>NC_000003.12:121281331-121584361 GCF_000001405.40 Homo sapiens
ATTTTGCCTCTATCACTACCAGATTTTGAAAGGAAGACAAAATAACAAGCAACTGTACATTCACATAACGTGAGGTTTCCTCATGATTAGGAAAGACAAGTTTGAAGTTGATGGACTCTAGGATAGAAAGGTGTTAGGGGGCAGTAGGCTATTTATAATTAAAAATTTAGTTCCTCAGTCATAATAACCATATTTCAGGTGTTCAGTTTGCAATGCTAAAAGCACCAATATAATCAGAAAAGCTGTGAATCCTATGACAATATCTAAATCACTTGCTGGATATACACAGTGGGGCAAAAAAAGTACATAATTTGACAAAGGTAATACAATTATTATTTAATTTAAATTAAACTGCTTGAACCTTAACAGTTACTACTAGAGCTTAGAACATTGATGACTTTAAAATCAGGAAAATCTGTGAAGTTATAAACTCAGTTTGTGTTTAGTGTACAAGATGACACAGTGAGAACTCACTTTATATTATAACAATGAAGTATTAAAGACTGAAATCTTTAGCTTTCTTTTTAATTGCTGAAGGATTAAAGACAATCATTTTTTATTAATGAAATAATTTATACATATTAGTTACAAGCCAAAGAAGTGTATTTTGTAAAAACATATAAGGAAAATGTGCCATCTACTTTTATAAGACATTTAAATAAGATAAAAATAAATATTTATAAATATTTTTATATTAAATATTTAAATAA
Organism: Homo sapiens; assembly: GCF_000001405.40. Classification (NCBI taxonomy): domain Eukaryota; kingdom Metazoa; phylum Chordata; class Mammalia; order Primates; family Hominidae; genus Homo; species Homo sapiens. Next base: position 121,282,042 of record NC_000003.12, read on the forward strand.
ATGTTAAAATTACTACCGCATTCTCATCATTCATCTATCGCCTCTTACTTTATAATTGATTTATTTTATTAATATCTCCTTCTAATTTAATTACCTAATCTTGCTGCAATTTCTTCATCTTGGCTGTTCTAGATTCTGGTATGATATCACTTCCTTTCACTTTAGACTTTTTTTTCTCTTTCTTCTGCCTGCTGCTGATGCTGGTGGTCTGGCATGTTCCAAAGACAACTTTTGCATGCGTGGCCTGTCTAACTTTTATCCTGATTTAACGAAACGGATCCGTACTTCCTATCAGAGTAAGTTATATAAAGGTTAGGCAAATAGCCTTTTTAAGACATAATGCTTGAGTTAAATCCATACATCAGTGCTCAGTAATGTGTTTCTTAAAACACATTCAGCATGCATGCAAATTTTTGTTTTGTTATGGTGTGCAACCTGATAATTTTAATAAACATTATTATAGAAATATTTCAATCCATTTTTGTCCTGTACCCATTCAATCATACCCATTGTTTCAGTGTTTATTTCCAACCATGCAGACCATGTCCTACTATTCCAAGAGTCACTGTCTTTTATTTTGAGGAGGAAGAGCTATGATGCCCTGTAAATAATAAAACTTATTACTGACATGCCAGTATCAGTAATAAGTTAATGCTTTCTTATTTTGGCAACCTTATGCTTTGGCCATTTTATAATACTATTCTAACCAGGGTCACAATATTTGCTTCTTTTAAATAATTATATTCCTTGAAGATAACTAAGTATTCCTGATTTCTGATGATTTTTATTAAAATATACAAACATATTTCTATGGTGATTTAAGGCACTCAGACATTATAAAGTAGGATAATTAAGGTAAAAAGTAAACAAATAAATAATATCAACCTTTACCATGGTATCAAACACAGATCCGAAGATATCTAGAGTAAGCAATTATAAAAACTGGTATAGAAAGGATGAAGAGTGAGAGTGTGTGTGACTGGAGGTACAGATGAGACTAGTGATTTTATCGGTAAATATTTATTGACATAAAAAATGTTTATCATATGTTAATATATTCTGTTAAAAAGCAGGTTGTTTAACAATATATACAAAATGGCCTTATAGTTGTATAACATATACATTATACATTATATACACACACTCACACATATATGTTGTTTGTAACCTGAATTCCTTCAGACCTCACCAGTTCATAGATACTAATGGAATCTTATCAGTAATAAAACCTAAAACTTTACTGGTTTATGCCCTTAGCTTACAAAAGTCAGTCTCTATGAAATCCTTAAAATGTTCCTGGGAATGCCTAGAAGTTGAGTAATTTTTGCTCATAAATATTCTCTAGTTTTCTACTCTAGCAGAGCACCCCCTTTTAGGAATCCTTCCCACTCTCTCTGTTCCTGTTGCTGTGTGCGAGAATATTGGTATCTATGTTGGCTTCTGCTGCTCCTAAAACAGAAGCTTATTTGATACTATGATAACTGTGATATTTCTTGACATCTGAAAATTTTATAAAATTTCAGTTTCTGTAATAAAGTTTTATTGGAACATAGTCCCAATCATTCATTATATATTGTCCTTAAATGCTTTCACACTACAATGGCAGAGTTGAGTAGCTGCAACAGAAACTATATGCCCACAAGGCCTAAAATGTTTACTATCCTGTTCTTTACATTAAAGTTTGCTGATTCCTGCTCTGTGCCATTTTTTCATACCCATCCTCTGCACCACATAAAGGATTTCAGCCAAAACCTTTCTGTAAATAGTCTCAGGGTAGTTTAATACACATATTCAGATTTCAGAATCCCAGTTTAGCCTTCTGAAGGTAGGATCTCCTACATTTGTGTGTGTGCTTGTGTGTGTGTGTGTGTGTGTGTGTGTGTGTGTAGACAGAAAAGTTTCTGGAACATGGCTTTGTGGATTTTACAGACTTCTTTTGGCTTTACAGTATACTCTGATTTTTCTGTAATAAACTTGTAATTATTTTATGCTAAGAAGCTAAATTGGAGACTGAAGGTCAGGAGCAGAAGCGGGCTCTTAGTTCATCAGGATCCTATAATATCAGCCATGATGTAAAGTTTTTAAAAGTTCTGAGAAATCTCAATAATATATTTTCTTATATTCCTTATATTTCCTTCAGAATTTTTTTTCAGCCCATCATTCAGGATCCTCTAAAGTATAATTTCTATCAACAACCTCAAATGGATTTTCTACTATTCTCCTCTTAAGCCAAATTTTTGTATCTTACTACCATTATGTTTTACTCATATTATCCACTCTCTGGAAATGCCCTGCTAAAAGTTTACTTTCTATAGTAAGCCTTTCCTACCACCATCAGAGCCCTGTTGTGCCAATTCCTTTATTTAAATGCTTCCAGTGTCCAGGTTTGTACACAGTACAGGCTTGCCTGAACCATTTAGTTGACATTTAGCCTAGATTCATTTGTATGGCTACTTACTTTTATACTTTTGTTCTGCCTTTCCAAATGCATGACAAGAATCTCAAGACCATATCTAAAATTCTTTATATTCCCTGCATCTAGCACAAGTCACAAGGTCTCTATGTAAATGATGATGTCAGTAGGATAGAGCATGGCAGCAGACTTTATTCTCTCACATGAACTGCCAGAAAACTTTTCAAATCTGACAAATGAGAGAAGAACTAGGTAACAGGTTCACCAGAATTTTGCAAAAGTAATCATAGTTTCTAACTAGAGACCTAACGTTTTAAGTCAGAAGTAAAATCAAGTCTGTTGAAGGACTTAAAGAAATCCCCGTGTCTCTACCAGTGGGCCCCACAAGGGCTCAGACAAGCTCTAGGATTTCAAATCAGATTTCCTAAAAGTCTTCTCTGAATGATTGATATTGTATATTATGAAAAGGGATTGATTCTTTAACCACTCAAAGGCATATCCTACAATTGCTTTTCAAAATACATTTAATGAAAATTTGACTTGAAGTTTAACTATTGGATAATATAATCTGATTATATTTCTATAGTCTCACTTTATTATAGTAGACACTGCTCAGCCTTTTCATTAATTGCTTACTAACTTTCAGAAAAGCATATATGCATTGTTCATATTTGGGGTAATAGAACCCAGTTCCATTGATTATCTATTCTACTCTGCTAGTCAGTTTGACTCAGTGTTATATTATCCACTAGTGATTATAACCCTTTGAGGCAGATTGATATATATTAGTATATTTCTCTACACATGAGAAAATTGAAGTTGAAAAAAATGAAATTAGTCTCTCAAAGCCACACAGAATAAGTGGGACCCAAACTTATGCCTATCTGACACTAAAATTACTCGATAGGCTTTTCACTGTATAATCTTGGATCTCTAAGTGTCTTTTTTAAAGTTTCAGGAACATTGGAAACCAAGTCCGTTATTTTATAATCAGAAAACACCTCAGTTTTTGCACACTCAATGAAATTATATCAATGACTCTTTTACTGGTCACCTTATTCCATAGGTTAGGCTCCAAACAGCTGACCTCCCCAAATTTTTAAATTACCAAGCGGCAAAACTTTCACATCATAGAATAATAAAATTTTGTAGTTGAAAGAAAACTTTCGTGTTCTACAGATTATGATTTTTAGAAGCAGAAAAACGCTTTGAAAAGAACAGCAGACATCTGATCAGAAGATTTACATTGTTTTACCTTTTCCATTTATTAGCTACTTCATACATTTATAATCTTAAACAAGGCATTTAATCACTCTGAGTTTCTTTCTTCTAATATATAAAGTAAAAATTGCAATTTCTACCTCCCTTAGAGAGTTGTAGAACTTTTCTGGGTTAATGTTAATAAAAGTGATTCTATAAATGTTAGTTATTATAATTATTATAAAAGATGAACCAACCCACACCACAGAGAGGTTAAATAACTTCCAGAATCATAAGAAATCTATGGAATACGTAGAACTAAAACTCAGGCTGCTGCCTCATTGCCTAGCAACAGTTCTACTTATGATAATCACATAAATTTTGCTATTTAAAAACTGATATTATGCCATTTGAATCAAGGGAAGTTTGAAAAGTAGGCTTAATGTAGAGAATTGTCTACATTGCTTGTGCATCAATTTCTAGTTATGCAACAAGGGATCCTTTGGAGAGTCCCAGGCCTATTATCCCTTTCTTTTCAAAGGGTAGGGGTATGATAACAGATCCTAAAAACACCTGAAACATAAAGAAGAAATAAAAGAAAAGGGGATGATAAGAGAACTATCCAAGAAAGGCAAATAAGTATTGTAAAACGAACAGAAAGTCAGGAATGGAGAAGTAAACAAAAAATTAAAGAAGAAATGCTTTAAGAAACAAAAATCAGCAAAAATTATGGTAAACAATAAATGGGGAAAACATTCATTCAAATAATATTTTACTGAGCATCTCTTGTGTCAAACATTTTTCTAGGCATTAAGTACATAGTGATGAGTGAAACAATTATGGTCTTTTCCTTTCATTTATAACAGGTAATATACAGATAAATAAAGTCATAGATAATTGAAGAAAGGTGGCAATGCAATAATAGGGAAAAATGAGATAAGGTGGACCTATTTTTGAAAGTGTTGTCAGGGAATGGCCTATCCAACATGGAAACATTTAAGTGAAGTTTTGCAAGATAAATAGTCAAAGCTTTAGATTCTCACTACCAACCAAGATAGAAAGATAGAGTAGCAAGTACCAGATTTAACCTCCTGCCTGAAAACCCCACACCCATTCCCCCAAAATAGACAAAATAAATGAAAACAATGGTTTTTAAGACACGGGGTATCAAACAATGAAAAAAAAAAATGATGGGACAGATGGGAAACCTAACAATCACACGCATTTACTATGGCAAGATAATTTCTAGACTGTAGCAAAGGGAGGGGAAGCCCAGGAGGAAACCACTGAGCTTTTTAGGCTGGGAGATGAAGATGAGAAACCAAAGAAACCAAAGCATCTACAGCTCACAAAAGAATTTCAGAGATCTACAGTGTTTCCTCCTAGAGCAAAGTGCTGATCAACGTATACATATGATGCAGCTATCCAGGAACAGGTAAAGAGCCATCTGAAAGGATTAAAGGAAACAGTGCCCAACACTCAAATAAAGGAAATAGTGCCATTTCCACTACCCTAAATAGAAATAGTTCATAACTCACATCCACTTCTATTTAACATTGTACTGGAAATTTTAGACAATGTTGTCAAGCAAGAATAAGAAATAAAAGTTATCTAGATTTGGAAAGGAAGAAGAAGGTAAATAGTCTTTATTCACAGAACACATGATTGTCTATGAAGAAAACTTAATGAAATCTGCCAAAAACAGCTACTAGAACTAAAAATGTGAGTTTAACAATGTGCAGGATATAAGGTTAATATACAAAATTCCATTGTATTTCTATATGCATACAACAATCTGAATTGAAATTTAAAATTACCATTTACAATATCATCAAAAATAAGAAGTACTTAGCCATAAATGAGACAACAGATACGAAAGACCCACACATTGATGGGCCGGGCGCGGTGGCTCATGCCTGTAATCCCAGCACTTTGGGAGGCTGAGGTGGGTGGATCACGAGGTCAGGGGTTCGAGACCAGCCTGACCAACATGGTGAAACCCCGTCTCCACTAAAAATACAAAAATTAGCTGGGCGTGGTGGCGGGCTCCTGTAATTCCAGAAACTCAGGAGGCTGAGGCAGGAGAATTGCTTGAACCCAGGAGGCAGAGGTTGCAGTGAGCCGAGATCGCGCCACTGCACTCCAGCCTGAGTGACAGAGCGAGACTCCATCTCAAAAAAAAAGAAAGACCCACACATGGAAAACCAGAAAACATTGCTAAGAAAAGTTAAGAAGACTTAAATAAATAGTTACACCAAGTTTATGTCTCACAAAACTCAATTTTATTAAGATGGCAGTTCATTCCAAATCGATTTGTTGTTTCAATGCTAGATCCCAATAAAAATACAGCAGATGTTCTTGTAGGAACTGACAAACTGATTCTAAAGTTCATACAGAAATTCAAAGGATTTAGAGTAGCCAAAACAGCTTTTAAAAAGAAGAATCTGTTCTTGCATTAGTTAGCTTAGAATAATGGCCTCCAGCTCTATTCATGTTGCTGCAAATGACATGATTTCATTCTTTTTTATGGCTGTGTAGTGTTCCATGGTGTACATGTATGACATTTTCTTAATCCAGTCTACTGTTGATGGGCATTTAGACTGATTCCATGTTATTGCCATTGTGAATAGTGCTGCAGTAAACATACGCATGCATGTGTTTTTATGGTAAACCACAAGTTATATTTCTTCGGGTATATACATAATAGTGGGATTGCTGGGTTGAGTGATAATTCTGTTTTAAGTTCTTTGAGAAATTGCCACACTGATTTCCACAATGGCTGAACTAATATACACTCTTACCAACAGTGTATAAGCATTCTCTTTCATCCACAGTCTCTCCAACATCTGTTATTTTTTGACTTTGTAATAATGGACATTCTGACTGGTGTGAGATGGTATCTCATTGTGGTTTTGATTTGCATTTTTCTAATGATTGGAGGTGTTGAGCATTTTTTCATATGCTTGTTGGAATCATGTGTGTCTTCTTTAGAAAGGTGTCTATTTATGTCTTTTGCCTACTTTTTAATAAAATCATTTTTTTTGTTACAAATTTGTTTACATTTCTTACAGATTCTGAGTATTAAACCTTTGTTGGATGCATAATTTGCAAATATTTTCTCCTATCCTGAAGGTTGTCTGTATACTCTGTTGATAGTTTTTATAGCTGTGCTCAAGCTATTTAGTTTGATTAGGTCCTATTTGTCAATTTTTGTTTTTGTTGTAATTGCTTTTGGCATCTTCATCATGAAATCTTTGTCAGGTCCTATGTCACATGGACAAAAAGAAGTGAACAACAGACACTGGGGCCTACTTGAGGGTGGAGTGTGAGAGCGGGGAGAGGATTTTAAAAATACCTACCAGGCACTATACTTATTACTGGGTGACTAAATAATCTGTACACCAAACTCCCACAACATGCAGTTCACCAGCCAAGTATCTGTTCCCCTTCAAGAGACTCCCCCAACACATAAGGACTCACATAAACTTAAGGTAAAGGAGTAGAAAAACATTCCATGCAAATGGACACCAAAAGTGAGCAGGAGTAGCTATTCTTATATCAGACAAAACAGACTTTAAAGCAACAATATTTAAGAAAGACATGAAGGGACATTGTTTAAAGAATGTCCCTTCTTGTTTAAAGAAGACAGGAAGGGACATTAAATATGATAAAAGGACTAGTCCAACGGGAAAATATAACAATTCTAGATTTATATGCATCTAACACAGGATCTCCCAAATTTATGAAACAATTACTACTAGACCTAAGAAATGAGATAAACAACAACACAATAATAGTGCAGTACTTCAGTACTCCACTGACAGCACTAGACAGGTCATTCAGACAGAAAGTCAACAAAGAAACAATGGACTTAAACTATACCCTAGAACAAATGGACTTAACAGATATTTACAGAACATTCTACCCAACAACTGCAGAATATACATTCTATTCATGAGCACATGGAACATTAACCAGGATAGACCATATGATAGGCCACAAAACAAGTCTCAATAAATTTTTAAAAGTCAAAATTATATCAAGTACTCTCTCAGACCACAGTGGAATAAAATTCACACAGTGGAATAAACTCCAAAAGGAACCCTCAAAACTATGCAAATACATAGAAATTAAATAATCTGCCCCTGAATGATAGTTGGGTCAACAATGAAATCAAGATGGAAATTTAAAAATTCTTTGAACTGAGTGGTAATAGTGGCACAACCTATCAAAACCTCTGGGATACAGCAAAAGCAGTGCTAAGAGGAGAGTTCATAGCATTAATGCCTACATCAAAAAGTCTGAAAGAGCACAAATAGACAATCTAAGGTCACACCTCAAGGAACCAGAGAAACAAGAGCAAACCCAAACCCAGCAGAAAAAAAGAAAGAACAAAGATCAGAGCAGAACTAAATGAAATTGAAACAAACAAAAAATACAAAAGATAAATGAACCAAAATGTGGTTCTTTGAAAAGATTAACAAAATTGACAGAACATTAATGATATTAACCAAGAAAAGAAGAGAGAAGATCCAAATAAACTCAATTAGAAACAAATGGGAAATATTACAACCAATACAACAGAAATACAAAAGGTCATTCAAGACTACTATCATCACCTTTATGCACACAAACTAGAAAACCTAGAGAAGATGGATAAATTCCTGGAAATATACAACCCTCCTGGATTAAACCAGGAAGAAATAGAAACTCTGAACCAACCAATAACAAGCAGTGAGATTAAAATGGTAATTTAAAAAATTGCCAACAACAAAAAAAGTCCAGGACCAGATGGATTCACAGCTGAATTCTATCAGACATTCAAAAAAGAATTGGTACCAATCCTATTGAAACTATTCCAGAAGATAGAGAAAGAGGGAATCCTCCCCCCAAATCATTCTGTGAAGCCAGTATCACCCTAATATCAAAACCAAGAAGGGACATAACAAAAAAGAAGACTACAGACTGATATCCCTGGTGAACGTACGTGCAAATATCCTCAACAAAATACTAGCTAACCAAATCTAACAGCATATCAAGAAGATAATCTACCACAATCAAGTGGGTTTCATACCAGGGATGCAGGGATGGTTTAACATACACAAGTCAATAAATGTGATACATCACGAAACAAAATTTAAAATCGTATGATCATCTCAATAGATGCAGAAAAAGCATTTGATAAAATTCATCATCTCTTTATGATTAAAACCCTCGGCAAAATCAGCATAGAAGGAAAACAACTAAGGGTAATAAAAGCCATCTATGACAGATGTACAGACAACATTTTACGGAATGGGGGAAAGCTGAAAACATTCCTTCTGAGAATTAGAAAAAAACAAAGATGCCCACTTTCACCACTTCTAGTCAACATAGTACTGGAAGTCCTAGCCAGAGCAACCAGACAAGAGAAATAAATAAAGGGCATATGAATCAGTAAAGAGGAAATCCAACTGTCACTATTTGCCAATGATAAGATTGTATGCCTAGAATACCCTAAAGACACATCCAAAAAGCACATGGATCTGAAAAGTGAATTTAGTAAAGTTTCAGGATACAAAATCAATGTACACAAATCAATAGCACTGCTATATACCAATAGTGACCAAGCTGAGAATCAAATTAAGAACTCAACCCCTTTTACAACAGCTGTAAAAAAAATAAAATAAAATACTTAGAAATTTACCTAACTAAGGAGGTGAACGATCTCTACAAGGAAAACTACAAAACACTGCTGAAATAAATAATGGACAACACAAACAAATGGAAATACATGCCATGCTCATGGATGGGTAGACTCAATATTGTGAAAATGACCATGCTATCAAAAGCAATCTACAAATTCAATGGAATTTCCATCAAAATACCATCATTATTCTTCACAAAACTAGAAAAAACAATCCTAAAATTCATTCACACAGTACCAAAAAAGCCCACATTGTCAAAGCAAGACTAAGCAAAAAGAAAAAATCTGGAGGCATCACGTTACTTGACTTCAAACTACACTACAAGGCTATCGTTACCAAAACTTCATGGTACTGACATAAAGATAGGCACATAGACCACTGGAACAAAACAGAGAGCCCAGAAATAAAGCCAAATACTTGCAGCCAACTCATCAACAAAGCGAACAATAATATAAAGTGGGGAAAGGACACCCTATTCAATAAATGATCCTGGCATAATTGGCAAGCCACATGTAGAAAAATGAAACTGGATCATCATTTCTACCCTTGTACAAAAATCAACTCAGGATGAATCAAAGACTTAAATCTAAGACCTGAAACCATAGAAATTCTGAAGATAACATTGGAAAAACCTTTCTAGACATTGGCTTAAACATAGACTTTATGACCAAGAACCCAAAAGCAAATGCAGCAAAAACAAAGATAAATAGATGGGACTTAATTAAACTAAAAACTTCCTCACAGCAAAATAAATAATCAGTAAACAGACAACCCACAGAGTGGGAGAAAATTTTCACAAACTATGCATCTGACAAGGACTAATATCTAGAATCTATAGGAACTCAAATCAGCCAGAAAAAAAATCAAATAATCCCATCAAAAAGTGAGTTAAAGACATGAATAGACAATTCTCAAAGGAAGATATACAAATGGCCAACAAACACGTAAAAATGCTTATCACTAATTATCAGGGAAATGCAAATCAAAATCACAATGCAATACCATCTTTCTCCTGCAAGAATGGCCGTAATTTAAAAATCAAAAATAATACATGTTAGCATGGATATAGTGAAAAGAGAACCCTTTTACACTGCTGGTAGGAATGTAAACTACTACAACTACTATGGAAAACAGTATGAAGATTCCTTAAAGAACCAAAAGTAGATCTACCATTCGATCCAGCAATCCCACCACTGGGTATCTACCCAGAGGAAAAGAAGTCATTATATGAAAAAGACACTTGCACATGCATGTTTATAGCAGCACAATTCACAATTGCAATAATATGGAACCAACCCAAATGGCCATCAATCAACGAGTGGATAAAGAAAATGTGGTATATCATGGAATACTACTGAGCCATAAAAAGTAATGAAATGATGGCATTTGCAGCAACCTGGATGGAGTTGGAGACCATTATTCTAAGTGAAGTAACTCAGGAATGGAAAACCAAACATTGTAAGTTCTCACTTATAAGTGGGAGCTAAGTTATGAGGCTGCAAAGGCATAAGAATGATACAGTGGACTTTAGGGACTCAAGGGAAAGGGTGGGAGGTAGGTGAGGGATAAAAGATGACACATTGGGTACAGTGCACACTGCTTGGTTATGGGTGCACTAAAATCTCAGGAATCACCACTACTTATCCATGTAAATAAACACCACTTGTTACCTAAAAACCTATTAAAACGAAAAAAAAATTTTAAATTTTAAACACTAAAACAACTCAAATTTTTATTAAGTAAATGGATAAACAAATTCTGGCAAATCCAAACAATGGTGCTCTGCTCCGCAATAAAAAAGAATATACTATTGATAACTACTACAACATGGATGAATCCAAAATAATTGTAGTGAGTAAAAATAATCAGGAAAAAAAAGGACACATTACTGTATGATTCCATTTCTATAGAATTCCAGGAAATGAAAAGCAATGCATAGTGACAGAAAGCAGATTAGTAATTGCCTGGGAATGGGAAGGGACACATATGGTGAGGGCTGGAAGAGAGGGTTACAAAAGGGCACAAAGAAACTCTTGGGCATGACAGAAGTGTTTATTATGTTAATTGCAAAGATGGTTTTATGGATGTATACGTATGTCAAAATGTATTCAAATAGTACATTTTATAAACATTAATTAAACCTTAACAAGGCTATTTTTTAAAAGAAGAACTAACGCAAAGAAGAGCAGGGAACAGCACATTCCAAGCAGAGTGAACAGCTTATAAGAAGGTTCTAGGCCAGGTGCGGTGGCTCACGCCTGCAATCCCAACACTTTGGGAGGCCAAGGTGGGTGGATCACCTGAGGTCAGGAGTTCAAGACAAGCCTGGCCAATATGGCGAAACCCTGTCTCTACTAAAAATACAAAAAATTAGCCGGGTGTATTGGTGGGTGCCTGTAATCCCAGCTACTTGGGAGACTGAGGCGGGAGAATCACTTGAACCCGGGAGGCGGAGGTTGCCGTGAGCCAAGATGGTGCCATTGCACTCCAGCTTGGGCAACAAGAGCAAAACTCTGCCTCAATAAGTAAATAAATAAATAAAATAGAAGGTTCTAGGATGGTAAAGGACTTAACTATATCATCTAGAAACAGAAAGAATGCAAGGAAGCTGACATAGTCATGCGGAAGAGAAAAAGTGAGTGAAGATTTTGTTGTAGAGATGAGTAAGGACAAGATCATAAAAGCTTCTGAAGTAATTACAAGAAATTATATTTTAATTTAAGCAGGGGAATGATATGCTTTGATTTATGCTATAAATATCCACACTGCTGTGTGAAGAAAATATTGTGGAGCCAAAAAGGAAAGCAAGCTGGTGTACCCATTAGAAGGCGAGTATTGCACTCCAGCAGGAAATGAAGTGGCTTGACTAGGGTGATAGCAACGCTGTTGGAGAAAAAAGGATAGATTCGGAAATCATTAGCATTTACAGAGCTACTGATTATCATTCAATGTGAGAGATAAGAGAGTGGAATCAAAGATTATTCCCAGATTTTGGCTTGAGCCACTTATTGTCATGATATTTTTTACAAAGGTGAAGAAGCTTGAGATAGGAGGGGGCATGTGGTGGTAGGAAATAAAGAGTTCAGTTTTAGACACGTTAAATGTTATTATGTCTGTTGTATAAATGGAGATGTCAAGTGGACAAGTAAGTCTGAATATCAGATGAGAGGTCTAGGGCAATAATTTGAGTCTTTAGCATATAGGTGGTATATAATGGCATGGGAATAAATGAAATTACCTAGAAGAAGGGTGGGGGAAGGAGGAAGCATAGAAGGAAGAAGACAAGAGAGAAAAAGAGAAAGCAAGAGAGAGAGATAAGGGAGTAGGGAAGAAAAGGAGATTTGTGAATAGAGATATCAGGAATTTCAACATTTAATTTCAGGAAGAAGAGGAGTTGCCAGGGAGAAGAGAAAAAGGAAAAGACCTTCACAGAAGAAAAAACAAAACAAAACAAAACAAAAAACCTGGGGAATGTTTCAAGAAGTGGTAAACTCCATCAGATGCTACAGATAAGCTAAGTAGGATAGGTTCAGAAAAGTGATTAGAGTGTGTCTGGCTCTGTGAAAGTTGTTAGTGACCCTTTAAAAAGCGATTTTAGAAAAGCAATGAAATAGAAGCCAAAATATTGTTAAACTGAAGAGTGGCAGGTGAGGAAACAGCACAACTGAATACCTCTTTAAAGATATTTGGTTATGAAGGGGTGCTGAAAAATAGATTAATACCTGGATTGGAGTAAGATGTTAAAAGGAGTAGTTTGGGGTTTTTTTAATTTTAGAGAAAAGAGCATATTTTTAATTTATGTGAATACAGAATGATCCATAGAAAAAGAGATTGAGGATAAGGGAGAGAGGGGATAACTAAAGGAAAAAAATTCTTAAGGAAGTGAGAAGGAATGGGAATCAAAGCACAGGTACAAGGACTGACATTTAATAGGAGGCTTTGTCTATTAGTATAGACAGACTTTTTTTAAAAGAAATGAGAGAACTACAGAATGAAGAGATACATTGAAAAGTACATTGTTTCATTGAGAGATGAAACAAGTGATTGTTATATCTGATTTTCAGTTCAGTATTTTAGTAGTTTTTCCTCTTAAAATCAGTTTTACAGTGTAAATTTCTTACTACAAAGCTTTATGTTGAAAATCAACTACTTTGAATTGTAATTAGTAGGAAAAAATATGTTTCTATCTTTGAATTTACAAAAATCAACAAAAACATACAAAATACGGGAGATATTACCTAGCAGTATGTGTGAATTTTCTTGACGTTAGTTAATAGTAATCTCATCGTGAGTCAGACAAATAAAACAGTCTCTCAACTAGGAATAACATTGTACCCCAGGGATATTTGGCAATGTCTGTGAACTTTTTGATTGTCACAACTGAAGAGTAGGGATAGTCTACTGACACCTACATCTACAATGTATTTCTACAACAAAATATTATCTAGCCAAAATGTGAAATCAAATTGAAAACATTTAGAACACAATTGTAAATAATAATTTAGTAAGCAAAAATTTTAAAGTGTAGACTATATGGATGGAAATATTTGTATATTGGGTATAAGTCTCCTAGAGAATACTGATATTTTATTTGATGTTTACAAGTTATTACTTAAAGTACTATCTTATTATATTACCAAGTAAGCTACATCACAGGTGTATATTTTTAAGTTATAAAAGTTGGTGTGATTCACAGTAGCCAGGAAATCATATTTCTGATACTCAATTGTTTATTTACCATAAAAGTTCTGTATCTGTTCCAACCAGAATTTATTACATACTTTCTGATGAATCACTGTAAAAACCTTCAAGTTTAGTAGCCAATTTGCTTTACTCTATTCACATGTCAGACACAGCTTTATCCACATAAAATCTTGGGGAAATTTCATCATTTAGTGCTCATTAGAGTATTAGCAAAAGCATGATGTTTGACTTGTACCCTGAGTACTTTAGTAGAATACCTACTAATGTCAGTAATGGATTAACCAACTTAACTGGTTTCCATTCCACTGATTCCTCCTGTCTTCAATCCAGCTTTCACAGTATTTCCAATATTTCAAATATAAGTGAAAGAGGGGCTTTCCATTTCCAGATAGGATGTTAAAAGATGTAAAAGACCTTAATCCCCATGGTAGGAACAATGATGAAAACAACAAAATCCTATAGTAATGACAATAAAATTAAAATTATCCTTTTCTATGGGGCTATGGAAGAGTGATACATTCAAAGAAGTCTAATTAACTGAATGCCAGACAGAGAAGAGCCATTCACAGGTGAGCAGAAAGCTACTGCTGCTTCCATACCTGGGGCTAGTGACTGACCTGGGTATAGGTGGGGGAAAGAGTGGGCTTTTGATAGATAGACAGACTGAAAGGAATAGAAAATAGCCAGTGAGGTTTAATGGCTGTTTGGACTGACCTATAGATTGGAATTTGAAAGAATTTGAAACAACCCTAAATAGAAAAATAAATCATTCAAGTTGGCAATTGTCTGCCACTAAACCCTCACCAATCTCAGAATTTTTCTGCAAAAGTAGCAATGCAGGTGGACTGGAAGGCAGAGAAATTTATGCAGTCTTAATGTGCTGTATTCTGGGGTAATTATAGAATTTAACCAAAAGTTGAATTAAGATGAATTAAAACTATCTGAAACAGCATCCCAACTGTGTCACTGCACAAATACCAATACAAATAACAATCAGTCCCTTGGCAAAGGGGGTATAAAAGATTGAGTGTTGGATTGAGAAATAAAGAGAGATTTTCATAGTCCAATTTGAAACAACAGTGGAACTTAATCTTATTAAAGCTACAGCCCAGCCCCAGCTTAAATACTTAGCAGAATCTGAATGATTCTACATTATATGTGTGTGTGTGTGTGTGTGTGTGTGTGTGTGTGTGTGATATTCCTGATATTAGTGATAATATACATATATGAATGATTCTTTAGTTTTTACTACTGTTGTACACAGATCATACCATCAGAAATTAGAAAACATGCAAAGAAGCAGAAAATTGTGACTCATAATTGAGTGGGGGGACAAAAGTCAGTCGAAGCAGATCCATAGAGACCCAAATTGAAATTAGAAGCCAAGAACTTTAAAAGAACTATTATAAGAATATATAGGAAAAGAGGCTGGGCATGGTGGCTCACGCCTATAATCCTAGCACTTTGGGAGGCAGAGGTGGGCAGATCACCTGAGGTCAGGAGGTCCAGACTAGCCTGGACAACATGGTGAAACCCTGCCTCTACTAAAAATACAAAAATTAGCTGGGTGTGGTGGCTCATGCCTGTAGTCTCAGCTACTTGGGAGGCTGAAGCATGAGAATTGCTTGAACCCAGAAGGTGGAAGTTGCAGTGAGCCAAAATCGCGCCACTGCACTACAGCCTGCGCGACAGAGTGAGACTCTGCTCCCAACCGCCAAAAGAATATATAGGAAAAGATGGTTTGGCTGAGTAAATATGTTGGGGAATTTTAGAAGAGAAAGTGAAACGCTGAAAAAGAACCAAATGGAAATTATAGAACTTAAAAATAAAATATGTGAAATTAAAAGTTCATGGTTGTTTCTTAGCTGTTAATGAATAATGCTGCATTGAACATGAGAATGCTAATATTTCTTTGAGAATCCTGTTTTCAATTATTTTGGATAAATACCCAGAAGTAGGATTGCTGGATCATATAGTGGTTCTATTTTTTATTTTTTGATGAACCTCATTGCTGTTTTCCATCTCAGCTGTACCATTTTACATGCCCACCAATAGTGCACAATGATTCCAATTTCTCCACATCCTCATCAACACTTGTTATTTTCTGTTTTTGTTTGTTTGTTTTGTTTTTTATAATGGCCATCCTAACAGGTATGAGGTGATATCTCATGGTAGTTTCAATCTGCATTTCCCTGATAATTAGTGATGTTGATTAGTGATGTTATTTTCATATAACTGTTGGCTATTTGTATTATCTTACACAATACGTGACAATAAATTCAAAATGCATTTAAAAATTAAACATAAGACCTAAAACTGTAAAACTTCCAGAAGAAAATATAGGTGAAAACCTTCATAACATTGGTCTTAGCAAAGAATTCTTGAATGTGACATCAAAGGCACAGGTAATAAAGGCAAAAATACGTAAGTGATACCGCATCAAACTAAAAGCTTCTACACAACCTAAATATCTGCAGACAGATGAATGAATAAAGAAAATGTGGTAGATACATACAATGGAATATTAGCCTTAAAGAAAAAGAAAATCTTGTCATATGCTACAACATGATGAGCCTTCAGGACATTACACTAGATGAAATAAGCCAGTCATAGAAGGACAAATATTATATGATTCCACTTATATGGTGTATATCTAAAATAGTCAAACTCACAGAAGCAGAAAGTAGAATAATGATTGCCAGGATCTGTGGAGAGGGAAAAATGGAGAGCTACTGTTCAGTGGATACACAGTTTGAGTTATACAAGATGAACAAGTTCTAAATATCTGCTGTGCAACAGTGTGAATATGGTAAACAGTACTGTAATGTACACTGAAAAATTTGTTTAGAAGGTAGATTTCATGTTGTGTGTTTTTTACCATTGAATATATGTGTTGATTATATATGTAGAGTTAAGTGTCTTTGGGGTTCTTCTCCTAATTATAAGAACCTTTGTGAAGTCAGTGTAGGGTAACAATCACCAACACAACAGCATATTTTCAATTGTATTTGCTCTCCTAGCAGATCTTGTAAAAATCAACATGGAAGGATAATATATAATCCTATATTCATCTCTGACCTCTGAATTGAGGTATTAAGTAGACAAAAAATCAAAAGCAAGTTTCATGAAATCATCTATCATCGTCATTTTTTGAAAACAGTATTACTATCTTTTCCCACTAGCAACATGAAAAGCAAATGAGGAAGATATTTTATAGAAATAATTAAGCTGGTGATGTTTTTCCTCCTTGAGGAGTTTCATATTCATAGAAACCTTGAGGATAAAGGTTTCATATTCTAAAACTGTTTTTTCAGAGACAGTAACATTTAAACATCTTTATGGAAGTGTCAAGGCACCCTTTATACTTACTACCAAGGAACCTAAATTGGACTTTTTGAATAAAAAGGCATTCCTTTCAAAAACAAAAGTTCACATGATTGCTTTAACAATATATTGCACAGCACTAGGAACTATCAGTTAACTTGAATACACGTCACTAGAAATGATCCAAACAGAAGCACAGAGTTAAAAAATAATAATAATAATTAAGCTAAATGAACATCAGTGACTTTGGCTGAAATTTTTTCCAAATTTGATGAAAAACATCAACTTAAAGATCCAGGAAGCTCAAAACACCCTAAACTAGAAAAATACAAAAAGGCCAGGCATGGTGGTTCATGCCTGTAATCCCAGCACTTTGGGAAGCTGAGGCAGGTGGATCATTTGAACTCAGGAGTTCAAGACCAGCCGGACCAACATGGCAAAACCCTGTCTCTACCAAAAACTACAAAAAGTTAGCTGGGCATGCAGCTGTGGTCCCAGCTACTTGCAAGGCTGAGGTTGGAGGATTGCTTGAGCTGGGAGGCAGAGGTTGCAGTGAGCCATGATTGCACCACTGCACTCCAGCCTGGGCAACAGAGACCTGATCTCAAAAAAAAAAAAAAAAAAAATACAAAGAAAACGACACTTAAGACTTTATAGTCAAACTACTAAAACCAACCTACAAGAGAAAATCTTAAAAGCAGTACAGAAACATACACACACATACAAATACAAGGGAAAAATATGAATAATGAGTGATTTTTTCCATCAGAAATAATTGAAGCTAGAGACAACATAATGACGTCTTTTAAGTGCTAGAGAAAAACAACTGTCAATCCAGAATTCTATATCTAGCAAAAATATCATTCAAAAATGAAAGTGCATGAATTAACAGATCTGTACTATAAGAAATAGTAAAGAAAATTTTTAAAGCAGATAAAAAAACGATGGAAAATTAGGAATACAGGTAAGAATGAAAAGCACTGGAAATAATAAATATGTGGGTAAATATAAAAAGGTATTTTGTCTTTCCGTAAACTCTGTGTTACTCTTTCAGAAGTAACAATGTATTATGGGATTTATAACATGTAGAAGTAAAATGTATGATAACAGTAACACAAAGTATTGAAGAGAAGTATACAGAATTATACTGTTGTTTTTTTCAACATAGGAGAAGTGATGTAAGAATAATTAAAGATGCACTGTAATGAATCTAACAAATAGATGCACATTATAATCCCTAGAACAACCATTAAAGAAAATAAAACAGAGAGGTGTAGCTAAGAAGCCAAAGAGATGATAAAATGGAATACTAAGTATATTTTATTTTCTCAAAAGACAGAAAAGAGTAACAGTAAACAAACAAAAAAAAGAACTGAGGGGACAAACTGAAAACAATTAGAAAGATGATAGACATAAACTTAACCCCATCAAAGATTATATTAAATAGAGTACACATTCCAAAAAAAGAAAAAGAGCTTCTGAGACAGGATTAAAAAGAAACAAATATCAAAAACAGTGTATATGCTATTTATAAAAGATGCACGTTAATTATAAAAACATAAATAGGTTGATTACTGTAGCCTTGTAGCATAGTTCGAAGTCAGGTAGCGTGATGCCTCCAGCTTTGTTCTTTCGGCTTAGGATTGATTTGGCAATGCGGGATCTTTTTTGATTCCATATGAACTTTAAAGTAGTTTTTTCCAATTCTGTGAAAAAAGTCATTGGTAGCCTGATGGGGATGGCATTGAATCTATAAATTACCTTGGGCAGTATGGCCATTTTCACGATATTGATTCTTCCTACCCATGAGCATGGAATGTTCTTCCATTTGTTTGTATCCTCCTTTATTTCGTTGAGCAGTGGTTTGTAGTTCTCCTTAAAGAGGTCCTTCACATCCCTTGTAAGTTGGATTCCTAGGTATTTTATTGTCTTTGAAGCAATTGTGAATGGGAGTTCACTCGATTTGGCTCTCTGTTTGTCTGTTATTGGTGTATAAGAATGCTTGTGATTTTTGCACGTTGATTTTGTATCCTGAGACTTTGCTGAAGTTGGTTATCAGCTTAAGGAGATTTTGGGCTGAGATGATGGGGTTCTCTAGCTATACAATCATGTCGTCTGCAAACAGGGGCA
This sequence comes from Homo sapiens, assembly GCF_000001405.40. NCBI lineage: Eukaryota > Metazoa > Chordata > Mammalia > Primates > Hominidae > Homo > Homo sapiens. Next base: position 121,301,500 of record NC_000003.12, read on the forward strand.
ATTTGACTTCCTCTTTTCCTAATTGAATGCCCTTTATTTCCTTCTCCTGCCTAATTGCCCTGGCCAGAACTTCCAACACTATGTTGAATAGGAGTGGTGAGAGAGGGCATCCCTGTCTTGTGCCGGTTTTCACAGGGAATGCTTCCAGTTTTTGCCCATTCAGGATGATATTGGCTGTGGGTTTGTCATAGATAGCTCTTATTATTTTGAGATATGTCCCATCAATACCTAATTTATTGAGAGTTTTTAGCATGAAGCGTTGTTGAATTTTGTCAAAGGCCTTTTCTGCATCTATTGAGATAATCATGTGGTTTTTGTCATTGGTTCTGTTTATATGCTGGATTACAATTATTGATTTGCGTATGTTGAACCAGCCTTGCATCCCAGGGATGAAGCCCACTTGACTATGGTGGATAAGCGTTTTGATGTACTGCTGGATTCGGTTTGCCAGTATTTTACTGAGGATTTTTACATTGATCTTCATCAGGGATATTGGTCTAAAATTCTCTTTTTTTGTTGTGTCTCTGCCCGGCTTTGGTATCAGGATGATGCTGGCCGCATAAAATGAGTTAGGGAGGATTCCCTCTTTTTCTATTGATTGGAATAGTTTCAGAAGGAATGATACCAGCTCCTCCTTGTACCTCTGGTAGAATTCGGCTGTGAATACATCTGGTCCTGGACTTTTTTTTGGTTGGTAATTAATTATTGCCTCAATTTCAGAGCCTGTTATTGGTCTATTCAGAGATTCAACTTCTTCCTGGTTTAGTCTTAGGAGGGTGTATGTGTTGAGGAATTTATCTATTTCTTCTAGATTTTCTAGTTTATTTGCATAGAGGTGTTTATAGTATTCTCTGATGGTAGTTTGTATTTCTGTGGGATTGGTGGTGATATCCCCTTTATCATTTTTTATTGTGTCTATTTGATTCTTTTCTCTTTTCTTCTTTATTAGTCTTGCTAGCGGTCTATCAATATTGTTGATCTTTTCCAAAAACCAGCTCTTGGATTCACTGATTTTTTGAAGGGTTTTTTATGTCTCTATCTCTTTCAGTTCTGCTCTGATCTTAGTTATTTCTTGCCTTCTGCTAGCTTTTGAATGTGTTTGCTCTTGCTTCTCTTGTTCTTTTAATTGTGATGTTAGGGTATCAATTTTAGATCTTTCCACAGCATGGTACTGGTACCAGAGATATAGACCAATGGAACAGAACAGAACCCTCAAAAATAATGCCACCTGTCTACAACTATCTGATGTTTGACAAACCTGACAAAAATAAGAAATGGGGAAAGGATTCCCTATTTAATAAAGGGTGCTGGGAAAACTGGCTAGCCATCTGTAGAAAGCTGAAACTGGATCCCTTCCTTACACCTTATACAAAAATTAATTCAAGATGGATTAAAGACTTAAACATTAGACCTAAAACCATAAAAACCCTAGAAGAAAACCTAGGCAATACCATTCAGGATATAGGCATGGGCAAGGACTTCATGTGTAAAACACCAAAAGCAATGGCAACAAAAGCCAAAATTGATAAATGGGATCTAATTAAGCTAAAGAGCTTCTGCACAGCAAAAGAAACTACCATCAGAGTGAACAGGCAACCTACAAAATGGGAGAAAATTTTTGCAATCTACTCATCTGACAAAGGGCTAATATCCAGAATCTACAATGAACTCAAACAAATTTACAAGAAAAAAACAACCCCATCAACAAGTGGGCAAAGGATATGAACAGACACTTCTCAAAAGAAGACATTTACACAGCCAAAAGACACATGAAAAAATGCTCATCATCACTGGCCATCAGAGAAATGCAAATCAAAACCACAATGAGATACCATCTCACACCAGTTAGAATGGCAATCATTAAAAAGTCAGGAAACAACAGGTGCTGGAGAGGATGTGGAGAAATAGGAATACTTTTACAGTGTTGGTGGGACTGTAAACTAGTTCAACCACTGTGGAAGTCAGTGTGGTGATTCCTCAGGGATCTAGAACTAGAAATACCATTTGACCCAGCCATCCCATTACTGGGTATATACCCAAAGGATTATAAATCATGCTGCTATAAAGACACATGCACACGTATGTTTACTGCAGCACTATTCACAATAGCAAAGACTTGGAACCAACCCAAATGTCCATCAATAATAGACTGGATTAAGAAAATGTGGCACATATACACCATGGAATACTATGCAGCCATAAAAATGGATGAGTTCATGTCCTTTGTAGGGACATGGATGAAGCTGGAAACCATCATTCTCAGCAAACTATCGCAAGGACAAAAAACCAAACACTACATATTCTCACTCATAGGTGGGAATTGAAAAATGAGAACACATGGACACAGGAAGGGGAACATCACACCCCGGGGCCTGTTGTGGGGTGGGGGGAGTGGGGAGGGATAGCATTAGGAGATATACCTAATGTTAAATGATGAGTTAATGGGTGCAGCACACAAACATGGCACATGTATACATATGTAACAAACCTGCACATTGTGCACATGTACCCTAAAACTTAAAGTATATAAAAAAAAAATACGTTGAAAGTAAAAGAAGGGGAAAAGAATTCCATGAAAACACTATCCCCAAAAAAGCTGATATGGCTATATTAATATTAGATGAAGTAGACTTCAAGGCAAGGAGATAAACAGTTCAAATTAATAAAATAAATGACCAGAATGATATAAAAATCCTACATACTTGCATAAACCTAATAAGAACTATTCAAAATATATGAAGCAAAAACTGTCAAAACTAGAAATAGACAATTCTACCATCATTGCTGGAAATTCATCATTTCTCTTTTGTAACTGACAGAACAAATAGACAAAAATTGGTAAGATTATAAAAAACTAAAGCAACTCTCTTGGCCAGATTGATCTAATAACATACACACCTACACAATGCAATTGAAAATACAAATTATTTTCATGTAAACACGTAACATTCACAAGGATAGACTGGGCGATAAAACAAGTTATAATAAATTACAAATAATTGAAATTAAATAGAATGTGTTCTCTGGCCACAAAAGGAATTAAATTAGGAATCAACAGTATGTATAAAATTCCCTAATACTTGAAAATTAAGCAACTCATCTCTAAATAACTCATAGCTTAAAAAAGAAATTACAAAGGAAATTTTAAAATATTTTTGAACTGAGTGAAAGTACAAACACAACATATCAAAATTTATGAGATATTACTGAAGGAGTGCTTAGAGGAAAATTTAGAACATTAGATGTTATGTTAGATTTTTTTTTAAATCTCTACTTCATGATCTAAAGCTCTTGATTAAGACATTAAAAAGTAAGAGCAATGTAAACCACCCAATGTAAAGGAAATAATAATCATCAAAAATGAACGAAATAGAGGTCAAACCAGAGTAGATCAACAAAACCCCAAAACAGTTCTTCAAAAATACTATATAAAACCCTAACAATACTGATCCAGAAAGAAGAAACATAATTAATACCAGGAGTGAAAAAAAAGCATCACTGAATTCTACAGACATTAAAGAAATAAAGTAAGATTATTAACTCTATTCCCAGAAATTGACAATTTAGATGAAATTAAGAGATTCCTTGAAAGACAAAACTCACCAAATGTAACACCAAACACATTGGAAAATATAAGTAACCCATATCATTAACATTTTTTAATTCAAAATTAAATACCCACAACAAAGAAAACTACAAGCCACAGGTGGCTGCACTTGTTAATGCTATCAAACATTTAAGGAAGAAGTAACACCAATCTTATGCAAATTCTTCCAGGAAATAAAAGAAGAAGGAAATCTTTCCAACTGTTTGTCTGAAACCAGCACAATGTTGATAACTAAAACTTGACAAAGGCAGTACAATAAAAGTACAAGTCAGTCTCATTTATGGAACTAGATGCAAAAATCAGATATAAAATATTAGCAAATGGAAGACAAACATATAAAAGAAAGATAAAGCATCATAACCAAGGTGGATTTATCCCAGGAATGCAAGTTTAAAATTTGAAAATCAATGAATGTAAAATACTGATTAACATAAGAAAGGAGAAAATAATACAGTCATATCAATACATGTGAAAACATTTGATAAAATTAGATATTTTAAAATAAAAATCCTTAACAAAACAAGAATAGAAGAATATTTCCTCAATAGAATAAACCGTACTAAGAAAAATCTACAGCATCATACTTGATTGTGAAATACTGACTTTTTTTTGTAGAATCAGTAACCAGGGGAGGATGTTTACTATCATCACTTTTATTCAACATTTAGTTCATAACCTAGTAAGGACAAAAAGCAAGATTAAAAAATTATATGCCTAAAGATTAGAAAGAAAATTTAAAACTGTCTTTACTTGCCAATGGTATGATGGTGTATGTAGAAAACCCAAAGGAAACTACAAAAATAATAAGTGAATTTAGCAAGACTGAAGAACACATGTCAGTAGACAACAATTAATTATATTTCTATATAAATAACAGCAAACAATTTGAAAATGAACTTTAAAAAAATACCATGTACAGGATAGACTTCCAGCTGGCAGCCTGAGGAGTATCATAGACTTATTCCTGAGTGGAAGAGCATAATTTATGAAAGCTATTTTAAAAACAACCATGTAAAGTCTCCAGAAATTGTCGTAAGGGCATATAGCAAATGAAGACATATTTATTCAAGAAAATCTACTGAAACTTGGTAGAAACAATGAGAGTCTGTGGCACTTGAACCACAACTCACTTAATTCCTCTCCCCCTTCCAGGTTGCCAGCATTTCTCATCCCCTCCAACTCCAAGTTGAAGAGACCAAATTCCTGGGAAGTGTTACCAAGAGGTCAGAGGCTCCCTTCTGACCATTCCCCAATGACAGGACAGAAGCTCTACCCCAGGCATAGACCTCAGTACCATAAAATATTGAATCCCTGATTGCCCTTACCCCATCTTGCTCATAGGGCAGAAGTTTTATGCTTGAAAAGATAAGCTGAGAAGACCAGAGGATACCACCTTTGCCCAAGGCCCAGACTAGTGGCTCAAAGGTTTTGCCCAGGAAAGAAATGCGGTCTACGTGAATAGAGAGCTTCAAAGCCCTCCCCAAAGTGACTAGCCTTATATGAAACAGTGTGGGAAAGTTCAAGCCTAAGTGTGCTCTCAAGACCAATGGGAAATTTGGTGATAATGAAATAAGAGGAAGTAATTGATAGCACCTCTTAATTAGGGGCAACAGACTAGACCAGTGAGAACCAATGAACGAGACTGCTAAGAAGAGCCTTCCTGGGATTTAAACCTCAAAGACTAGCCTGAAAAATGACCCCTTATCAAATTAAATTAGATCAGAATACTGTACAATGTATGTCCCAGGGTACTGTCAAAAATAATAGAACATCTGGTGGATGCTAAGCTTGAAAAACAATAAAATAATAGACCAATTACCCAGCTGTGATTTGGCAGTGTAACAGCTGTATATGATATTAACAGAGGCAGACAGGTTAACAGAGAGATGAAGGAGATAGTTAAAGAGAATCCTGCTAAAATCACTGCCATCCCAGAGTGACTATATACACTGAATACTGTGCCTTCTGAGAAGCAACCTCAAAGTCTTCACAATGTAGAGGAAATAAACCTCATGAAAATAGTCTAGCCGAGTCACTGAATAAATAAATAAGCAAACAGCAAAAACTGGAGAGGGGAGAGAGGAATCAGTCGTCAGTACCCAGAAGTGATACAATATATTACCTAAAATATCCAGTTCTCAACAAAATATCATGAGACTTGCAAAGAAACAAAGTGTGGCTCATTCACAGGGAAAAAAAGCAACAAAAATTTCCTGTGAGAAGGCCCAGATGTTGGATTGAACAGACCAAGACCTCAAAACAACCATTATAAATATGCTTAAAGAACTGGAAGACACTATGCTTAAAGAAGTAAAGGAAGCTATGATGACAATGTCTCATCAAATCAAGAACATAAATAAAGAAATAGAAGTTACAAAAAGAACCAAATGGAAATTCTGGAGTTGAAAGGTACAGTAAGTGAAAAGAAAAATTCAGTAGTGGGACTCAACAGTAGATTTGAACTAGCAAAAATAACAACCAGTAAACTTGAAAATAGGTTAATAGAGACAGTGCATTCTGAAGGACAGAGAGAAAAAAATATGAAGAAAAATAAAGTCTCAGAGAAACATGGGACACAATTAAGTGCACCAACATATACATAATAGGATTAGCAGAAGGAGAGGAGAGTTAGAGAAGAAAGGAGAAAAATATTTGAAGAAATAATGACTGAAAACTTCCCAAATTTTATGAAAAACATTAATTACACATCCAAGAAGCTCCATGAACTCCGAGAAGATAAATGGAAAAATATCTACAACCAGATGCATCATAGTAAACATGCTGAAACACGCTACAAGGCAAAAAACAAAAAGAAAATCTTGAAAGCAATAAGAGAAAAATGACTTGTCACATACATGGAACTCTTACAAGATTAACAGCTCATCAGAAACAATGGAGGCCAGAAGGGAATGGGATGACATATTCAAATTGGTCAAACGAAAAAACTGTCATTCAAGAAACTTATATCCAGAGGGGAACAACACACTGGGGCCTGTTGTTGGAGCAGGGGGAGGGAGAGCATCAGGATAAATAACTAATGCATGTGGGGCTTAATGCCTAGGTGATGGGTTGATAAGTGCAGCAAACCACCGTGGCAAACGTTTACCTATGTAAGAAACCTGCACGTCCTACACATGTATCCCAGAACTTAAAATAAAATTAAATTTTTAAAAAAACCTCATATCCAGCAAAAGTATTTTTCAAAAATGTAGGTGAAATAGACATTGTCAGGTAAACAAAAACTGAGAGAATTTATTACTAGCAGAGCCACCTTACAAGAAATACTACGGGAAGTTTTTCAGGCTGAAAGAAAGTGAACCTAGATTGTAATTTAAATCTACACAAAGGAACAAAGAGCATGTTAAGGTAACTATGTAATTATGAAAGAGTATAAATGCATATTTCTTCTCTCAGCTGATTTTTAAAGCAATTTATAAAACAACATATATATAATTGTTATTTGGGGATCTATAACATAGAAATTAAATACATTTGTCAGTAAGAGCATAAAGGAAGTGGGTGGGAGCAAAGTTCTGTTTCAGTAAACAGATTATTCCAGATGATAGCCTGGATTCACCAGAACAAATAAAGAGAATAAAAAATGGTAAATGGTAAATCAGAAGGTTATAAATATATGCTTGTTCTTCTTATTTCTTAGCTTTTATAAAAGAAATAAAATTATATAAAGTAGTAATTATAATGTTTTATTGGTTTGTAAAATATATAGATTTAATTTGTATACCAATAACAGCACATAAGAGAGAATACAGCTATTAAAAATTAACATTTCTGTATCTCACTGGAATTAAGTCAGTATACATCTGAAGTAGACTCTGATTGGATATATACAGTAAGTTCTAATGTATACGGTAAGTTTTACCACTAGGAAAACTCCAGAAAATATGGTGAAAGATTAATCAAAGGAATGAAATGCTGCACAAGAAAATATTCACTTAATGCCAAACAAAGCAGTAAAAGACTAGAGGATCAAAAAAAAACATGAGACAGAGAAAACCAAAAGGAAAATGACAAGTGTAACCCAACTATATCAATAATATTAAATGTTAAGTGATTAAACAATCCAATCAAAAGACATAGATTGTGAGACTTTTTTTTAAAAAATCAAGATCTGCCTATATGCTGTTTATGAGAGAGATTTTAGATTTAAAGGTGTAAATAGGTTGAAAATGAATGGGAAAAGATCATATGAACAACAGCCATAAGAAAACTGGAGTTACTGTACTAATACCATTTAAAAAAATAGATTTTAAAGCAAACAGAATGTCACTAGAATAAAAAGTGACCTTTTATAATGATAAAAGTGTCAATCAAGATGAGACAATAATTAAAACATATATGTCCCAAATAACAGAGTTACAAAATACATGAAGCAATGCCTAACATGATCAAAAAGAGAAAGTCAATAATAATTGTTGGAAATTTCAAAGTTCCACTTTTAAAAATAGATACAAGAACTAGACAGAAGATCAAAAAAGAATTAGATGACTGGAAAAATGCTATGTAGAAGACCTCGATACCAAAATCTCCAAAATATTGCAGAAAGAAACATTTAAAAAATTATTTAAATGGAGGGGAATACCAGGTTTACAGGTTGGAAGACTCACCTTTTAAAAGATCTTTATTCTACCAAATTAAGCCATATGTTTATCACAGTCCTATAAAAAAATCTAACATATTATTTGTAGAACTTGAGAAAGTGATTCTAAAATTTATGCAGAAATGCAAAGGATCTGGAATAACTAAAATACTCTTGGAAAAGAAGAACAAAATTGGAGAACTTCACTACCTGATTTCAAGATGTGCCTTAAAGCCACATTAATTATGATAGTGTGGTAATTGAAAAAAAGATAAATAAATGGATCATTACAGAATAAAAAGTCCAGTAATAGATCCACACATGTATGGCCAATTTGTTTTTGACAAAGGCACCAATAAAAATCAATGAAGAAAGTCTTTTTAACAAATAATGGTGGAACAACTGGGCAAACAAATAGGAGAAAAATGAACTTTAATTCCTACTTCACGTCACAACCAATCATTTTTAAAGTTCTAGAAGAAAACAAAGAATAATATCTTCATGATCATAGGTTTGGCACTGACTACTTAGGAATTAAAAAGAAATTACAATAAAAATAATAAATTTTTCTTCAAGTAAATTAAATTTCTGCTCATCAAAAGGCACTATTAAGAGGCCAGGCATGGGCTGGGCACAGTGGCTCACGCCTGTACTCCCATCACTTTGGGAGGCCGAGGCGGGTGGATCACGAGGTCAGGAGATTGAGACTATCCTGGCTAACACGGTGAAACCCCGTCTCTACTAAAAGTACAAGAAATTAGCCAGGCATGGTGGCGGACACCTGTAGTCCCAGCTACTCTATTCCGAAGGCTGAGGCAGGAGAGGGGCATGAACCCAGGAGGCAGAGCTTGTAGTGAGCCGAAATCGTGCCACTGCACTCCAGCCTGGGTGACAGAGGGAGACTCCGCCTCAAAAACAAAAGAGGCCAGGCATGGTGGCTTATGCCTGTAATCCTAGCACCTTGGGAGGCCAAGGCAGGTAGACCACTGGAGGTCAGGAGTTTGAGACCAGCCTGGCCAACATGGTGAAACCATGTCTCTACTAAAAATACCAAAATTAGCCAGGCATGGTGGCCCACACCTGTAATCCCAGCTACTTGGGAGGCTGAAGCAGGAGAATCACTTGAAGCTGGGAGGTGAAGGTTGCAGTGAGCCAAGATCGCACCACTGCACTCCAGCCTGGGCAACAGAGCAAGACTCTGTCTCAAAAAAAAAAAGACACCATTAAGCAAATTAAAAGATAAATCACATACTGAAAGAAAATATTCACAATGCCTATTTTTGACTAATAATTCTTACCTAAAACATATGAAGAATTCTTACTACTACATAACACAAATATAAGCAGTCCAACATAAAAAATAAGCCAGAAATTTGGATAGAATCATGAAGATATATGATTAGCCAATAAGCATGTGAAAATGTTCCAACTATCCATAGTCATCAGAGAAATTTAAAATCATAATAAGATACTACTATGACCAGAAGGACTAAGATTTTAAGAGACTATTACCTAGTGTTGGTGGAGATATTGAGCAATTGGAACTCCCGTAAGTTGCTACGGAGAATGCAAAATAGACAGCCCCTGTCATTACCATAGTGGAAAGACTATGGAAGTATTTAAAGGAAAAACACAAACAAATCAAAGATTTTGACATATAGGTATTTATTGTGGCTTTATTTAGTATAGTAAAGATTGGAAAATCCAAATGTTTCACAATGGAGGAATGTTAAATTAAAAGTGTGGTATATCTTTATAATGATTTGATAAATTTTTAAAATGGTGGAATTGTTTATGAAATAAATGTTATATACAAAAATCACAAGCATTCTTATACAACAATAACAGACAAACAGAGAGCCAAATCATGAGTGAACTCCCATTCACAATTGCTTCAAAGAGAATAAAATACTTAGGAATCCAACTTACAAGGGACGTGAAGGACCTCTTCAAGGAGAACTACAAACCACTGCTCAATGAAATAAAAGAAGATACAAACAAATGGAAGAACATTCCATGTTCATGGGTAGGAAGAAGCAATATCGTGAAAATGGCCATATTGCCCAAGGTAATTTATAGATTCAATGCCATCCCCATCAAGCTACCAATGACTTTCTTCACAGAATTGGAAAAAACTACTTTAAAGTTCATATGGAACCAAAAAAGAGCCCGCATCACCAAGTCAATCCTAAGCCAAAAGAACAAAGCTGGAGGCATCAAGCTACCGGACTTCAAACTATACTACAAGGCTAGAGTAACCAAAACAGCATGGTACTGGTACCAAAACAGAGATATAGATCAATGGAACAGAACAGAGCCCTCAGAAATAACGCTGCATATCTACGACTGTCTGATCTTTGACAAACCTGAGAAAAACAAGCAATGGGGAAAGGATTCCCTATTTAATAAATGATGCTGGGAAAACTGGCTAGCCATATGTAGAAAGCTGAAACTGAATCCCTGCCTTACACCTTATATAAAAATTAATTCAAGATGGATTAAAGACTTAAACATTAGACCTAAAAGCATAAAAACCCTAAAAGAAAACCTAGGCATTACCATTCAGGACATAGGCATGGGCAAGGACTTCATGTCTAAAACACCAAAAGCAATGGCAACAAAAGCCAGAATTGACAAATGGGATCTAAGTAAACTAAAGAGCTTCTTTTTTTTTTTTTTTTTTTTTTTATGGCAGAAAAATGTAGTTTTATTTGTTTTGTTTTTGACTTAAGGTATGTCAATCTTTTTTTTTTTTTTTTTTTTTTTTTTTTTTTTATTGATCATTCTTGGGTGTTTCTCGCAGAGGGGGATTTGGCAGGGTCATAGGACAATAGTGGAGGGAAGGTCAGCAGATAAACAAGTGAACAAAGGTCTCTGGTTTTCCTAGGCAGAGGACCCTGCGGCCTTCCGCAGTGTTTGTGTCCCTGGGTACTTAAAGATTAGGGAGTGGTGATGACTCTTAACGAGCATGCTGCCTTCAAGCATCTGTTTAACAAAGCACATCTTGCACCGCCCTTAATCCATTTAACGCTGAGTGGACACAGCACATGTTTCAGAGAGCACAGGGTTGGGGATAAGGTCACAGATCAACAGGATCCCAAGGCAGAAGAATTTTTCCTAGTACAGAACAAAATGAAAAGTCTCCCATGTCTACTTCCATCCACACAGACCCGGTAAACATCCGATTTCTCAATTCTTTCCCCACCCTTCCCGCCTTTCTATTCCACAAAACCGCCATTGTCATCATGGCCCATCACCAATGAGCCGCTGGGCACACCTCCCAGACGGGGTCATGGCCGGGCAGAGGGGCTCCTCACTTCCCAGTAGGGGCGGCCGGGCAGAAGCGCCCCTCACCTCCCGGATGGGGCGGCTGGCCGGGCGGGGGGCTGACCCCCCCACCACCCTCCCAGACGGGGCGGCTGGCCAGGCAGAGGGGTCCTCACTTCCCAGTAGGGGCGGCCGGGCAGAGGCGCCCCTCACCTCCCGGACGGGGCGGCCGGCCGGAAGGGGGGCTGACCCCCCCCACCTCCCTCCCGGACGGGGCGGCTGGCCGGGCAGAGGGGCTCCTCACTTCCCAGTAGGGGCGGCTGGGCAGAGGCGCCCCTCACCTCCTGGACGGGGCGGCTGGCCGGGCGGGGGGCTGACCCCCCACCTCCCTCCCGGACTGGGCGGCTGGCCGGGCGGGGGGCTGACCCCCCACCTCCCTCCCGGACTGGGCGGCTGGCCGGGCGGGGGGCTGACCCCCCCACCTCCCTCCTGGACGGGGCGACTGGCCGGGCAGAGGGGCTCCTCACTTCCCAGTAGGGGCGGCCGGGCAGAGGAGCCCCTCACTCCCGGACGGGGCGGCCGGCCGGGCGGGGGGCTGACCCCCCCACCTCCCTCCCGGACGGGGCGGCTGGCCGACCCCCCCCCCCGCCTCCCTCCCGGACGGGGCGGCTGGCCGGGCAGAGGGGCTCCTCACTTCCCAGTAGGGGCAGCCGGGCAGAGGAGCCCCTCACCTCCCGGACGGGGCGGCTGGCCGGGCGGGGGGCTGACCCCCCCCACCTCCCTCCCGGACGGGGTGGCTGCCGGGCGGAGACGCTCCTCACTTCCCAGATGGGGTGGTTGCCGGACGGAGGGGCTCCTCACTTCTCAGACGGGGCGGTTGCCAGGCAGAGGGTTTCCTCACTTCTCAGACGGAGCGGCCGGGCAGAGACGCTCCTCACCTCCCAGACAGGGTTGCGGCCCAGCAGAAGCGCTCCTCACATCCCAGACAGGGCGGTGGGGCAGAGGTGCTCCCCACATCTCAGACGATGGGCGGCCAGGCAGAGACGCTCCTCACTTCCTAGATGGGATGGCGGCGGGGAAGAGGCGCTCCTCGCTTCCTAGATGGGATGGCGGCCGGGCAGAGACGCTCCTCACTTTCCAGACTGGGCAGCCAGGCAGAGGGGCTCCTCATATCCCAGACGATGGGTGGCCAAGCAGAGACGCTCCTCACTTCCCAGACGGGGTGGCGGCCGGGCAGAGGCTGCAATCTCGGCTCTTTGGGAGGCCAAGGCAGGCGGCTGGGAGGTGGTTGTAGCGAGCCGAGATCACGCCGCTGCACTCCAGCCTGGACACCATTGAGCACTGAGTGAACGAGACTCCATCTGCAATCCCGGCACCTCGGGAGGCCGAGGCTGGCGGATCACTCGCGGTTAGGAGCTGGAGACCAGCCCGGCCAACACAGTGAAACCCCGTCTCCACCAAAAAAAAAACGAAAACCAGTCAGGCGTGGCGGCGCGCGCCTGCAATCGCAGGCACTCGGCAGGCTGAGGCAGGAGAATCAGGCAGGGAGGTTGCAGTGAGCCGAGATGGCAGCAGTACCGTCCAGCTTTGGCTCGGCATCAGAGGGAGACCGTGGAGGGAGAGGGAGAGGGAGAGGGAGAGGGAGAGGGAGAGGGAGAGGGAGAGCGTAAGCGTAAACTAAAGAGCTTCTGCACAGCAAAAGAAACTACCATCAGAGTGAACAGGCAACCTACAAAATGGGAGAAAATTTTTGCAACCTACTCATCTGACAAAGGGCTAATATCCAGAATCTACAATGAACTCAAACAAGTTTACAAGAAAAAAACAAACAACCCCATCAAAAAATGGGCAAAGGATATGAACAGACACTTCTCAAAAGAAGACATTTACACAGCCAAAAGACACATGAAAAAATGCTCATCATTACTGGCCATCAGAGAAATGCAAATCAAAACCACAATGAGATACCATCTCACACCCGTTAGAATGGCAATCATTAAAAAGTCAGGAAACAACAGGTGCTGGAGAGGATGTGGAGAAATAGGAACACTTTTACACTGTTGGTGGGACTGTAAACTAGTTCAACCATTGTGGAAGTCAGTGTGGTGATTCCTCAGGGATCTAGAACTAGAAATACCTTTTGACCCAGCCATCCCATTACTGGGTATATACCCAAAGGATTATAAATCATGCTGCTATAAAGACACATGCACACGTATGTTTACTGCAGCACTATTCACAATAGCAAAGACTTGGAACCAACCCAAATGTCCATCAATGATAGACTGGATTAAGAAAATGTGGCACATATACACCATGGAATACTATGCAGCCATAAAAATGGATGAGTTCATGTCCTTTGTAGGGACATGGATGAAGCTGGAAACCATCATTCTCAGCAAACTATCGCAAGGACAAAAAACCAAACACTACATATTCTCACTCATAGGTGGGAATTGAAAAATGAGAACACATGGACACAGGAAGGGGAACATCACACTCTGGGGACTGTTGTGGGGTGGGGAGGGGGGAGGGATAGCATTAGGAGATATACCTAATGCTAAATGACAAGTTAATGGGTGCAGCATACCAGCATGGCACATGTATACATATGTAACTAACCTTCACATTGTACACATGTACCCTAAAACTTAAAGTATAATAATAATAATTAAAAAAAGAAGCTCATCAAAGTAAAAAAAAATCAGAATATGAAACTCTTTATTGGATTAAAAATCATCATGGAAGGGGCCAGGCGTGATGGCTCATGCTTATAATCCCAGCACTTTGGGAGGCTGAGGCAGGCAGATCACTTGAGGTCAGGAGTTCGAGACCAGCCTGGCCAATATGATGAAACCCTGTCTCTACTAAAAATATAAAAATTAGCTGGGCTTGGTGGCACACACCTGTAATCCCAGCTACTTGAGAGGCTGAGGCAGGAGAACTGATTGAGACCCAGGAGGCGGAGGTTGCAGTGAGCCGAGATTGCACCAATTCATTCCAGCCTGGGCGATAGTGAGACTCTGTCTCAAAAAAAAAAAAAGGAAGAAAAAAGCCAAAATTATGATGAAATTGTGTATTTTTTAATCCTCTCCATCACTTTTCTGTATCTTCCAAGTTTTCTAGAGGGACAAAACTTTACTTCTATAGTCCAAAAAATGTTTATTTTTAAATAATGATTGTTCTGAATAACTATATAGTATTTAATGATGATAATTATAAAATTGTTTAGGGTTTTGACACGTTGTAAATTGGCACAAGGAAGTAGTTTTACTATTATTGTTAGATCCATATTCAGTTCAGTTCCTACCTTCATCAGGAAAGTAGGTAAATTCAGAAGGAGCTAGGGAAAATGACAGAATCAATAGACAGTACAGAAATAGAAAAGATGGTATTTTCCAGACAAATGAGCTTAGCTCTTTAACCACCAAATTTTGTATTTTAAAATTTTGATGAAACTCTTTCTAACATATACATCATGCTTTCTTACTTACTATCTTATAGTGACCAAATCCCATCCTTCCTCCTAGCTGTTTAACTTTGGAGAATTGATGTAATAGCCTTTCTTCCCCTGTTTTCTTATCTGTATGATGGGGTTAATATTATAACCCCTCTAATTATATTGGTAGGTGGGAAAACGATAATTTATATAAAGTATTTAGCGGAGGATTAGGTACAAAATAATAGATACTAGTTGCTGTTATTACTATTACTACAAAGAGCGTGTGGCACAGTAGGCATTCAATAAATTTGATTCACTGACTCAACTTACAGTGATGTCTTTAAAACCTTTCAGAGATCTGTAAAACACCCACCTGTTAAATGGTCCCAGATCTCTCACTCACTAGTCATTACAGTTCCTTTCTCTGCCCATTTTTTCACTGTTGTTCCACGTTACTTTTCTTAATGTTTCTAGTTCTAGCAGCCTCCTCCTCTTTATAACTTGCAGTTTCTAATTTGCTGTCAGATAGCAAAGCCTGTTCAAGTCAGTACACTTTCAAGGAGTGCCTAGAAAACTCTTATAGCAACTCTGTGGATTAACACTTACTGCTTATTTAGTCAAACTTTTTCCTAATTTGTATATCTAGGGTTAAGACCGTGTTCGACATAGTTTAGTTTGATGAATGCCTATTTCCAGATTAATGGTAATATTTATATCAGTAAATATTAT
The DNA here is from genome assembly GCF_000001405.40 of Homo sapiens. Taxonomy (NCBI): domain Eukaryota; kingdom Metazoa; phylum Chordata; class Mammalia; order Primates; family Hominidae; genus Homo; species Homo sapiens. The sequence goes on from NC_000003.12 coordinate 121,317,142, forward strand.
GTGTACTATGATTACAAACAGAAATTTAAAATTGGATGAGCATTACATTGAAAGTCTTGAAAATAATGTTCAATGAAGTAAAAAATAGAGCAAACAGTAAGCTTTGCATTTGGTATTCAGTGCTCTATAAGCAATTGAAATATGAGTGCAGAATAAAAAATCTGAGTTCTGTGTCCTTTTCAAGCTATGTTATTGACTTACTTCTCTGACTTTGAATAAATAGCTTAAACTCTTTGAAGTTATAGTTTCTCACTTATAAAACACAAGAGTTGGGCTAGGTTGTCACAAGGCACCTTTTGGTTCCAAAATTCTGTGATTTTTTTTGGACCTACCACAAGCTTATTGCTATAAATTGTATAAAGAAGAGGGTGATGGGAAAGAATAGGAACAAAGATTATTTTGGTCATTGAAAATAGCTCTCAAATGTTTCTGAGCATGGAGACAGATTAAAATAGAAATTATGAATATTTATTTCACAAAAGAAAGTCTGTGAGACTTTCTAACAAAGATAGAAAAACCATAATGAAGAATATTTTACAAATACCATATAAATACAGATTGGCAAGTAGAAAGAATTATAAAATGTTTATTAATCTGTTGTGTCTATTGTTGCATTTGTCAGAAAAGTGGCAGAATAAAAATTAAGAAATATTGGAAAGAGAAAAATATAGTGCTTATTATAAGGAATTTGATACTATTGAACAAAACACAGTATGTAATATACAATACTACATTTTTATAAATAAATATAAAATTTAGAATTTGTAGTTTTTAAAGATCTTTTAAAAGCCAATAATCATATCTCCTGAGAGGATATTTGATTAGGTATTGTTAAAACCCCTTCTAATTCTTCTTATTTATGATCTATTTTCAGATAAAATTGGGTCATTTATTAAAGTAGCTATTTCTTATAAAAATAGTTAAAAAAGGATTTTATATCTTTGTACCATCCATGTTTAAATACTCTTGCATGTCAATCAGTTACTTCTCCTTATTTTTTCCTGTATCACTTGTTTAAACAAATTTTCAGAATAGGCCAGGCATGGTGGCTCACACCTGTAATCCCAACACTTTGGGAAGCTGAGGTGGGAGTATTGCTTCAGCCCAGGAGTTCAAGACCAACCTGGGCAACATAGTGAGACCCTGTCTCTATAAAAATAAAAAAAAAATTAATAAAAATATTTTTAAAATTCAGAATAATTGACGTAACTTGGACATGATAAAGTAGTTTTCACATAAAAAAAAGCCTTTTAAACTTGTAGGAATTAAGAAATAAGAATAACCTACAAAATGCTAGCAAAATTTATCTCATTTTTTTTCATTGTATTTTCAGGTTTAACTGAACTGAATGACAGTCCAGTTCCCCTAGAACTTGAGCGCTGCAAGTCTCCTACCTCAGGTAAACATGAGTGGTATTTTGCAGACTTCTGGTAATTCACTGCAGTAATCTGTTGCTTTATTTTCATGATCTTTATAATGTGAAATTTATAATTTTAGTAATTAGGTATAATTCCATTCATTAAATTTACTGTAAGCAAATTTGATTCCAAATATCAAATACAAACAAATGTCTTTTAAAATATTTTTATCTCAAAATAAAATTAAGATCAGAGGTAAAAGTGCAACACTTTAAAAGACATTTTAAAGGAAAGTTATTTTGCAGATACATTAATAATGCTTACTAAGTATTGAATAAAAATTGGTGATATAGAGAAACTTGTCATCTTCAGGCTAGAGCTGAATTAGTGGGAAATATACAGTATATATGCAGAAGCAAATGATACCATTCCTCTAGACCACAGTTTGGAAACATGTATATTTATTCACAAGGAAAAATGATGATAGAATATGATATGAAGCAAAACATCAAGACAAAGTGTGCACCCATTAAAATATATTTAAAATGTGAGAATAAAGATTCCTAGGGATAAATCTTTAAGGTACTGTCTGTTAAAAAAAAAGTTAACAGTTATTTTTGGGTGGTGGGAATATGACTGGTTGGCCTGTTTTTTAAAATTTTTACATATTTGATAATTCTGATTTTTCTATAATGTATATATAGTTTTGTGTGAGTTTTTAAACACCAAAATCATTAGGTATGTCTTTACTGAATGATAGATCTGTTCTTACAGACAAGAAACTGTAGTTCCTTTTTATTTACATTATTTTAATTTGAACCTTATACAAATTTATAAAAGTTTAATAATGCCATTATAAAGCAACGAATTTGGACTTGTAGAAATTAATTTAGAATTGCAGCATTTCTTCCATTTATTCCATCCCTGAAAAGTGGTTAGTTCTTTATTCTTATTCTTCAGGAATCTAGGCTATGTATAATCTAGTTATATCCTATGTAAATTTTTCTCTTAGTCATATATTTTTAATTCTTATTTTACTGATCTTATTGTAAAGACTGTCTCATATGTTTACCCTGCCTTTTGCATTCTCATTGACACCAACCCAATTTAGGTATTTATTGCCTCATACCTATGGTATCATACAAATATTCTAGTAGATGTCTGTATTTTCTCTCTTCACCTTTTACAATTAATGTTGCATGTCATGTTGTAAAATTAATATTCTTAAAATATTACTTTGATCATATTTTCCCATGCTTATAAATCTTCGATATAAAATATAATTCAATACCCTTTATCAAATTTACATACGTAACTTCAAATTTTGTTATAGCTGGCCAGGCACAGTGGCTCATGCCTGTAATCCCAGCACTTTGGGAGGCCAAGGGGGGAGGATCACTTGAGGCCATGAGTTTGAAGACCAGCCTGGGCAACATAGTGAGACCCTGTCTCATTAAAGATGATAATAATAATAATTTTAAAAGTTTTTTAAAGATCATTATAGCTGTTCTACCTTTTTGTATTTTCATATAACTTTTATAAAGAATTTGTCAGTTCACACACAAACATGCTTAGATTTTTATTATGATTTCACTGGATCTATAGATCAACTGGGCAGAATTAACATATTCAACAATATTGAATTTTTCGTTTAGTATCTCTCTGTTTATGTGTGTCTACTTTCTTTCGGTAATATTTTTGGGTTTTTTTGTAGAGGTCTTGCATATCTTTCATTAAATTTATTCCTTTGTGTTTGTTTTTTTCCTATTATTGTGTTATTTTTATGTCTTTTTCTAATTATTTGTGGTTAGAATATGAAAATACAGCTAATTTTTGTATATTGAGCTTGCATCCAGGAAACTTGCTAAATCTATTTCTTAATTCTTATAGTTGGTAAAATTCTTTTGGATTATCTACGTATCTAAGTATGCCCCTTGTGAAAATGAAACCTCCATTTTCTCCTTCTAAAGGAAAAAATTGGCTAGGGCCTTCAATACAATGTTGAATAGATGTGGTATAAGTAGACTTTTTTTCTTGTTCCCAGTCTCATTGATAAGGCTTTCAATAACTCATAATTAATTATTATAATTGCTGTCAGTTTTTGGTAGATATGCTGTTTTTAGCCCTTTGCCTATGATGTTTCTTCTTTTGTTAATGTTACAGCAGATTTAGGAACACCACCACAACGCACAACGACCACACTTTTTTTTTTTTTTTTTTTAGACGGAGTCTTGCTCTGTCACCCAGGCTGGAGTGCAGTGGCGCAATCTCAGCTCACTGCAACCTCTGCCTCCGAGGTTCAAGGATTCTCCTGCCTCAGCCTCCCAAGTAGCTGGGACTACAGGAGCGTGTCACACACCCAGCTGATTTTTTGTATTTTTAGTAGAGACGGGGTTTCACTGTGTTAGCCAGGATAGTCTCGATCTCCTGACCTGGTGATCTGCCCGCCTCGGCCTCCCAAAGTGCTGGGATTACAGGCGTGAGCCACCGTGCCCGGCCCACACTTTATTTTTAATTTCAAAGCAGACTCAGAAAACTGTGCATGCAATTAAGTAGATTGTTTCAAAGCAGGAAAATTTTGACTATTTTTGTATTATGTTACTTGAGGCAGAAATGATGGATTGTGATAAGATCCATTTGTCACTTCAATACCTTACTTGATACTGGTCTACTAGACAGGTCCCACTCTTCTTTAGTAGCAACTTTAAATTATAAGTAATAATAATTGAGGAATGAGAGATTTTTTTTTCCTTATAACAGTTTTGTAATCATTAAATGTTATATTTGTTAAACTATGTGAAATGCATCCTTCTGGGAAAAGTGCGAATGGAGTTTACTACTTAAGAATATTGGAAATAATCACAATATTTACTGATTTCATTCATTTTCCATGAAAGAGAATGATAATTAATTGTGCTATATTAGAGGGTCATTTAAAGGACAGTGTGCCCATTATTATTTCCAAAATTCAATACAATACATATACAATAGCCACACATACACCTAAAACTACATTCTGTAATCTCTTGCTGTTGTAGGAATTGCTGCATTCTGATTCAGTAGATCTGAGGTGGGGCCTGAGATTTTGTATTTCTAGCAAGCTCTTGGCTGATGCTAAGGCTTCTGGTCTCCAGATCACTTGAGAATCACTGCCCTATGAAACATTTTAAAAATATTTTTTCAGTAGTTACCTCCCCTGTAGGTATCTGTTTGGGAATCTCAGCTCTCACCCCTTTAAATCTGCTACAGATGAAAAGATTGATGCAAATGTCTCTGAATAAAGGAGGTCAGGAATTAGGCAAACCAGAAACCAGTAATCATTTTATAACTCTGATATTCTCCTTTTAATATAATTTCAACTTTTATTTTAGATTCAGGGGTTACAAGTGGAGGTTTGTTACATGGGTATATTGCATGAAGCCAAGGTTTGAGATACAAATCTTCCCATCACCCCGGCAGTGAGCATAGTACCCTACAGTTAGTTTACCAACCCTACTCTTGTCCCCCTTCCTTCCTTTCCCCTCTAGTAGCCCCCAGTGTCTATGGTTGCCATCCTTATGTCCATGAATACCCAATGTTTAGCTCTCACTTACAAATAAGAACATGCAGTATCTGGTTTTCAGTTCCTGCATTAATTTGCTTAGGGTAATGACTTCCATCCAGCTGCATCCATGTTGCTTTAAAGGACATGATTTTTGGCTGGGCGCCGTGGCTCACGCCTGTAATCTCAGCACTTTGGGAGGCCGAGATGGGCGGATCACCTGAGGTTGGGGGTTTGAGACCAGCCTAACCAACATGGAGAAACCCAGTCTCTACTAAAAATAAAAAATTAGCCAGGTGTGGTGGTGCATGCCTGCAATCCCAGCTACTAGGGAGGCTGAGGCAGGAGAATCACTTGAACCCAAGAGGCGGAGGTTGTGGTGAGCTGAGATAGTACCATTGCACTCCAGCCTGGGCAACAAGAGCGAAACTGTGCCAAAAAAAAAAAAAAAAAGACATGACTTTCTTTTTTATGGCTGCATAGCATTCCATGGTGTATATGAACCACATTTTCTTTATCCAATCCACTGTTGATGGGCACCTGGTTAATTCCACGTCTTTTCTATTGTGTATAGTGTTGCAATGAACATATATGTGTATGTGTCTTTTTGGTAGAACTATTTCTTTTTGTGTGTGTGTGTGGGGTGGGGGGTTGAGGGGGTGCGGATATATGCCCAGTAATGGGATTGCTAGGCTGAATAGTAGTTCTAAGTTATTTGAGAAATCTCCAATCTGCTTTCCTCAGGGGCAGAACTAATTTACATTCCCATCAACAATATATAAGTGTTCCCTTTCCTCTGCAGCTTCACCAGCATCTGTTGTTTGTTGACTTTTTAATAACAGCTATTCTGACTGGTTTAAGATGGTATCTCAGTGTGGTTTTGATTTGGATTTCTTTAATGATTAATGATGCTGAGCACTTTTTGATATGTTTGTTGGCTGCTTGTGTCTTCTTTTGAGAAGTGTCTGTTCATGTCTTTTGCCTACTCTTAATGGAGTTATTTGTTTTGTGCTTGTTGAATTGTTTAACTTCCTTGTAGATTCTGGATATTATAACTTAGTTGGATGCGTAGGTTACAAATATTTTCTCCCATTCTGTAGTTTGTCTGTCCACCCTATTGATTGTTTCTCTTGCTGTGCAGAAGCTTTTTAATTAGGTCCCACTCATCAATTTTTGTTTTTGTTGCAATTGTTTTTGAGGATTTAAGTCATAAATTCTTTTTCAAGGCCAGTGTTCACAATGGTGTTTCCTAGGTTTTCTTCTAGGATTCTTATAGTTTGAGGTGTTACATTGAAATATTTAACCCATCTTGCATTCATTTTTGTGTATAGTGAAAGATTATAACTCTGATTTTCTATGTGGGTCTCAAACTTCCTTATACCACAGTGAACTACAGATAAAATAGAGTGAGGGTTCAGACCTAAACATTTTCTTGAGGATAATACAGGAGAAAAGAGCAGGGATTGGGAGCTTGAAGAATCCATTGAGTCAAATGGAATGCCAATGTTCTCAGTTTCCAAGATAATATAACACTTTATATTATCTATTCATTCACTCAACTATACATCAAATAATTTCCAGTTTCTACAGCTAGACATTATGCTATTCACTGAGGATAAACTAATGAACAAAATAAACATACTTCAAATGCAGAAATAAACATTAAACTTTAATTATATAAATTGTTCATACTTTTTTAAAGGCTGTACAACCTTTTTTTTCTCACCAACTTGTACTGTACAGCTTGACCTCCCAAGAGGGTGAGTAGGTGCTAACAATCAGCCCTAGCTTCACTTACCTGGTACAGGACTACAACCTCTTAAAGAGAACAGATCCTTTTTATTTGGACGAAGAATTGAAAACTTACCAAGCTTTCAACTGTGGGGCTGTGTCTTTCTAAATGTTGTTTGTTTTTCTAATGTCCTATTGAATGTATGCCTTTTTTCTAATTCTTTACTTGGATTAATATCTTTTTCTATACTAGCATTAGGTCCTGACACTGCTGCTACCTGTGTAGACATTCACCTTCATAATTCTCAGTGCACAATCTACAACACATTTATTATGCTATCAAGTTCAAATGAAGGCTAGGATGATAGAAATATATATCTTTATCAAAATATCATAGAGGTTAGTCACAAAATACTAACAAAGGAGTATCAAACTCTGTTGTTCTCAGGATTGGGTCAGAGCTTGGTCTTACAGCCTAGTTTGAATGCTCCTTCTGGGCATTCCTATGTGCCTAAAGTCCTATTTTAGTCTCCAAAAACCTTTCTTCTCCCTCCAAACAGTCCTTTGTTGGAGCAGTATTTATCTTTATTTTAGATAAGGATACAAAATGCAGATCTTTCCAAATAGTTATTATGAAATTCAGCTTTATTAAAGATAAAAATTATTGGTTCACTTAGGCTAAGGTACTCCATGCCAATAGTTTTATATTCCCTTCCTTTAGGACTTGCTACCAGAACCCCTGAGTCAGCACTAGGCTTTTATAGGAATGAAATATCAGCTATGAGACAGAGGAATCAAGTATATCACTTGCCAGGTGAAGATGAAAATCTCTTTATGAACAAACAAAAGTTATTCATATCTTCACAATTTTCTAGGCTTCACAACTTGTCTCAAAACTTTATTCTCATTTGTTGTGGTGGAAACACAAGTCCTTCATGGTGTATGAAAACAAATTTTTCTGAAGCAAATATAACGCCAGAGACACTTCATGAGATATGAATTAGGAATCCCTAAGGCTTTTGTGAAATGTTTGGAAATTTTCCACAAAATTTTGGTAGTGTTGTTTTTGTACTCTAAACCTGATTAGTTTTCTCAGGTCTCTAAGAAAGTAAGGGGGTCGCGGGTACGGTCAATAGAGAATTCAGTGAAATCTTAAGATCCAAACAATAGTAAGATTTTTTTTATATTCTCTGTAATTCTTCATAATACCATGAAATATTTTCTATCATCAGAAACAACTATGATTGCCTCAAAGAGGCAATGTTATCTCTCAAAAACAGTAAATGGAAAGGAAGGTCCTATAATCTAAATTTTATGCAGTCTTTGACATTTGCTTTTTTTTACCCCATGCTAGCTCATAGTGTTAAAAAGAAAAAAAACACTCAAACACAGGTTGCACAGCCTCCTGAAATTAGGCATTATCGCAAAATGACTGTGGCCAGTTTTACAACTCCACAAAGTGTGAACTATTAATGTTCTAGTCCCCAAATAAAGTCAGTAGCCAAGGAAGATAGAGATAATAGTTATCCACAGTTTTTCAAACAGTATTTTATTTTTCTCTTATGTAATACAACACCCCAGCATATGCCTTTTTCTGGTGAGAAAACTAAAGTTCAGACTATTTAAGTGAGTAGAGGTGGAATTCCAAGTTAGTTATATTTGTTTTTTCCCTAGTGTTCGTTAATTAAATGAGAAAAATTAATTTGGGAATTACAAAAAATAATCACAATTAAAATTATGGGACATTCAAACAGTGAGAAAATGAAAAGTAGCTGAGCTGTGAAATGTTTTAACAAAGAAATTTAATAGAACTTAAGAAATATACATTCCATGAAACATCAGAAAAAATATAGTTTACCATTAAAGTTTCTGGAAAAACTGATTTTCAAAATAATTTTTAGTTCTTACAGTTCATAAATCAACAACATTATCACCTTTTGAGTATATTAAGCCTTTTTTACTAAAAATTATAATCAACATTTGTATAGTACTTTAAAGCAAACAAGGTATTTTTCATATGTATTATCTTTAATCCTTACATCTATGTAATACTATTATTGTTCTTATTTTGTATGAATGGAGAAATTATGGCTAAGAAAAGATTCTATAGCTTTCCCAAGGTCACTGTGCTAGTAATGGCTTAGTCTGAACCCAAGTCTTCAGGTCTTCAGACTTCAAGGTCCTCTGATTATTTGGCCCAAATTATTTGGCCTCCTATTATGTCTACTAAAAAAAAAAAAAGTGGGTTGAAAAACTCAGTTATCACTGTAAGTTTATAACTCAAAATAGACATTAATCTTAACAGAAATGAAGTTTTATAATCATCGAACAACTATATGACATTAATAGTCATGGACTCATTAACATTGTCCAAATAGAAATATATTATATATTTTAAGATGAAGGTAGTGTCACAACATTAAACATTGTCATGCTGGAGCAAATTCTAATAAAAAATACCTCTTTACCCAGTTGTATCTTAACCACATCTTGGGAAAAAAGGGGAAAATTGCAACAAAATTAGAGATATGTAGGCTTTTTATGGCTTTACCATGGCGTGGTGACCCCAGAATGCTTGCTTTTTTGTTTTTAACTTTGTCTCTATACATACCAGGTGTTTTTGTCTTATCTTAGTTTCTGGCTTAGGGAAAGGTAGAGACAAATGAAATTTGTTACTGTATTCCAACCAGTCAGCTAATTAATCAGTAAATAGATAAATTCATAAGTACATAAACTAAAAACATTTTAATCTAAACAACTTTTATTTTAATTTAATGTTGTATTTATTTATTTCAGAGAATATATCCAGACCATACAGGTGGTATCTTCTGTATCAAGGAGATTATGTTGCTTAGTGGAAATGGCATAGCTTTGGAGTCAATTTTAGAGAAAAATTTGACCTTACCCTCTCACTTTCTACAGTTATAACTTTAGCAGGTTTCTTACACTTAATTGTGTGCCAGTGTTCAGAACATAGATGCTCAATAATATATGGTAGTGATTATTATAAAAGCAGTGGTGAATATCCATGGCCTGAAGAGACTCAGCTTGGTCCCTTTGACCATTCTGGACTTCCAAATATTCGTTGTAGCTTAGCCATAACAAAGTAGAAATTCTTCACTGGAAATCAAAAAGTAAATTCTGTCATTTCAAAGTAAGAAGCAATTAATCAGAAGCTTTGAATTAGAAACTTCTGACCTATCTCTTTGTGATATCTCCCATTAAAGTAGTAGCCATATGCAGACTTTGATTCAGGATTTAACCTGTTCCTAAAATTTTAATTCAGATGTAGAACCAATGATCTGACTGAGACTTATTTGTAGCCAATACAACATCCTTATGATGAACCAGGCTGCACTATCCATTGACTTTGAATTGAATTAGGAGTCAGCAGAAAGACATACGAATATACAGATGATTGAAGAAAGATGATACAGTCAAAACACACGAAGTCCCCTAGACAAAACCATAATGTAATGCCTGCAATTCTATTTTTATTTAGGGTTAAGCATAAAACCTCATTCTCACATAAGCTATGGTAAGCCACCAAACTGTTGATTACTCTGCTGCAATGCTATAATTGAACATAAATTTGGAAAGAATGAGTCTAGGAGTAGAGATAAATACTTTCACAAAGGTTTATAATCTGCTGCTGTTGTGAGGCTAGGCCATCATCTGATCTTTAGGCCAGAATTTACAGATGACTATTATTGTGTATTTTGCCATCAGTGAATACTTTCACTCATTTTCATAATTTTTAGTCTCTCATGCTATACCACTTAACAATTACTAGTTAATTCAGAAGTTGATAGATGTAACTAGGTAAGTGATTAACCCAATCTGTGGGGATGCTTTCCTATGTATTTTGTTTCTTTTTTTAGTCATATTTATTAAAGTACAATTTATGTAAAATAACATTCACATTTTAGTGTATAATTCTACAGATTTTCTTTCTTTTGTTTTTGATTTGGTTTCTATTTTCAAAAAGTATGCTACAGCATGTTAAAGTAACAAAAATTTCCTGACAATTTGCCCAGAATCTAACAAGTCCGTGGGCATAAGAAATCAAATTGTTATAATTCTAACACTTGCTGTGGTAATATTCCCTCACTCCAACTGGATTACATATGGTACTTTTTGCCGTGTTACTTTTGTGAGCTAAGACAGGCAGTTTTTCAGGGTGTGAAGGATTAAAGAGACCATTCAATGTGAGGATGCACAATGTGACTTAAGGAGATTTTTAGAGAAAATAAATAAGCCCGTTATAATTCAAGTTTGTTAGGACATACTATTGTGCAAAGGAAATAACAGTATTATATACAATTGAAGGCTTTATCAAGTGTGCTGTTTAATGCCAGGCACTAGATTTTCAGTAGAACATGTTGCCCAGATAAATTATTTCTGACATGGAATACTATAGAATGACAATCTTTTCTTGCCAATTAAGTTTAATAATGAAAATAATAGCTAACATTGAATGCTTGCCATATACCATACACTATGCTAAGGGCTTTACACACATTCCTTCCATTAATCCTGACAAGATTCTTGTGAAGTACAGACAATTGTTATCCTTATTTTACAGAGGAAGGGAAGCATCAATCTTTCTGAAATTAAGTAACTATTAGCCCAGGGCAGATGGTTGAGTCATGATTTGAATCCAGCTCATTTGTGTTCTTAAAAACTAGGCTTCACGGCTGGGCCTGGTGGCTCACGCTTGTAAACTCAGCACTTTGGGAGGCCGAGGCAGGTAGATTTCCTGAGGTCAGGAGTTCGAGACCAGCCTGACCAACACAGTGAAAGCCCGTCTCTACTAAAAATATAAAAACTTAGCCGGGCATGGTGGCATGCGCCTGTAATCCCAGCTACTCAGGAGGCTGAGGCAGAAGAATCGCTTGAACCCAGGAGGCAGAGGTTGCAGTGAGCTGAGATCGCACCACTGCACTCCAGCATGGGTGCTAGAGCAAGACTCTGTCTCAAAAAAAAAATAAAAAATAAACTAGGCTTCGCTTCATAAATGCTAGGAAACCTACCATGGAGAAAAGCAAGAGTGTCTGTGTGGAGCTGTACAAAGGGAAAAAAATGCATCTAACCTCTCCTAATAGGGGCACTACTGTTCCTTGTAACTACCACCTTCTATTCCTCATTAGAAAATGGAATATAAAAATATGATGAAAAATTTTAATTACTTAAAAAAAGAACTAATCATAATCACCTTAAAAAGCCCAGAAAAGTTATATATATACACACATATATATAATGCATATGTGTGTATGTATATATATTATATATATAATGTACATTTGTATCTGTATGCACATCTATGTCTAATTCAACAACTAAGAACAATATGGCTTCTCTTGTATGGAAAATCTGAGCTGCACTTCAGGAAGTACTTCTTATGTACCTTCTTATCCTGGGTAAAAGTCCCGTAGGTTGGTTAATACTCATGAAGACTTAAAAGATTGCTTTTTGAAATGCCATCTGTCAACCTCTTGATGTCAGTATAACCTGCAATTCTTCTTAAAATACAATTCCTGCTGACCTAAGGATACCTGGAGGTGTCCACTAAGTCTCTCCAGGTGCTTTAAGATCTGGCATGTGGGAGCAAGAACTAGTTAATTACTCATTATTGGTCCAGAGGTTAGAACTGAGACAAATCAATAAATGGTAAAGAAAAGTAGTTTGAGCTTGAATAGGAGGAAATTCTGTGGCAATTATAGCAATCCCAAATTAGAATTTTTTTATACTTTTGGAGGTTCTATCATGGAAATACTCAAACAGTTAGAATGTCAAGAATGTAGTAGGGGTGGGACGGGTGGCCCATGCCTGTAATCCCAGTGCTTTGGGAGGCTGAGGCGGGAGGATTGCTTGAGGTCAGGAGTTCAAGACCAGCCTGACCAACATGGTGAAACCTCATCTCTACTAAAAACACAAAAATTAGCCAGGCATGGTGGCAGGCGCCTATAATCCACCTACACGGGAGGCTGAGGCAGGAGAATTGCTTGAACCCAGGAGGAGGAGGATGCAGTGAGCCGATATTGCACCACTGCACTCCAGCCTGGGTGACACAGCAAGACCCTGTTCCCCCACATTCCTCTTGCCGAATTAAAGAAGAAACTACTTGTCACACCACATATGAAAAAAATCTACATAAAGATACACTTATTTAATGTAAGACAATTGCTTTTCACATATTTCTGTTTGCATATTAAATATTTACTACTGAATAGCAAAACACTAATATTGGAACAATATTTCTGCTTCCATACATGCTCACTAAATGGAATGTTCATCAGGGTTTTAATAATTATACAATATTTCTGCTTCATGGGCAGACTGGGAGGGGCATGGCCTGAAAGCCACAGTTTCTATCTCAACAGGGAAGGCTTATGGCATAGGGCATAAGCCTTCTGAGTGCAGACTGCTCAGAACCTAGCTAGCTGCTGCTAGTGGAACACTGTAGGTGTGAAACCTGCCTTGCCAAGTATGTGGGAGCTGGATGGGGCTTACTGCTGCCTGCTACTCCCCACTGCCCTAGCAGATTCTTCTGGGAAGCAGAGGCAGCTACACTTCTCCTTGGAACATTACCCCAGCAGCAGAGAACTGCCTTCTGATTTCCCCGGGGCTGCTTCTTGCACCCACATGTGGAGAGCTAGAGTGCAGACTTAACCTGACCCAGCCACCACCTGGCTTTGCTCCTCTACCCACCCTAATGGCTTAACACAAAGGACAGAAACTTTTGGGAGTTCTATGACCCCACTCATTGCTTGAGACAGTAGGGTACCTTTCCTGGGTAACACTTGAGACATCAGAGTACCTCCCCTGGGTAACTAACATTAGACAAGCACAAATACCACCATTACCACCACAGCTGTTGCTCTTTGCAAATGCTACCCCCTGGCTGGAGACCAACTAACACAGCCCACAACAGCATCTGCAGGCAGAATAACACAGCACCCAAGAAGGAGAAAACTTGTGCATGACCTCAGCTACCAACATTGCCTGCATCACCCTGGCCAACGGAGAGATCCTGAGTCTGTTCACATGACCCGTTCATTACTACTACAGCTGGCATTTGAGAAAGCCAACACAGTAAGCCTATTTATAACCAAGGAATCTCACAGAATCTATATCACTCGCCTGTCACCACCATCAGAGCTGGTGCTAATACCTGCTGCTGGGAGACTTGAGGACAGGTCATGTGCCTGGATCCCTTGCAGACAGTCCCCACTACCATCCTGAAGCGTGGCAGCCCCACAGGGCAGCTAGACCCAGAAGAGCAGCATTCACAGTAGTCTGGCCTTCAGGGACTCCTGCGGCTAGGGGAAGAGGGAGTGCACAACATTAAGGAGGCATCCTGTGGGACAGAAGAATCCAGATGGCAGGTCTTGAGTACCAAACTTTCCACATGTGGGAAGTTTCTTTCAGCAGAGGCACTGGTGCAGTGCTGAGCTCAGCAAGAAAAGTCTGCAGCTCTCCCCCAACAGTCAGGCAGCCCGGGTGCTCATGAAAGATCTTTGAGATGGAAACTTCTCCCCCTTGCTCGCCACTGCAGACACAGTTGAGGCTTCTCCCATGGGAGCTTAGCATGAGTGTACCTGTAGACACCCTTTCTGGAACATTTCAGGGTGACTGCTTTTCCACAGAAGGAGCATCCTCCAAGTTCAGGCTTGCATGAAAGGTAGAATCATAGTTCCTCTCTACTTGGAATATCAAAATTCCTGCAGATGAAAAGAGGTGCCTGTCTAATCTGAATAGGTGAAACACTGGGTGAAGAGTGTGTCTGGGAGTTGAGTAGCTTTCCTTCTGGTCTGGCAGAGGAGCTGAGGTAGCTCTCTCCCTTCCTCCTGAAAAGACCACAGTGCATTTCACTGAGAATTCTCCCAGCTACCTTTGTCAAGGCCGTGATCTCTCCCCAACATTGGGTATTGCATCTACCCACATACTTTAGCTACATCTGGTTTTTACCCCCAGACACCTCCCCTACTGGACTGAAGCCTGAACATTTCAACCCAGTAAATAAAATGTTGGGGAAAAAAATAACTAAATAAAAAAGTGCACACCAATGGGGAACAAGATAAGCTTCCAGAAACTTCTGCCATTCTAGCCCTGCAGGAGACAGTGAACCTGCTCACACACCAAGCACATTGCCACCACAACCAGCATCTGAGAAAGCCATCATACAAAGACTTTCTATAACCAAGAAACTCATACAGAGTCTTCACCTCTGAAAGCGCCCAGAGCCAAATTAGGTTACAAAAACTGTAATCATTAAAGTCACAACTTTAAGAGACAAAAAAAAAAAGAAATTTTTAAAAATCACAGATGAATTAAAAATAAATCCAAAAATAATTAAAAGAAATAGTTTACCCAAATGAGAAGGAACCAGAAAAATAATTTTGGCAATATGACAAAACAAGATACTGTAGTACCCCCAAAAGATCATACTAGGTCTTCCACAATGGATCCAAACCAAGATGAAATCTTTAAAACACCAGATAAAGAATTCAAAGGGTTGATTATTAAGTTACTTCAGGAGATACAAGAGAAAGGAGAAAACTAACATGAAAAAAAATTTAAAAATAACAATTCAGGATATGAATAAAAACTTTTCTATAGAGATAGATATTTTCAAAAAAAAAAAAAAAAACCAGAACTTCTGGAAATGAAAGACACATTTAAGGAATTATGAAATGCAGCAGAAACTTTTAACAGTAGACTAGACCAAGTAGAAGAAAGAATTTCAGAGCTTCAAGACAAAATTTTGAATTAATTCAATCAAACAAAAATAAAACAAAAATAAGTTTAAAAAAATGAACAAAGTCTCCAAGAAATATGGGATTACATAATCCCATGACCAAACTTAAAAATCACTGGTGTTTCTGAAGAAGAAGAAAAACCAAAAAGTCTAGAAAACCTATCTAAGGGAATAATTAAGGAAAACTTCACTGGCCTTGCTAGAGATTTAAACATTCAAGTACAAGAAGTTCAAAGAACTCCTGGGAGATCCATTGCAAAAAGGACATCACCAAGGCATTTGTCATCAAGCTATTTAAAGTCAAAGTGAAGTAAAGAATGATAAGAACGTGAAAAAAAAAAGCATCAGGTAACCTATACAGGAAAACCAGAAGGGATTCAGGCTTTATCTTTAGCCTCCTTAAACAGAATAACTATCATCAGCCAAGAATCTTGTAATCCAGCAAAACTAAGTTGCTTACATGAAGGAGAAATAAAGTCTTTTTCAGACAAGCAAAGGCTGTGGGAACTTGCCACTACCACACCAGCCCTATAAAAAAAATGCTAAAAGGGGGCAAAATCTTGAAACCAAAGGTCAATATGCACCAGAATGGAAACTCTTGAAAGGCTTAAACTCACAGGTCCTATAAAATAATAGCACATGGAGAAAATAAAGCATCTAGGTAGCAATCAACATGATGATTGGAACAGTACCTCACATCTCAACAGTAATGTTAAATGTAAGTGGTCTAAATGCTCTACTTAAAATATACAGAATGAAATTAAGGCAGAAATCAAGAAGTTCTTTGAAACAAATGAAAACAAAGATACAACATACCAGAATCTCTGGGACACGGCTAAGTCAGTGTTAAGAGGGAAATTTATAGCACTAAATACCCACATCAAAAAGTTGGAAAGATCTCTAATTAACAACCTAATGTCACAACTAAAAAAACTTAGAGGACCAAGAGCAAACCAACCCCAAAGCAGAAGACAAGAAATAACCAAAATCAGAGCTGAACTGAAGGAGATTGGGACACACACACAAAAAAAAAACATTCAAAAGATCAATGAAATTAGGAGCTGGATTTTTGAAAAAAAAATAAGATAAGCTGCTAACTAGGGTAATAAAGAGTAAAAGAGAAGATTCAAATAAATGCAATTACAAACAACAAAGGGAGGTTACCACTGACCCCAAAGAAATACAAGTAACCAGCAGGGACTACTATAAACACCTCTATGCACAGAAATTACAAAACCTAGAAGAGATGGATAAATTTCTGGACACAGACACCCTCCCAAGACTGAACCAGGAGGAAATTGATTCACTCAACAGACCAATAACAAGCTCCAAAATTGAGTTTGTTAATAATAGCCTACTGATATGGTTTGGCTGTGTCCCCACCCAGATCTCATCTTGAATTGTATCTCCCATAATTCCCATTGTTGTGGGAGGGACCTGGTGGGAGATAATTGAATCATGGCAGCAGTATCCCCCATACTGCTCTCGTGGGGAGCAGTCTCATGAGATCTGATGGTTTTATAAGGAGAAACCCCTTTTGCTTGGTTCTCATTATTTCTTTGCCTGCCACCATCCATGTAAGACGTGACTTGCTCCTTTTTGCCTTCCACCATGATTGTGAAGCTTCCCCGGCCATGTGGAACTGTAAGTCCAATTATCTCTGTCTTTTGTAAATTGTCCAGTCTTGGGTATGTCTTTATCAGCAATGTGAAAACTGACTAATACACCTACCAACCAGAAAAGTCCAGGTCCAGAAGGATTCATGGCTGAATTCTACCAGATATGCAAAGAAGAAATGTATCATTCCAGCTGAAACTATCCCAAAGAATTGAGGAGGAGGGATTTCTCTCCAACTCATTTTTTGAGGTCAGCATCATCCTGATATCAAAACCTGGCAGGGACACAACAACAAAAAAAGAAAACTTTGGGACAATAGCCTTGATGGTCATTGATGCAAAAATCTCAAAAAAATACTTGCAAATCAAATCCAGCAACACAACAAAAAAAAAAGAAAACTTTGGGACAATAGCCTTGATGGTCATTGATGCAAAAATCTCAAAAAAATACGTGCAAATCAAATCCAGCAACACATCAAAAAGCTATTCCACCACAATCAAGTAGGCTTTATCCCTGGGATGCAAGGTAGGTCCGACATATGCAAATCAATAAATGTGATTCATCATAAACAGAACTAAAGATAGAAACCACATGATCATCTCAGTTCAACATCCTTTCATGTTAAAAGCTCTCAACATACTAGGTAATGAAGGAATATAGCTCAAAATAATAAAAGTCATCTATGACAAACCCACAGCCAACATCATACTGAATGGGCAAAAGCTGGAAGCATTCCCCTTGAAAACTGGCACAAGTATGCTCACCCACCACTCCTATTTAACAGAGTATTGGAAGCCCTGGCAAAGAGCAATCAGGCAAAAGAAAGAAATGAAGAGCATTCAAACAAGAAGAGAGAAAGTCAAACAATTCCTGTTTGCAGATGACATGATTTTATATCTAGAAAACCCTATAGTTATAGACAAAAAGCTCCTGCAGCTGATAAACACCTTCAGCAATGTTTTAGGATACAAGAATCAATGTACAAAAATTACTAGCATTTCTATACACCAACAATAGCCAAACCAACAGCCAAATCAAAAACACAATCCCATTCACAATTGCCACAAAAAGAATAAAATACCTAGTAATACAGCTTAAAAGGAAGGTGAAAGATCTCTACAATGAAATTACAAAACACTGCTTAAAGAAAACAGAGATGACACAAACAAATGGAAAAATATCCACGTTCATGGATAGGAAGAATCAATATCATTAAAATTGCCATATTGCCTGAAGCAATTTAGAGATTCATTACTGTCAAACTACCAATGACATGTTTCACAGAACTAGAAAAAAACTATTTAAAATTGATATGGAACCAAAAAAGAGCCCAAATAACCAAGGCAATTTTAATCAAAAAAGAACAAAACTGGAAGCATCATGTTACCCAACTTCAAACTATACTACAGGGCTACAGTAACCAAAATAGCATGGGACTGGTACAAAAACAGACACATAGACCAATTGAACAGAATAGAGAGCCCAGAAATAAGGCCACACACCTACAACCATCTGATCTTTGGACTCCTTATTCAATAAATGGTGCTGGCATAACTGGCTAGCTAAATGCAGAAGATTGAAGCTGGATCCCTTCTTTACACCACATACGAAAATCTACTCAAGATGGAGGAAAGACTTAAATGTAAAACCCAAAACTATAAAAACCCTGGAAGTCAAGCTGGGCAGTATCATTCTGGACATAGAAACCGGCAAAGATTTCATGATGGAGACACCAAAAGCAATCACAACAAAGGCAAAAAGTGATAAATGGGATATAATTAAACTTAAGAGCTTCTGCACAGCAAAAGAAACAATTAACAGTGTAAACAGACAGCCTACAGAATGGGAGAAAATATTTTCAAACTATGCATCTGACAAAGGACTAATATCCAGCATCTAAGAAGAACTTAAGCAAATTACAAAAGCAAACAACCCCATTAAAATGTGGTTAAAGGATATGAATAGACACTTTTCAAAAGAAGACATATATGTGGCCAAAGAGCATATGAAAAAAAGTTCAATATCAGTGGTTATTAGAGAAATGCAAATCAAAACCACAATGAGAGGCTGGGCCTGGTGGCTCATGCCTGTAGTCTCAACAGTTTGGGAGGCTGAGGTGGGCAGATCACTTGAGCCCAATAGTTTGAGACCAGCCTAGGAAACATGACAAAACCTCTTCTCTACAAAAACTACAAAATTTAGCTGGGAGCAGTGGTGCATGCCTGTAGTCCTAGCTACTCAGGAGGCTGAGATGGAAGGATCACTTGAGCCCAGTAGGCAGAGATTGCAATAAACCAAGATTGTGCCACTGCACCCCAGCCTGGGCGTCAGCAAGACCCTGTCTCAAAAAAACCAGCCAACCAACCAACCAAACAAACAAACAAACAAAAAAATCCACAAGGAGATATTATCTCATACCAGTCAGAATGGCTATTAATAAAAAGTAAAAAAAAAAATAACAGATGCTGCAAGGTTGCAGAGAAAAGGGAATGCTTATACACTGTTGGTGGGAGTGTAAATTAAACTATTGTGGAAAGCAGTGTGGCATCTCCTTAAAGAGCTGAAAACACATCTAACATCTGACTCAGCAATCCCATTACTAGGTATATATCCAAAGGAATAGAAATCATTCTACCATAAAAACACATGCACGTGTGTATTCATTGCAGCACTTACAATAGCAAAGACATGGAATCAACCTAAATGCCCATCAATGGCAGATTGAATAAAGAAAATATGGTACATATACACCATGGAATACCACACAGCCATAAAAAAGAATGAGATCATGTCCTTTGCAGGAACATGGATGGAGCTGGAGGCCATCATCCTTAGCAAACGAATGCAGGAACAGAAAACCAAATACTGCATGTTCTCATTTACAAGTGGGAGCTAAATGATGAGAACACGTGGACACAGAGGAAAACAGACACTGGGGTCTACTTGAGGGTGGTGGGTGGGAGGAGGGAGAGGATCAGAAGAAATAACTATTTAGTACCAGGCTTAGTACCTGGGTGATGAAGTAATCTGTACAACAAACCCCCATGACATGAGTTTACTTATATAACAAATCAGCACATATACACCTGAGCTTAAAATAAAAGTTAAACAAAAAAATTAAAAATCACAAACCAAATATCAGCTCTCTTCAAGAGACTCATCTAATGCAAGGATTCTTACAAACTCGAGGTAAAGGGGTGGAAAAAGATATTCCATGCCAATATAAGAAAAAGCAGCAGGAGTAGTTATTCTCATGTTAGATAGAACAGACACTTTAAAGCAACAACAGTAAAAAAAAAAAAAAAAAAAAGTCATTATATAAAGATAAAAGAATCAATCCCCAGCAAGAAGATATTACAATCCTTAATATACATTACTTACTCCTTACTATGGAGCTTCCAGATTCATAAAAAATTACTACCAGACCTAAGAAAAGAGAAAGACATCATCACAATAATTGTGGGGGACTCAACACTCCGCTGACAGCACTAGACAGATAATCAAGGCAGAAAGTGAGCAAGAAAATGTTGTACTTAAACTGCATTCTAGAACAAATATAACTAACAGAATTTACAGGACATTTTACTCAAGAGCTTCAGAATATACATTATTTTCCTCAGCACATGGAACATTCTCCAAAACAGACCATATGATAGTCCACAAAACAAGTCTCAATAAATTTTTAAAAATTGAAATTATATCAAGTACCTTCTTAGACCACAGTGGAATAAAACCAATAATTAACACCAAAAGGAACACTCAAAACTATACAAATGCTTAAAAATTAATCTGCTCCTGGATGATTTGGGGGTAAAAAATGAAATCAAGATGAAAATTTAAAAATTCTTTAAAGTGAATGATAATAGTTACACAAGTTATCAAAACCTCTGGGATACAGGAAAAGCGGTGCTAAGATGAAAGTTTATAGCACTAAATGCCTACATCAAAAAGTCTGAAATGAAACAAATTGGCAACCTAACATCACACCTCAAGGAACCAGAGAAGCAAGAACAAACCAAACCCAAAGCTACCAGAATAAAAGAAATTATAAAGATCAGAGCAGAACTAAATGAAATTAGAACAAAGAAAAATAATACAATAGATCAACAAAACAAAAAGTTGGTTCTTTGAAAAAATAAAATTGGTAGACTATTAGCTAGATTAACCAAGAAAAGAAGAATCAAACAAGCTCAATTAGAAATGAAAATGGATGGCCAGGTGCGGTGGTTCACGCCTGTAATCCCAGCACTTTGGGAGTCTGAGGCGGGTGGATCACTTGAGGTCAAGAGTTTGAGACCAGCCTAGCCAACATGATGAAACCCTGTCTCTACTAAAAATACAAAAATTAGCTGGGGGTGGTGGTGCCGCCTGTAATCCCAGCTACTTGGGAGACTGAAGCAGGAGAATCATCTGAACCTGGGAGGCAGAGGTTGCATTTCTGTCAAAAAAAAAAAAAAAAAGAGAGAAAGAGAGAAAGAAAGAAAGAAAGAGAAAGAGAGAAAGAAAAAGAGAAAGAAAAAAAGAAAGAGGAAGGAAAGAAGGAAGGAAGGAAGGAAAATGGAGGCATTACAGCTGATACCACAGGAATACAAAAGATTATTTAAGACTACTATGAACACCTCTGTGCACATAAACTAGAAAATCTATAGGGAATTAATAAATTCCTGGAAACATACCACCTCCCCAGCTTGAATCAGAATGAAACAGAAATTCTGAACAGACCAACAACAAGCAGTGAGATTGAATCAGTAATTTAACAAAGTTGTCCTCCTAAAAAAAGCCAAGGGCCATACAAATTCACAGCCAAATTCTACCAGACATTCAAAGAATTGGCGCCAATTTTGCTGAAACTATTCTAAAAGACTGAGAAAGAAGGAATCCTTCCTAACTCATTCTATGAAGCCAGTATCACCTTGATACCAAAGCCAGGAAAGGGCATACAAAACAAAACAAACAAAAAACAAAAAAACACAAAATGACAGACCAATATTCCTGATTAACATAGATGCAGAAATCTTCAACAAAATACTAGCAAACTAAACCCAACAGCACATCAAAAAGGTAATTAACTATGATTAAGTGGGTATTATCCCAGGGATGCAGGGATGGTTCAACATATGCAAGTCAATAAATGTGATTCACCATGTAAACAGAATTAAAAACAAAAACCATATGATTATCTCAATAGATGCAAAAAGCATTGGATAAAATACAGCATCCTTTTATAAAACCCTCAACAAATTAGATATAGAAGGAACATATCTCAAAATAATAAAAGCTACATATGGAAAACCACAGCCAACATCATACAGAATAGGAAGAAGTCAAAAGCATTCCCCCTAAGAACTGGAATAAGACAAGGATGCCCACTTTTACCACTTCTATTCAATATAGTACTGGAAGTCATAGCCAGGCCAATCAGTCAAGAGAAAGAAAGGAATTCCAAATCAGAAAAGAGGAAGTCAAACTATTTATATTTGCCGACGATATGATTGTGTAACTAGAAAAACCTAAAGATCCCTCCAAAAGACTCCTAGATTTGAGAAATGAATTCAGTAAAGTCTCAGGTTACAAAATCCATGTACACAAATCAGTAGCTCTGCTGCATGCCAACAACGACCAAGCTGAGAATCAAATAAAAAACTCAGTCCCTTATATAATAGCTGAAAAAAAAAAAAACTAGGAATACATTTAACCGGGGAGGTGAAAGAGCTCTACAAGGAGGACTACAAAACACCACTGAAAGGAATCACAGATGATACAAACAAATGGAAATACGTGTCATGCTCATGGATTGGAAGAATCAGTATCACACAAATGATCATATTGCTCAAAGGAAGCTTCATATTCACTGAAATTCCTATCAAAATACCAAATTATTTTTCACAAAATTAGAAAAAAAATCCAAAAATTCATATGGAACCAAAAAAGAGCCCAAATAGCCAAAGCAATTCTAAGCAAAATGAATAAAGCTGGAGGCATCGCATTACCTGACTTCAAATTGTACTACAATGCTGTAGTAACCAGAACAAGATGTTACTGGTATAAAAGTAGATACGTAGACCAATAGAACACAACAGAGGATCCAGAAATACAGCCAAATACTTACAACCAAATGATCTTTGACAAAGTATAGAAAGGCATGGAATATTATTTTTTTCAAGGTAGTAATGTCTTTTTTTTACTTTTTTTAAATTATACTTTAAGTTCTAGGGTACATGTGCACAACATGCAGGTTTGTTCCATAGGTATACATGTGCCCAAGTTGGTTTGCTGCACCCATCAACTCGTCATTTACATTAGGTGTTTCTCCTAATGCTATCCTTCCCCCAGCCTCCCACCCCCCGACAGGCCCCGGTGTGTGATATTCCCCGCCCCATGTCCATATGTTCTCATTGTTCAACTCCCACCCCTGAGTGAGAACATGTGGTGTTTGGTGTTCTGCCCTTGTGATAGTTTGCTTAGAATGATGGTTTTCAACTTCATCCATGTTCCTGCAAAGGACATGAACTCATCCTTTTTATGGCTGCAGAGTATTCCATGGTGTATATGAAGGCACAGAATATTATAACACTGGGTTTGCGGTGTGTAAATTGCTCATACATTAAGTAGAAAGACCCAGGTGAACCAATAAAAAATAACAACAACTTTTCAAGTCATAGTATAATAACATATAAATAGAAACAACAAAAAGTTAAAAAGCAGGGAGACAAAGTTAAAGTGTAGAGTTTTTATTAGTTTTCTCTTTGCTAGCTTGTTTATGCAATCAGTGTTAAGTTGTCAACAGTTTAAAATCATGGATTATAAGATATTATTTGCAAGTCTCATGGTAACCTCAAATAAAAAATAGAAAAAAAATGGGATTACATCAAGCTAAAAAGATTCTGCAGAAGAAAGGAAATAATCAACTAAGTGCAGAGATAACCCACAGAATGGGAGAAAATATTTGCAAACTACCCCTCTGACAAGGAATTAATAACCAGAATATATAAGGAGCTCAAACAACTCTGTAGGAAAAAAGCTAATAGTCTGATTTTAAAATGGGCAAAAAATCTGAGTAGACATTTCTCAACATAAGACATATTTTGACTGGAAAACAGGTTTATGTGCTCAACAAGCACATAAAGGTGCTCGACATCCTTGATCTTCAGAGAAATGCAAATCGAAACTACAGTGAGGTATTATCTCACGCCAGTTGAAATGGCTTATATCCAAAAGACAGGGAATAACAAATGCTGACAAGGATGTGTAGAAAAGCACTGTTGGTGGGAATGTAAATTAGTACAGCCACTATGGAGAACAGTTTAGAAGTTCCTCAAAATACTAAAAATGCAGCTACCATATGATACAGCAATCCCACTACCAAGTGTATAGCCAGAAGAAAGGAAATTTGTATATGGAAGAGATATCTGCACTCCCATATATTGCAGCACTATTCACAGTAGCCAAGATTTGGAAGCAATTTAAGTGTCTATCAGTGGATGAATGGATAAAGAAAATATGGTAGATATACACAATGGAGTAGTATTCAACCACACCAAAGAGAGAGATCCTGTTGTTTACAACATGAATGGAACTGGGGGTAATTATGTTAAGTGAAATAAGCCAGACACAGAAAGACAAACAACATGTTCTCACTTATTCGTGGGAACTAAAATTTAAAACAGTTGAACTCGTGGACATAGAGAGATACTAGAGGCTGAGAAGGGTAGTGAAGGGAAAGTGGGATAGTTAATGAGTATAAAAAATAGAAAAAATGAATAAGACTAGTATTTCCTAGCACAACATGACTACAGTCAACAATAATTTATTGTATATTTTAGAATAACTTAAATAATATAATTGGACTTTTTGTAACACAAAGGAAGGGTAATTGCTTGATGTGATAGATATCACATTTACCCTGATTATTATACATTGTATGCCTGTATCAATATATGTCATGTACCCCATAAATATATACACATACTATTTACCCACAACAATTAAAAATTAAAGAAAGAAAAATATTCACAGACAAGTGAACCTGCACAGTTCAAACCCTTGCTGTTCAAGGATCAACTGCATAAACATTTCTCATTCCTAATAAACAGGAGTTTTAATTTAAAAACCTAAAAGTAAATTAATAGAATTCAAGCCTTGAATGTATGTAATTGAGGGGCTGGCACATAACATTAGGAATTATACTAGAATACTATTTTTTTATTATTATTATACTTTAAGTTTTAGGGTACATGTGCACAATGTGCAGGTTAGTTACATATGTATACATGTGCCATGCTGGTGCGCTGCACCCATTAACTCGTCATTTAGCATTAGGTATATCTCCCACAGCTATCCTTCCCCCCTCCCCCCACCCCACAACGGTCCCCAGAGTGTGATGTTCCCCTTCCTGTGTCCATGTGTTCTCATTGTTCAATTCCACCTATGAGTGAGAATATGCAGTGTTTGGTTTTTTGTTCTTGTGATAGTTTACTGAGAATGATGCTTTCCAATTTCATCCATGTCCCTACAAAGGACATGAACTCATCATTTTTTATGACTGCATAGTATACCATGTTGTATATGTGCCACATTTTCTTAATCCAGTCTATCATTGTTGGACATTTGGGTTGGTTCCAAGTCTTTGCTATTGTGAATAGTGCCACAATAAACATACATGTGCATGTGTCTTTATAGCAGCATGATTTATAGTCCTTTGGGTACATACCCAGTAATGGGATTGCTGGGTCAAATGGTATTTCTAGTTCTAGATCCCTGAGGAATCGCCACACTGACTTCCACAATGGTTGAACTAGTTTACAGTCCCACCAACAGTGTAAAAGTGTTCCTATTTCTCCACATCCTCTCCAGCACCTGCTGTTTCCTGACTTTTTAATGATTGTCATTCTAACTGTTGTGAAATGGTATCTCATTGTGGTTTTGATTTCCATTTCTCTGATAGCCAGTGATGGTGAGCATTTTTTCCTGTGTTTTTTGGCTGCATAAATGTCTTCTTTTGAGAAGTGTCTGTTCATGTCCTTCACCCACTTTTTGATGGGGTTGTTTTTTTCTTGTAAATTTGTTTGAGTTCATTGTAGATTCTGGATATTAGCCCTTTGTCAGATGGGTAGGTTGCGAAAATTTTCTCCCATTTTGTAGGTTGGCTGTTCACTCTGATGGTAGTTTCTTTTGCTGTGCAGAAGCTCTTTACAGGGATGCCCTCTCTCACCACTCCTATTCAACATAGTGTTGGAAGTTATGGCCAGGGCAATTAGGCAGGAGAAGGAAATAAAGGTTATTCATTTCGGAAAAGAGGAAGTCAAATTATCCCTGTTTGCAGATGACATGACTGTATATCTAGAAAACCCCATTGTCTCAGCCCAAAATCTCCTTAAGCTGATAAGCAACTTCAGCAAAGTCTCAGGATACAAAATCAATGTACAAAAATCACAAGCATTCTTATACACCAATAACAGACAAACAGACAGCCAAATCATGAGTGAACACCCATTCACAATTGCTTCAAAGAGAATAAAATACCTAGGAATCCAACTTACAAGGGACGTGAAGGACCTCTTCAAGGAGAACTACAAATCACTGCTCAAGGAAATAAAAGAGGACATAAACAAATGGAAGAACATTCCATGCTCATGGGTAGGAAGAATCAATATCGTGAAAATGGCCGTACTGCCCAAGGTAATTTATAGATTCAATGCCATCCCCATCAGGCTACCAATGACTTTCTTCACAAAATTGGAAAAAACTACTTTAAAGTTCATATGGAACCAAAAAAGAGCCTGCATCACCAAGTCAATCCTAAGCCAAAAGAACAAAGCTGGAGGCATCAAGCTACCGGACTTCTAACTATACTACAAAGCTACAGTAACCAAAACAGCATGGTACTGGTACCAAAACAGAGATATAGATCAATGGAACACAACAGAGCCCTCAGAAATAACGCCACATATCTACAACTATCTGATCTTTGACAAACCTGAGAAAAACAAGCAATGGGGAAAGGATTCCGTATTTAATAAATGGTGCTGGGAAAACTGGCTAGCCATATGTAGAAAGCTGAAACTGGATCCCTTCCTTACACCTTATACAAAAATTAATTCAAGATGGATTAAAGACTTAAACATTAGACCTAAAACCATGAAAACCCTAAAAGAAAACCTAGGCATTACCATTCAGGACATAGGCATGGGCAAGGACTTCGTGTGTAAAACACCAAAAGCAATGGCAACAAAAGCCAAAATTGACAAATGGGATCTAATTAAATTAGAATACTATTAAGTGCAACATTGGTCCCCCTAAGCCCTTACAAAAAAAATCTGCTACAGGATTATCTTCAGCCAACAAAAAGATACATGGAGAGGCCATGGTTAAAGGACAGGTGCTATTTAATTCATTTAATTGTAAAACTAAAGTTAAGCAATGGTGATAAATATGATTGTAAAATAGAATGTGAAGTTAAAATCCACGACAATACAAATACAATAGTGTAATTTTAAAAATTGAAATATAGGAGGCAAAGAGGAGGTTAAAGTACCCAATAAAAGAGTTAATAATTCTATAACTATATTTGGTGGTTAATTGGTGGTGAATTTAGAGCAAAGAGAAGTAGAAGGAAGAGGAATTATACTAATTTCACCTTTCATAAAGGGAAATCAATTGATACTATACATAGAGGATAACTTAAAAAGTAATGAATTAAGAATACATCTTCAAGGTGACCATTAGAAAAATATTAAAATACCCCAAAACTTTAAAATTACAAAGAAGAGTATGTATATAAGATTATAAGATCTTTAATTATATATATAAGATTATATATATATACACATTTTTGTATATATAAAAAAAGTAAGTACAGAAAGCATATTTTTTAATTAAACTTTAAGTTCTAGGGTACATGTGCACAACATGCAGGTTTGATACATAGGTATACATGTGCCATGTTGGTTTGCTGCACCCATCGACTCATTATTTACATTAGGTATTTCTCCTAATGCTATCCCTCCCGCAGCCCCCCACTCCCTGACAGGACCCCGTGTGTGATGTTCCTCACCCTGTATCCAAGTGATCTCATTGTTCAGTTCCCACCTATGAGTGAGAACATGCAGTGTTTGGTTTTTTGTCCTTGTGATAGTTTGCTGAGAATGATGGTTTCCAGCTTCATCCATGTCCCTGCAAAGGACATGAACTCATCCTTTTTATGACTGCATAGTATTCCATGCTGTATATGTGCCACATTTTCTTAATTCAGCCTATCATCGATGGACATTTGGATTGTTTCCAAGTATTTGCTATTGTGAATAGTGCCACAATAAACATACGTGTGCATATGTCTTCATAGTAGCATGATTTATAATCCTTTGGGTATATACCCAGTAATGGGATTGCTGGGTCAAATGGTATTTCTAGTTCTAGATTCTTGAGGGATCACCACACTGTCTTCCACAATGGTTGAACTAATTTACACTCCCACAAACAGTGTAAAAGCGTGCCTATTTCTCCACATCCTCTCCAGCATCTGTTGTTTCCTGACTTTTTAATGACTGCCATTCTAACTGGCATGAGATGGTATCTCATTGTGGTATTGATTTGCATTTCTCTCATGACAAGTGATAATAAGCATTTTCTCATGTGTCTGTTGGCTGCATAGAAGTCTTCTTTTTTTATATAGTAATTTTTAAATTCAGACAATATATCTAAAGGAAATGTCACCTGCCTCCTTCCCTAATCCCAAACTGCTCATCTTCAGTACCACTGTTAATGATTTAGTCTTTGTTCTTCTAGTTTTGTTTCTTTTTTTCTTTTTATTTTATTATTATTATACTTTAAGTTTTAGGGTACGTGTGCACAACGTGCGGGTTTGTTGCATATGTGTACATGTGAAACGTTGGTGTGCTGCACCCACTAACTCATCATTTAGCATTAGGTATATCTCCTAATGCTATCCCTCTCCCCTCCCCCGACCCCACAACAGGCCCCAGGGTGTGATGTTTCCCTTCCTGTGTCCATGTGTTCTCATTGTTCAATTCCCACCTATGAGTGAGAACATGAGTGTTTGATTTTTGTCCTTGCAATAGTTTGCTGAGAATGATGGTTTCCAGCTTCATCCATGTCCCTACAAAGGACATGAACTCATCATTTTTATGGTTGCATAGTATTCCATGGTGTATATGTGCCACATTTTCTTAATCCACTCTATCACTGATGGGCATTGGGGTTGGTTCCAAGTCTTTGCTATTATGAATAGTGCCGCAATAAACATACATGTGCATGTGTCTTTATAGCAGCATTATTTATAATCCTTTGGGTATATACCCAGTAATGGGATGGCTGGGTCAAATGGTATTTCTAGTACTAGATCCCTGAGGAATCGCCACACTGTCTTCCACAATGGTTGAACTAGTTTACAGTCCCACCAACAGTGTAAAAGTGTTCCTACTTCTCCACATCCTCTCCAGCATCTGTTGTTTCCTGACTTTTTAATGATTGCCATTCTAACTGGTGTGAGATGGTATCTCATTGTGGTTTTGATTTGCATTGCTCTGATGGCCAGTGGTGATGAGCATTTTTGTATGTGTCTTTTGTCTGCATAAATGTCTTCTTTTGAGAAGTGTCTGTTCATATCCTTTGCCCACTTTTTGATGGAGTTGTTTGTTGTTTTCTTGTAAATTTGTTTGAGTTCATTGTAGATTCTGGATATTAGCCCTTTGTCAGATGAGTAGGTTGCAAAAATTTTCTCCCATTCTGTACATTGCCTGTTCACTCTGATGGCGGTTTCTTTTGCTGTGCAGAAGGTCTTTAGTTTAATTAGATCCCATTTGTCAATTTTGGCTTCTGTTGCCATTGCTTTTGGTGTTTTAGACATGAAGTCCTTGCCCATGCCTATGTCCTGAATGGTATTGCCTAGGTTTTCTTTTAGGGTTTTTATGGTTTTAGGTCTAACATTTAAGTCTTTAATCCATCTTGAATTAATGTTTGTATAAGGTGTAAGGAAGGGATCTAGTTTCAGCTTTCTACATATGGCTAGCCAGTTTTCCCAGCACCATTTATTAAATAGGGAATCGTTTCCCCATTTCTTGTTTTTGTCAGGTTTGTCAAAGATCAGATAGTTGTAGATATGTGGCATTATTTCTGAGGGCTCTATTCTGTTCCATTGATCTATATCTCTGTTTTGGTACCAGTACCATGCTGTTTTGGTTACTGTAGCCTTGTAGTGTAGTTTGAAGTCAGGTAGCTTGATGCCTCCAGCTTTGTTCTCTTGGCTTAGGATTGACTTGGATTGACTTGTGGCCTCTTTTTTCATTCCATATGAACTTTAAAGTAGTTTTTTCCAATTCTGTGAAGAAAGTCATTTGGTAACTTGATGGGGATGGCATTGAATCTATAAATTACCTTGGGCAGTATGGCCATTTTCACGATATTGATTCTTCCTACCCATGAGCATGGAATGTTCTTCCATTTCTTTGTATCCTCTTTTATTTTCTTGAGCAGTCATTTGTAGTTCTTCTTGAAGAGATCCTTACATCCCTTGTAAGTTGGATTCCTAGGTATTTTATTCTCTTTGAAGCAATTGTGAATGGGAGTTCACTCATGATTTGGCTCTCTTTTTGTCTGTTATTGGTGTATAAGAATGCTTGTGATTTTTGCACATTGATTTTGTATCCTGAGACTTTGCTGAAGTTGCTTATCAGCTTAAGGAGATTTTGGGTTGAGACGATGGGGTTTTCTAGATATACAGTCATGTCATCTGCAAACAGGGACAATTTGACTTCCTCTTTTCCGAATTGAATACCCTTTATTTCCTTCTCCTGCCTAATTGCCCTGGCCAGAACTTCCAACACTATGTTGAATAGGAGTGGTGAGAGAGGGCATCCCTGTCTTGTACCAGTTTTCACAGGGAATGCTTCCAGTTTTTGCCCATTCAGTATGATATTGGCTGTGGGTTTGTCATAGATAGCTCTTATTATTTTGAGATATGTCCCATCAGTACCTAATTATTGAGAGTTTTTAACATGGTGTGTTGTTGAATTTTGTCAAAGGCCTTTTCTGCATCTATTGAGATAATCATGTGGTTTTTGTCGTTGGTTCTGTTTATATGCTGGGTTATGTTTATTGACTTGCATATGTTGAACCAGCCTTGCGTCCCAGGGATGAAGTCCACTTGACCATGGTGGATAAGGGTTTTGATGTGCTGCTGGATTCGGTTTGCCAGTATTTTATTGAGGATTTTTGTGTCGATGTTCATCAGGGATATTGGTCTAAAATTCTCTTTTTTTGTTGTGTCTCTGTCAGGCTTTGGTATCAGGATGATGCTGGCCTCATAAAATGAGTTAGGGAGGATCCCCTCTTTTTCTATTTATTGGAATAGTTTCAGAAGGAATGGTAACAGCTCCTCCTTGTACTTCTGGTAGAATTCAGCTGTGAATCCATCTGGTCCTAGACTTTTTTTGGTTGGTAAGCTATTAATTATTACCTCAATTTCAAAGCCTGTTATTGGTCTATTCAGAGATTCAACTTCTTCCTGGTTTAGTCTTGGGAGGGTGTATGTGTCGAGGAATTTATCCATTTCTTCTAGATTTTGTAGTTTATTTGCTTAGAGGTGTTTATGGTATTCTCTGATGGTAGTTTGTACTTCTGTGGGATCGGCGGTGATATCCCCTTTATCATTATTTATTGCATCTATTTGATTCTTCTCTCTTTTCTTCTTTATTATTCTTACTAGCAGTCTATCAATTTTGTTGACCTTTTCAAAAAACCAACTCCTGGATTCATTGATTTTTTGAAGGGTTTTTTGTGTGTCTATCTCCTTCAGTTCTGCTCTGATGTTAGTTATTTCTTCCATTCTGTTAGCTTTTGAATGTGTTTGCTCTTGCTTCTCTAGTTCTTTTAATTGTGATGTTAGGGTGTCAGTTTTAGATATTTCCTGCTTTCTCTTGTGGGCATTTAGTGCTATACATTTCCCTCTACACACTGCTTTAAATGTGTCCCGGAGATTCTGGTACGTTGTGTCTTTGTTCTCATTGGTTTCAAAGAACATCTTTATTTCTGCCTTCATTTTGTTATGTACCCAGTAGTCATTCAGGAGCAGGTTGTTCAGTTTCCATGAAGTTGAGCGGTTTTGAGTGAGTTTCTTAATCCTGCGTTCTAGTTTGATTGCACTGTGGTCTGAGAGACAGTTTGTTACAATTTCTGTTCTTTTACATTTGCTGAGGAGTGCTTTACTTCCAACTATGTGGTCAATTTTGGAATAGGTGTGGTGTGGTGCTGAGAAGAATGTATATTCTGTTGATTTGGGGTGGAGAGTTCTGTAGATGTCTATTAGGTCTGCTTGGTGTAGAGCTGAGTTGAATTCCTGGATATCCTTGTTAACTTTCTGTCTCGTTGATCTTCTAATGTTGACAGTGGGGTGTTAAAGTCTCTCATTATTATTGTGTGGGAGTCTAAGTCTCTTTGTAGGTCTCTAAGGACTTGCTTTATGAATCTGGGTACCCCTGTATTGGGGGCATATATATTTAGGATAGTTAGCTCTTCTTGTTGAATTGATCCCTTTACCATTATGTAATGGTCTTCTTTGTCTCTTTAGATCTTTCTTGGTTTAAAGTCTGTTTTATCAGAGACTAGGATTGCAACCCCTGCCTTTTTTTTGTTTTCCATTTGCTTGGTAGATCTTCCTCCATCCGTTTATTTTGAGCCTATGTCTGTCTCTGCATGTGAGATGGGTTTCCTGAATACAGCACACTGATGGGTCTTGACTCTTTATCCAATTTGCCAGTCTGTGTCTTTTATTTGGAGCATTTAGCCCATTTACATTTAAGGTTAATATTGTTATGTGTGAATTTGATCCTGTCATTGTGATGTTAGCTGGTTATTTTGCTTGTTAGTTGATGCAGTTTCTCCCTAGCCTCAATGGTCTTTACAATTTGGCATGTTTTTGCAGTGGCTGGTACCAGTTATTCCTTTCCATGTTCAGTGCTTCCTTCAGGAGCTCTTTTAGGGCAGGCCTGGTGGTGACAAAATGTCTCAGCATTTACTTGTCTGTAAAGGATCTTATTTCTCCTTCACTTATGAAGCTTAGTTTGGCTGGATATGAAGTTCTGGGTTGAAAATTCTTTCCTTTAAGAATGTTGAATATTGGCCTCCACTCTCTTCTGGCTTGTAGAGTTTGTGCTGAGAGATCAGCTGTTAGTATGATGGGCTTCCCTTTGTGGGTAACCCGACCTTTGTCTCTGGCTGCCCTTAACATTTTTTCCTTCATTTCAACTTTGGTGAATCTGACAATTATGTGTCTTGGAGTTGCTCTTCTCGAGGAGTATCTTTGTGGTGTTCTCTGTATTTCTTGAATTTGAATATTGGCCTGTCTTGCTAGATTGGGGAAGTTCTCCTGGATAATATTCTGCAGAGTGTTTTCCAACTTGGTTCCATTCTCCCCGTCACTTTCAGGTACACCAATCTGATGTAGATTTGGTATTTTCACATAGTCCCATATTTCTTGGAGGCTTTGTTCGTTTCTTTTTATTCTTTTTTTCGTTAAACTTCTCTTCTCACTTCATTTCATTCATTTGATCTTCAATCACTGATACCCTTTCTTCCAGTTGATCGAATCAGCTACTGAGGCTTGTGCATTCATCACGTTGTTCTCATGCCATGGTTTTCAGCTCCATCAGGTCCTTTAAGGACTTCTCTCCATTGGTTATTCTAGTAGCCATTCATCTAATCTTTTTTCAAGGTTTTTAACTTCTTTGCCATGGGTTTGAACTTCCTCCTTTAGGTCTGAGTAGTTTGATCATCTGAAGCCTTCTTCTCTCAACTCGTCAAAATCATTCTCTGTCCAGCTTTGTTCCATTGCTGGTGAGGAGCTACGTTCCTTTGGAGGAGGAGAGGCGCTCTGGTTTTTAGAATTTCCAGTTTTTCTGCTCTGTTTTTTCCCCATCTTTGTGGTTTTATCAACCTTTGGTCTTTGATGATGGTGACGTACAGATGGAGTTTTGGTGTGGATGTCCTTTCTGTTTGTTAGTTTTCCTTCTAACAGTCAGGACCCTCAGCTGCAGGTCTGTTGGAGTTTGCCTGAGTTCCACTCCAGACCCTGTTTGCCTGGGTATCAGCAACAGAGGCTGCAGAACAGCGGATATTGGTGAACAGCAAATGTGGCTGCCTGATTGTTCCTCTGGAAGTTTTGTCTCAGAGGAGTACCCGGCCGTGTCAGGTGTCAGTCTGCCCCTAATGGGGGGTGCCTCCCAGTTAGGCTACTCAGGGGTTAGGGACCCACTTGAGGAGGCAGTCTGTGTGTTCTCAAATCTCAAGCTGCGTGCTGGGAGAACGACTACTCTCCAGAAGTCTTCTTTTGAGAAGTGTCTGTTCATATCCTTTGCCCACTTTTTGATGGGGTTGTTTGTTTTGTTCTTGTAAATTTGTTTAAGTTCTTTGTAGATTCTGGATATAAGCCCTTTGTCAGATAGGTAGATTGCAAAAATTTTCTCCCATTTATATGGTGCCTGTTCACTCTGATGGTAGTTTCTCTTGCTGTGCAGAAGCTCTTTAGTTTAATTAGATCCCATTTGTCTATTTTGGCTTTTGTTGCCATTGCTTTTGGTGTTTTAGACATGAAGTCCTTGCCCATGTCCTGAATGGTATTGCCTAGGTTTTCTTCTAGGGCTTTTATGGTTTTAGGTCTAACATTTAAGTCTTTAATCTATCTTGAATGAATTTTTGTATAAGGTGTAAGTAAGGGATCCAGTTTCAGCTTTTTACAGATGGCTAGCCAGTTTTCCCAGCACCATTTATTAAATAGGGAATCCTTTCCCCATTTCTTATTTTTGTCAGGTTTGTCAAAGATCAGATGATTGTAGATGTGTAGTGTTATTTCTGAGGGCTCTATTCTGTTCCATTGGTCTATATCTCTGTTTTGGTACCAGTACCATGCTGTTTTGTTTACTGTAGCCTTGTAGTATAGTTTGAAGTCAGGTAGCATGATGCCTCCAGCTTTGTTCTTCTGGCTTAGGATTGACTTGGCAATGCAGGATCTTTTTTCGTTCCGTATGAACTTTAAAGTATTTTTTTCCAATTCTGTGAAGAAAGTCATTGGTAGCTTGATGGGGATGGCATTGAATCTATAAATTACCTTGGGCAGTATGGCCATTTTCACGATATTGATTCTTCCTATCCATGAGTATGGAATGTTCTTCCATTTGATTGTGTCTTCTTTATTTCATTGAGCAGTGGTTTGTAGTTCTCCTTGAAGAGGTCCTTCACATCCCTTGTAAGCTGGATTCCTAGGTATTTTATTCTCCTTGTAGCAATTGCAAATGGGAATTCACTCATGATTTGGCTCTCTGTTTGTCTGTTATTGCTGTATAGGAATGATTGTGAGTTTTGTACATTGATTTTGTATCCAGAGACTTTGCTGAAGTTGCTTATCAGATAAGGAGATTTTGGGCTGAGACAATGGGGTTTTCTAAATATACAATCATGTCATCTGCAAACAGGGACAATTTGACTCTTCTTTTCCTAATTGAATACCCTTTATTTCTTTCTCTTGCCTGATTGCCCTGGCCAGAACTTCCAACATTATGTTAAATAGGAGTGGTGAGAGAGGGTATCCTTGTCTTGTGCTGGTTTTCAAAGGGAATGCTTCCAATTTTTGCTCATTGAGTATGATATTGGGTGTGGGTTTGTCATAAGTAGCTCTTATTATTTTGAGATGCGTTCCATCAATATCTAGTTTATTGAGAGTTCTTAGCATGAAGGGCTGTTGAGTTTTGTCAAAGGCCTTTTCTGCATCTATTGAGATAATCATGTGGTTTTTGTCATTCGTTCTGTTTATGTGATGGATTATGTTTATTTATTTGCGTATGTTGAACCAGCATTGCATCCCAGGGAGGAAGCCAGCCTGATCGTGTTGGATAAGCTTTTTGATGTGGTGCTGGATTCGGTTTGCCAGTATTTTATTGAGGATTTTTGCATCCATGTTCGTCAGGGATATTGGTCTAAAATTCTCTTTTTTTGTTGTGTCTCTGCCAGGCTTTGGTATCAGCATGATGTTGGCCTCATAAAATGAGTTTGGGAGGATCCCCTCTTTTTCTATTGATTGGAATAGTTTCAGAGGGAATGGTAACAGCTCCTGTTTGTACCTCTGGTAGAATTTGTCTGTGAATCCGTCTGGTCCTGGACTTTTTTTCGTTGGTAGGCTATTAATTATCACATCAGTTTCAGAGCCTGTTATTGGTCTATTCAGAGATTCAACTTTTTCCTGGTTTAGTCTTTGGAGGGTGTGTGTGTCCAGGATTTTATCCATTTCTTCTAGATTTTCTAGTTTATTTGCATAGAGGTGTTTATAGTATTCTCCAAAGGTAGTTTGTGTTTCTATGGGATCGGTGGTGATATCCCTTTTATCATTTTTTGTTGCATCTATTTGATTCTTCTCTCTTTTCTTCTGTATTAGTCTTGGTAGTGGTCTATCAATTTTGTTGATCTTTTCAAAAAACCAGCTCCTGGATTCATTAATTTTTTGAAGGGTTTTTTGTGTCTTTATCTCTTTCAGATCTGCTCTGATCTTAGTTATTTCCTGCCTTCTGCTAGCTTTTGAATTTGTTTCCTCTTGCTTCTCTAGCTCTTTTAATTGTGATGTTAGGGTGTCAATTTTAGATCTTTCCTGCTTTCTCTTGTGGACATTTAGTGCTATACATTTCCCTCTACACACTGCTTTAAATGTGTCCCAGAGATTCTGGTACATTGTTCTTTGTTCTCATTGGTTTCAAAGAACATCTTTATTTCTGCCTTCAATTCGTTATTTACCCAGTAGTCATTCAGTGGCAAGTTGTTCAGTTTCCAAATAGTTGAGCAGTTTTGAGTGAGTTTCTTAATCCTGAGTTCTAATTTGATTGCACTGTGGTCTGAGAGACAGTTTGTTGTGATTTCTGTTCTTTTACTTTACTGAGGAGTGCTTTACTTCCAATTATGTGGTCAATTTTAGAATAAGTGCAATGTGGTGCTGAGAAAAATGTATATTCTGTTGATTTGGGGTGGAGAGTTCTGTAGGTGTCTATTAGGTCTGTTTGTTGCAGAGCTGAGTTCAAGTCCTGGATATCCTTGTTAACCTTCTGTCTCATTGATCTGCCTAATATTGACAGTGGGGTGTTAAAGTCTCCCATTATTATTGTGTGGGAGCCTAAGTCTCTTTGTATATCTCTAAGGACTTGCTTCATGAATCTGGGTGCTCTTGTAGTGGGTGCATATATATTTAGGATAGTTACATCTTCTTGTTGAATTGAACCCTTTGCCATTATGTAATGGTCTTCTTTGTCTCTTTTGATCTTTGTTGGTTTAAAGTCTCTTTTGTCAGAGGCTAGAATTGCAACCCTGCTTTTTTTTTTTTTTTTTTTTTGCTCTCCATGTGCTTTGTAGATCTTCCTCTATCCCTTTATTTTTAGCTTATGTGTGTCTTTGCATGTGAGATGGGGCTCTTGAATACAGCACACTGATGGGTCTTGACTCTTTATCCAATTTGCCAGTCTGTGTCTTAATTGGCACATTTAGCCCATTTACATTTAAGGTTAATATTGTTATGTGTGAATTTGATCCTGTCATTATGATGTTAGCTGGTTATTTTGCCCGTTAACTGATGCAGTTTCTTCCTAGCATCTATGATCTTTACAATTTGGCATGTTTTTGCAGTGGCTGGTACCAATTGTTTCTTTCCATGTTTAGTACTTCCTTCAGGAGCTCTTGTAAGGCAGGCTTGGTGGTGACAAAATCTCTCAGCATTTGCTTGTCTGTAAAGGATTTTATTTCTCCTTCAGTTATGAAGCTTAGTTTGGCTGGATATGAAATTCTGGGTTGAAAATTCTTTAAGAATGTTGAATATTGGCTCCCACTCTCTTCTGGCTTGTAGGGTTTCTGCCAAGAGATCCGCTGTTAGTCTGATGGGCTTTCTTTTGTGGGTAACTCGACCTTTCTCTCTGGCTGCCCTTAACATTTTTTCCTTCATTTCAACTTTGGTGAATCTGACAATTATGTTCCTTGGGGTTGCTCTTCTCAAGGAGTATCTTTGTAGTGTTCTCTATATTTCCTGAATTTGAATGTTGGCCTGCCTTGCTAAGTTGGGGAAGTTCTCCTGGATAATATCCTGCAGAGTGTTTTCCAACTTGGTTCCATTCTCCCTATGACTTTCAGGTACACCAATCAAACTAGATTTAGTCTTTTCATATAGTCCCATATTTCTTGGAGGCTTTGTTCATTTCTTTTTACTCGTTTTTCTCTACCTTGCTTTCTCACTTTATTTCATTAATTTGATATTCCATCACTGATACCCTTTCTTCCACTTGATCGAATCAGCTATTGAATCTTGTGCATGCATCACGAATTTCTCGTGCCATGGTTTTCAGCTCCATGAGGTCATTTAAGGTCTTCTCTATTCTGTTTATTCTATTTAGCATTTCTTCTAACCTTTTTTCAAGGTTTTTAGCTTCCTTGTGATGGGTTCTAACCTGCTCCTTTAGCTCGGAGAAGTTTGTTATTATTGACCTTCTGAAGCCTACTTCTGTCAACTCGTTAAAGTCATTCTCCATCCAGCTTTGTTCTGTTACTGGCGAGGAGCTGCAATCCTTGGGAGGAGAAGAGGCACTCTGATTTTTCGAATTTTCAGCTTTTCTGCTCTGGTTTCTCTTCATCTATGTGGTCTTATCTACCTTTGGTCTTTGATGTTGGTGACCTACAGATGGGGTTTTGGTGTAGATGTTCTTATTGTTGATGTTGATGCTATTCCTTTCTGTTTGTTAGTTTTCCTTCTAACAGTCAGGTTCCTCAGCTGGTGGTCTGTTGGAGTTTGCTGGAGGCCCACTCGAGACCCTGTTTGCCTGGGTATCACCAGTGGAGGCTGCAGAACAGCAAATATTGCTGCCTAATCCTTCCTCTGGAAGCTTCGCCCCACAGGGGCACCCACTTATCTGAGGTATCTGTCAGCCTCTACTGGGAGGTGTCTGCCAGTTAGGCTGAACAGGTGTCAGCGACACACTTAGGAGGCAGCCTGTCTGTTCTCAGAGTTCAAACGCCGTGCTGGGAGAAACACTGCTCTCTTCAGAGCTATCAGACAGGGACATTTAAGTCTGCAGAAGTTGTCTGCTGCCTTTTGTTCAGCTAAGCCCTGCCCACAGAGGAGAAGTCTAAAGGCAGTAGGCCTTGCTAAGCTGTGGTGGGCTCCCTCATTTTGAGCTTCCCGGCCACTCTGTTTACCTACTGAAGCCTCAGCAATGGCGGATGCCCCTCCCCAAGCCAGGCTGCCACCTCACAGCTCAATCTCAGATTGCTGTGCTAGCAGTGAGCAAGGCTCTGTGGGCATGGGACCTGCTGAACCAGGCACAGGAGAGAGTCTCCTTGTCTGCCCATTGCTAAGACTTTGGGAAAAGTACAGTATTTGGGTGGGAGTATCCCATTTTTCCAGGTACAGTCTGTCACAGCTTCCCTTTGCTAGGAAAGGGAAATCCCCAACCCCTTGCACTTCCCGGGTGAGGCAATGCCCTGCCCTGCTTCAGCTCACCCTCCATGGGCTGCACCCACTGTCCAACCACTCCCAGTGAGATGAACCAAGTACCTCAATAGGAAATGCAGAAATCACCCATCTTCTGTATCAATCACGCTGGAAGCTGCAGACCAGAGCTGTTCCTATTTGGCCATCTTGGAACCTGGACCAGCATATTTTTAAATGAAAAGAAGATATAACCTACTATAAAAAGTGGTATAACTGGCCAGAGCCCATTCAAGGGACTGGTCAGTCTTCAAATTCTCCAGTCTGAGCCTTTCAGGAGTGCCTCAATCCCAGCTTTCTACCTTTGAAAACAGCAAGAATTTTGTCTCTGCAACAGTTTTTCCTAGAGCCAATCACGTGTCATGCCTGGAACAGGGATCATACCCAAATTGCCCTTGGCCTGAATAATCACAAAATCCACATCTGTAAGAAGAATGGGAGCCAATAGCAAAACCTCATAAACTCCAGAAGCACAATCACAGGTACTGACTGGGCTCCCAAGCATGACCACATTATCATTTGCATGAGTCAGAAAGATGGTGTCTGGAAGCTAACCCTGGTGATCCTGAGAATTGATCATGCAACTACTTTTGTGAAGTGGTCCCTCCTAGAGAACAAAATTGTTGTAGGTAGTGGAGCATCGCTTTTTATGTGTGTGTGAAAATGAATAGTGGATAAGCAAGTTAATTTAAAGGCCAATTAATTTCATTGTCCTTTGGATTGGCATTCCAACAATGTTTTGCTAGTAGCAGGTTCATGTGACTTCAAATGAAGAGTGTTTCTGCATACATTAATGTTTGAAAACCCAACCAGTATGCCATGGGACAGCAAGATGCCTTTTGATTAGCTGATGTCATAGCTTGGTGCCACTGGAGACTGGGTCCCAGGTTCAATTTGTCTATGGGAGCTCTCTGGCCTGGATGAGCTATGATAGCAACATGTTCTTTACTGATGCTTCAGAGTGCAGATTTCAACTCTGAAAGAAGTTGCTGCCTGTCATGAATATATCATTTGTCTTGGAGAATAACATTGTTGTAGCCACTGGCCAAGACTGCTGCTGAAGGCTCTGTAACTATGATGGTGATGGATACTTGATCTTAGTCTCCAAACTAGATATTCCAAAATAGAGCATGCAGCATAAAATGTCAGCCATGGAACACTTCCACACGCATACAAAAGAGCCACAACCACAGACAGCAATATAGCTACAGAGAAGCTGCTTCATAACATCATCACTCAAATACCTATTTATGAAGTGGAAAAGCAATATTTTAAAATCTTTTTTTCTTTTTTAAAAATCTTTTATTTTAAAAAAATATTGTGGGTGCATTGTGGTTGTATATATTTATGGGGCACATGAGATGTTTTGATTACATGCAATGTGAAATAACCATATAATGGACAATGGGATATGCATCCCCTCAAGCATTTATCCTTTGAGTTACAAACAGTCCAATTACATTCTTTAAGTTGTTTTAAAAGATACAATTATTATTGACTGTAGTCACCCTATTGTTCTGTCAAATAGTAGGTCTGATTCTTTCTTTCTAATTTTTTCTACCCATTAACCATCCGCAACACCTCCCTAACCCCCCACTACCCTTCTCACCCTCTGGTAATTTTCGTATTAGTCCATTCTCACACTGCTATAAAGAACTACCTGAGACTGGGTAATTTATAGATAAAATAAATTTAATTGACTCACAGTTCCACATGGCTGGGGAGGCCTCAGAAAACTTATACTCATGGTGGACAGTGAAGGGGAAGCGAGGCATGTCTTCTCATGGCCAGAGAAGGAGGAAGAGAGAGCAAAGGGGGCAGTGCTGCATGTTTTTAAACAACCAGATCTTGTGAGAACTCTATCATGAGGCAGCACTAGGGGGATTGTGCCAAACCATTAGAAACCACCACCATGATTCAGTCACCTCCCACCAGGCCCCACCTCCTGGGAGATTACACTTCAACATGAGATTTGGGTGGTGACACAGAGCCAAACCATATAAGCATTCTACTCTCTCTGTCCATGAGTTTAATTGATTTTATTTTTAGATCGCACAAATAAGTGAGAATATTTAATGTTTGTCTTTTTGTGCCTGGCTTATTTCACTTAATAATCTCCAGTTCCATCTATCTTGTTACAAATGACAGGCTTTTATTCTTTGATATGATTGAATAGTACTCCATTGCATATATGTAGCATGTTTTGTTTATTTATTCATGTATGGATGGATGCTTAGGTTTTTTCCAAATATAGGATAGTAGATGTCTTTTCAATATACAGATTTTTTTTCTTTTGAATATGTACCCAATAGTAGGATTGCTGGATCATATAGTAAGTAGCTCAGTTTTTAGTTTGGAGGAACCTCCAAACTGTTTGCAGTTTTGCTATTTCATATTCCCACCAACAGTGCATGAAACTTCCCTCTTCTCCATATCCTTGCCAGCATTTGTTATTGCCTGTCTTTTGGATATAAGCCATTTTAACTTAAGCGAGATGATATCTCATTAGTTTTGATTTGCATTTCTCTGATGATCATTGATGTTGAGCACCTTTTCATAAGCCTGTTTTCCATTTGTACGTGATGTTTTAGAAAAGTCTATTCAAATATTTTGCCCATCTTTTGATCAGATTATTAGATTTTTTTCATATAGAGTTGTTTTGAGCTTTTTATATATTTTGGTTAGTAATTCCTTATCAGAGGGGTAGTTTGAAAATATTTTCTCCCATTCTGTGGTTTGTTTCTTCACTTTGTTGATTGTATCCTTTGCTGTGCTGAGTTTTTTAACTTGATGTGATCTCATTTGTTCATGTTTGCTTTGGGGGTGCTTGTGGGGTGTTGCATAAGAAGCCTTTGCCCAGACCAATGTCCTAGAGATATACCCCAATCTTGTAGTAGTTTCATAGTTT
The DNA here is from genome assembly GCF_000001405.40 of Homo sapiens. Lineage (NCBI taxonomy): Eukaryota > Metazoa > Chordata > Mammalia > Primates > Hominidae > Homo > Homo sapiens. The sequence continues at coordinate 121,359,577 of NC_000003.12, forward strand.
GAGGTCTTATATTTAAGTCTTTAATCCGTTTTGATTTGATTTTCGTATATGGTGAGATGTAGAGGTCTATTTTCATTGTTTTGCACAGGGATATCCAGTTTCCCCAGTGCCATTTATTGAAGATGCTGTCTTTTCTGCAGCATATGTTCTTGGCACCTTTGTCAAAAATGAGCTCACCGTAGGTGTGTGGATTTGTTTCTGGATTCTCTATTCTGTCCCATTGGTCAATATGTCTGTTTTTATGCCAGTACCATGCTATTTTGGTAACTATACCTCTGTAGTATAATTTGTACCTCTGTAGTATAATTTGAAGTCTGGTAATGTGATTCCTCCAGTTTGGTTCTTTTTGCTTAGGATATCTTTGACTATTCTGAGTCTTTTGTGGTTATACATATATAATATAATATATATAATATATATATTATTACTATATAATATAATATATATATTATTACTATATAATATAATATATAGTAATAATATATATAATATATATAGGTGTTCCCATATTGGGTACATATGTATTTTAAAATTGTTATATCCTCTTGCTGAATTGACCCCTTCATTATTTTATAGTGATCTTCTTTTCTCTTCTTATAGTTTTTATCTTGAAATCTATTTTTTCTGATATAAATATAGTGACTCCTCCTTTTTTTGGTTTCAATTGGCATAGAATATCTTTTTCTATGCTTTTATTTTTAGTCAACATGTGTCTTTATAGGTGAAGTGTTTTCTTGTAGGCAGCAGATCAATGGATCTTTTTTTAATCCATTCAGTCATTCTGTGTCTTTTGATTGAAGAGTTTAATCCATTTACTTTCAAAGTAATTCTTGGTAAGTAAGGACTTACTCCTGGCATTTTGTTATTTGTTTTCTGGTTGTTTTGTGTCTTCTCTTCCTTCTTTCATTCCTGTCTTCCTCAAGTGAACATGATATTTTTGGGTGATATGATTTCGTTTCCTGCTTTTTATTTTTTGTGTATTCATTGTATGCTTTTTGGTTTGAGATTACCATGAGGCATGCGAATACTATCTTATAACCCGCTATTTAACCTGATAACAACACTATTTGCATAAACCAACAGTGAAAAATAAAACTAATAAAAACTCACCTTAAGTTTGTCCTCCTGCTTTTTAACTTTTTGTTGTTTCTATTTATGTCTTATTGTACTATGTCTTGAAAAGTTGTAGTTATTATTTTTTATTGTTTCATCATTTAGTCTTTCTACTTAGGATAAGAGTAGTTTACACACCACAGTTACAGTGTTATAATATTTTATGCTTTTCTGTGTATTTACTATTACCAGTAAGTTTTGTACCTTCAGGTGGTTATATATTGCTCATTAATGTCCTTTTCTTTCTGATTGAAACACTTCCTTTAGCATTTCTTGTAGGATGGATCTGGTATTGATGAACTCCCTCAGCTTTTGTTTGTCTAGGAAAGTCTTTATTAGTTCCGCATGTTTCAAGGATATTTTCACCAGATATACTATTCTAGGGTAAAAGGTTTTTCCTTCAGCACTTTAAATATGTCATACTACTTTCTCCTATCCTGTAAAGTTTCCACTGAAAAGTCTGCTGCCCAGCATTTGAAGTTCCATTGTATGTTATTTGTTTCTTTTCTCTTGCTACTTTTAGAGTCCTTTCTTTATCCTTGACTTTTGGGAGTTTGATTATTAAATGCCTTGAGGCAGTATTCTTGGAGTTAAATCTTATTGGTGTTCTATAATCTTCTTTACTTGAATATTAATATCTTTCTCTAGGTTTGGGAAGCTCTCTGTTATTATTCCTTTGAATAAAACTTCTACTCCTATCTCCTTCCCTACCCCCCCTTTAAGGACATTTCTTAGGTTTGCCCTTTTGAGGCTATTTTCCAGATATTGTAGCATGCTTCATTCTTTTTTATTCTCTTTTCTTTTGTCTCTTCTGATTATGTATTTTAAATAGCCTGTCTTCAGGCTCACTAATTCTTTCTTCTGCTTGATCAATTCTATGTAAACACTCTTATGCATTCTTCAGTATGCCAGTTGCATTTTTCAGCTCCAGATTTTCTGCTTGATTCTTTTGATTATTTCAATCTCTTGTTAAATTTATCTGATAGAATTCTGAATTCCTTCCCTATGTTATCTCGAATTTTTTTTTTTAGTTTCCTCAACACAGCTATTTTGAGTTCTCTATATGAAAGGTCACATATCTCTCTTTCTCCAGGATTGGTCTCTGGTGCCTTATTTAATTCATTTGGTGAAGTCATGTTTTCCTGGATAGTGTTGATGCTAGTAGATGTTCTTTGGTGTGTGGGCATTGAAGAGTTAGGTATTTATCTTAGTCTTCATGGTTGGGTCTTATTTGTATCCATACTTCTTGAAAGGCTTTCCAGATATTTGAAAGGACTTGGGTATTGTGATCTAAGCTGTATCTGCTTTGGGGGCACCCCAAGCCCAGTAGTGCTATAGTTCTTGCAGACTCATAGAAGTACTGCTTTAATAGTCTTGGACAAATCTGGGAGAATTATCTGGGTTACATGACAGAGACTCTTATTCTTTACTTACTTTCTCCCAAACATACAGAGTCTCTCTCTCTCTCTATTCTAAGCCACCTTAAGCTGGGGGTGAAGTGACACCCTTGTGGCCACCACTACTATTATTGTGATGAGTCAGACCTAAATTTAGTGTAGCACTGGGTCTCACCCAAGGCCTGCTATAATTACTCCCTGGCTAATGCCTATGTTCACTCAAGGTCCTGGGGCTCTATGATCTGCAAGTAGCAAAGCCAGCCAGGCTTGTGTCCTTCTCTTCAAGGGTGGCAAGGCCCCCTAGGTCCTGGGTAGGTCCAGAAGTGCTGTCTGGGAGCCAGGGCTGGCACTCAAAACACAAGACAGAGTCCTTCCTACTCTTCCCTCCTTTTTTAAAAGCAGAGGAGCTCCACCCCATAGCCGCCACCACCCCAGGCCATGAGAAGTACTGTCATGCTACCACTAACATTCCAATAAGGTCCAAGGTCACTTAAGTCAGCTTATTGTGAATGCTGCCTGGCCTGGGACTCAGCCTTCACGGCAGTGAGTTACCCTCTGGCCCAGGACAGGTCTAGAAATGCCATCTAAGAGTCATGTCCTGGAATCAGGGACCCCAAGAGCCTGCTTGGTGCTCTCCTCCTCTGTGGCTGTGCTGATATCTAAGGTACAAGACAAACTCCCCTTTACATTTCCTTCTGCTTTTCTCAAGCAGAAGGAGTTTTGCCCCATAGCCACCACAGCTGATAATGTGCTGAGTCTCACCTGAAACTGGCAAGTCTCAGGGGTTCATCCAAGGCCCTTAACATTGCACCTGGATATTGCTGCTGGTTATTCAGGGCCTAGGGGCTCTACAGTTAGGAGGTGATCAATGCTGCCAGAACTGGGTTCTTTCCTTCAAAGCACTGGGTTCCTTTCTGGCCCAGGTGATGTTAAGAAATTTTTTCTGAGAGATACGGCCTGGAATAGGGGCCTCAAGACTCTGACCAGTGCCCTATCCTGATGTGACTGAATTGGTATCCTAGATGCAAGACAAAGTCCTCTCCACTCTTTTCTCTCCTGTCCTTAATCAGAAAGAAGGGGTCTCTATTGGAGCCATGAGCTGTGCAGCCTGGGGTTATGGGAGAGGTGATACCAGCAGTCCCTTGGCTGACCCAGCTGGTGTCTCAATATGTTGTTTGCCCCCGACTCTGCCCCACCCAGTCCACTATCTCTGGGCCTAGTTCAGCACTAGGACTCACCTAAGAGTTGTAGTCCTTATGCCCTACACTGTCTTTCAAATTTATTTGGAGACACAGAGAGCTGTAGCCCTTGGTGGTGATGTTTCCACATACTCAAGTTCAGACTGCTGGGATTGGCAGTTCCCCTCTGGCTAGGGATGGTTGAAATTCTCTCTCTGTGGATGGACATCAGCTGAGTTTGGTTTAGTTTACCTTTCTGCTCTAACAGGACAGCACTGATTTCAGTGCCTCACAATTGCTGTTTTCTCCCTCCCTCCCTCCCTGAGCACCCAGATACTCTACACACCACATCACCACTACCAAAAGGAGGGGTGGCATCAGTGATTCAGAACTGTTTTTTCTATCTCCTTAGTGCCTCTTCTAATGATATGAAGTTAAAACCAGGTGTTATGAGTGCTCACCTGATTCTTGGTTCTTATGAAGGTGGGTTTTTTTTTCTGTGTAGATATTTGTTAGCTTGGTGTCCTTGCTGGGGTCAAGGGGAGATGATTGGTGGAGTTTTCTATTCTGCCATCTTGCTATGCCTCCTATCTTTGCCCGTTATTGAATTGAGTAGTTTATTTTGTTATTGTTGAGTTTTAGGAGTTCTTTATATATTCCAGATAATAATAGTCCCTTACCAGATATATGATTAGCAAATATTTTCTTCCATTCTATGTGTGGCCTTTTTACTCTGTTGATAGTGTCATTTGAGGTACACAGTTTTTAAATGTTTATGAAGTCCAGTTGTCTATTTTTTCATTTCTTGTTTGTGCCTTTGATATCATATTTTAGAAATTGTTACCAAATGTAATGTCATTAACTTTTGCCCTTTGTAGCTTCTAAGAGATAATCAAGTTTTACCTGCACCATCAAGTTTTACCTGCACAATTTAGTGAAGAAACTATTCTTTCTTAACTCAATGGGCTCAGTATCCTTGTCAAAATTGATTTGACCATATGTGAGAGTGTTTGTTTATGGGATCTAGATTCTACTCCAATAGTCTATATGTCACTCCTTATAACAGTACCAAAATGTCTTATTACAGCTGTGTAGTAAGTTTTGAAATCAGAAATTGTAAATCTTCCAACTTTATTCTTCTCTTTCAAAATTATTTTGGCTATTAGATTTGGCCATGAGATTCCAGATGAAGTTAAGGATGTGTTGTTCTATATCTGCAAAAAAAAAAAAATGGATTTTCATAGAGGTTGCATTGAATCCATAGATCACTTTGGTTTATATTGACATCTTAACAATATTAAGTCCTCTAATCCATGAACATGGGATATGTTTTCCTTTGTTTATATGTTCTTTAATTTTTTCAGTAATGTTTTATAGATATCATTATACAAGTGTTTCACTTCCTTGGTTAAATTAATTCTTAAGTATTTTATTCTTTTTCATGCTATTGTAAATGAAATTTTTTATAATTTCCTTTGCCGATTGTTTATATAAAGAAATGCAACTGACTTTTATGTGTTGACTTTATATTCTACTGCTTTACTAAATGTATTTATTAGCTCTAACAGTTTTTTGTGGAATCTTTGTTTTTATATATGGCTTTTATTATATTGAGATAATTTCTTTCTATTTCTAATTTGTTGAGTGTTTTTATTATAAAAGGGTGGTGAGTTTCATCAAATGCTTTTTCTGCTCAATTGAGATGATCAGGTGGGTTTTTCCCCTCTTTTTTTGAGTCTCTATCTGAGTCTGCTTGGTATATTTATTTTATTAATTTGTAACCTTAATATATTGCAATGATTAATTTTCACATGTTAAATCATCCTTATATTCCAGAAATATATTCCACTTGGTTATAGTCTATAATTCCATTAATATGCTACTGAATTCTATTTAATAGTATTCTATTGAGTATTTTGCATCACTGTTCATGAGGAATATTAATATAGTCAATATAGTTTATAGTTGTAGTGTCTTTCTCTAGCTTGGTAACAGGGTAATGCTGGCCTTATAGATTGAGTTAGAAGTATTGGTCCTCTTCAATTTTTGAAAAAGTTTACAAGGACTGATATTATTCTTCTTTAAAGATTTGGCAGAATACACGAGTGAAGCCAACAGGTTCAGGGCTTTTTTTCTTTCTTTTTTTTTAATCAGAAGATTTTTTTTTGTTACTGATTAAATCTTTTTACTAGTTATAAGTCTATTCACGGTTTGTATTTCTTTGTGACTTGGTCATGGCAAGTTTTGTGTTTCAGGAATTATTTTTTCATCTAGATTATGCAATTTGTTGGCATACAAATGTTCATAATACTATCTTAAAATTCTTTTTATTTCCGTAGAATCAGCAATAATGTCCCCATTTTCACTTCTGATTTTAGTAATTTGACTCTTCTCTCTCTGTTTCTTCTTACATGTAACTAAAGTTTTATCAATTTTGTTGATTTTCTGAAGACCCAACTTTTGATTTCATTGATTTTCTCTGTGGTTTTTCTATTCTCTAATTTTTAATCTCTGCTCTAATGTTTATGTTTTCTGTTACTTGCTTTGGGTTCTTTTTTTCTTTTTCTGCTTTCTTGAGTTGTAAAGTTAGGTTGTTGCCTTGAGATTTTTCTTATTTTTTATTATAAGTATTTATAGCTACAAATTTCCCTCTTTGCACTGCTTTCACTGTATCTTATATGTTTTTGGTATGTTGTATTTTTGTTTTCATTTATCTCTAATTATTTTCTAATTTTCATCCTGATTTCTGCCTTGATCCATTGGTTAAGAGAGTGTTGTTTAATTTCCACAAGTTTGTTAATTTCTCAATTGTACTTCTGTTATTGATTTCTAACTTCATTCCACTGTGCTCATAGAAGACACTTTGTATGGCATCTATCTTTTTAAGTCTATCAAGACTTCAATTATGGTCTTACATATGGCCTATCCTGGAGGATGTCTCATGTGCACTTGAAAAGAATGCGTATACTTTTGTTGATGTATAGAGTGTTATATATCACTGTTAGATCTAGTTGGTTTATTGTATTAAGTCCTCTTTTCTCTTACTTCTGTCTGGTTGGTCTATCTATTTTTCAGTGTGGAATATTGAATTGTACAACTATTATAGAACTGTATATTTCTATTTTCTCTCATTTTTTGCTTCATATATTTTGATGGTCTCTCATTAGAGGCTTAAATATTTATAATTGTTGTATCTTCTTAATATGTTCAGCTTTTTAGGAAATATAATGTCCTTCTTAGTCTCTTTTAACTTTATAAATTTAAAGACCATTTTGTCTGATATTGATATGGCTACCCCACTCTGTTTTGGATACCATTTGCATGGAATCTCTTTCTCCATCCTTTCACTTTCAATTTATTTGTGACTCTGTATCAAAAGTGAGTCTGTTATAAACCATGTATGGTTAGACTATGTGTTTTTATCCTTTCAGTCAATCTCTATCTTTTGAGTAGAGGCTTTAATTCACTTACATTTAAAGTAATTGCTGATAAAGAGGGATTTCTGTTATTTTATGATTTCTCTTCTATAGGCCTTATAGCTTTTTTGTACTCCATTTTTTTATTACTGTTTGTGTGTGGTCTTGTGTGTGTTTAGCTGACTGTTAAATGGGATGTTTAGATTCCTTTCTCATTTCCTATTGGTATATTTTATAGCTAATTTTATGGTTACCATTTGGCTTACATTTAATATCCTAAAGTTATAACACTAAGATTTGAATTGATACCAGCTTAACTTCAATAGCATACAGAAATTCTGATACTTTACAGCTTCTTTCTCACTTCTTTCAGTTGTTTATGTTCTAAAATTACATCTTTATACCATATGTACCCCACAACATGAACTAATAATTCCTTTAAATATATTTATCTCTTAAATTATGTAGAACCCAAAAGGTGTGGTTACAAACCATTGTTCCAATAACACTAGCTTGTACAATTGCCCTTGTATTTGTCTTTATTGAGATCTTTATTCCTTCATATGGCTTTGAGTTACTACCTAATATCCTTTTATTTCACCCTGCAGGACTCCTTTGCACATTTCTTACAGGGCGGATCTGGTGGTAACAATCTCCCTTAGCTTTGTTTATCTGGTAATATTTTAATTTATTCCTTACTTTTGAAGGACACTTTTGCCAGATATAGGACTCTTGGTTGAAATTTTTTTTCCTCTTAGCATTTTAAATATATTGATTCCTGCCTTCTACTTTCCATCCAAAGTTTTCATAATCAGCATCAAGGATATGCTGATTATCTTATTAAGGATGCCTTGTATATGATGAGTCACTTCTCTATTGCTGCTTTCAAGGTTCTCTCTTTGTCTTCGACTCTTGTTTTTTTTTTTTTTTTTTTTTTTTTTTAAACAGGTTCTCACTTTGTCACCCAGAATAGAATGTAGTGGCCTGATTGATCATGGCTTCTAGCAGCCTTAACATCCTGGACTCAAATAGATCCTCTTGCCTCAGCTTCCTGATTAGCTGGGACTGTAGGCATTTGCCACCACACTTGGCTAATTTTTTTGCTTTTCCTTTTTTTTTTTTTTTGTAGAGACCAGGTCTTCCTATGTTGCCCAGGATGGTCTCAAACTCCGGAACTCAAGCAGTCTTCCTGCCTTGGCCTCCCAAAGTGCTGGAGTTATAGGCATGAGCCATCTTTGACTTTTGAAAGCTTTGTAACAATGTCTCAATGTGAGTCTTTTTGAGTTTATCTTCCTTGGAATTCATTGAGCTTCTTGGTTGTTTATATTCATGTGTTTCATCAAATTTGAGAAGTTTTCAGTCATTATTTATTCAAATATTTTCTCTGCCCCTTTCTGTCTCTCTTCCTTTTTTTTCTGAAATTTCCACAATATTGACTTTTTACTTAATGGGGATGCATATGTCACTTAGCCTCTGTTCACCATTTTGAATTTTTTTCTTTCTGTTTTTCAGACTTGATAATATTCACTTTTTAATCTACAAGTTTGCTAATTCTTCTGTCTGCTCAAATCTGCCTTTGAATTCTTCTAGTGAATGTTTCATTTCGGTTATTATACTTTTAAGCTCCAGAGTTTCTTTCTGGTTTCTTTTTAGGTTTTCTATCTCTTTACTGATATTTATATTTTGTTCATACATCCTTTACTTGACTTTCTCCCCATCTTTCTTTAGTTCTTTAAGCATCATTAAGACAGTTGTTTTAAAGTATTTATCTAGTAGGTCTACCCTCAGGACTTTTTCAGGGATAATTTCTGTTGCTATTTTTTTCTTTCAATGGGCCATCCTTCCCTGTCTCTTTGTGTACATTATGATTTTTTTTGTTTAAAAGGGAACTTTTTAATTTAATAATGTAATAACTCTGGAAATCATATTTGCTCCATTTTCTAGGGTTTATTTTGTTGCTGTTATTGCTTTAGGTTTTATTTATTAATTTGCTTTATAGTTGTAATCTGTCTCTGTGCCAAGGACTGGTCTGGGGTGTAATCTTAAGGTCTTCTTAAGCCTTTTCTGAGCTTTTCTCTGGATATGTGTGGTCATTTTCTAATTTTCCCTGTATATGCAGTTGTCTTCTTAATGTCTAATTCTTTAATGTCTGGCTCTCGAAAGAAGAAAAAGAGAAAAATGAAGGAGTTAATGGAGTGGCAGTGGAGCTTTAAATCCCTTGGAAGTCACTTCAGACAGAGGGTGTAGGGCTTGCGGGAATGAGGGTAAGTGCAACAACAATGGCTGCCCAGTTCTTTGTTTGCACTTCTGTGATCAGAAGCAGTCATCAATGATCAGGACACAAATCCCTGATTTTTTAAGGATAGAGGGGGGTTTTGTTGGTCCACCCTGTCTCCTGAAAGCTGTATGCAAACTGTTCCAGGAACATGTGCACAGCTGCCTGGCAGGGGATTGGGAGTGGGGCATAGGTAGCTACTACTGAGCTAAGAGCTAAAATTGACCAAAATTAGCTGCAATTTACCATCTAAGCCTTCCCCTGAAAGTTGTATGTCTTCAATAAACTCCAGAGTTCCACAGTAGTTCTTTCAAATTCTGTCAGTGCAATTGTTATCTAGAGTGTTCTGGTGCTTCCTATTCCATCTCAGAATCCTCCTGTTTGGCTTTTTTTTTTTTAATGGTTTCTATCCCTTTGTTGAACATCTCTTTTTTCAGGTATTGTTTTCCTGATTTTGTTTAGTTTTTTCTTTCTTCTTTGTTCTTCTTAGGTCACTGAAATTCTAAAGATGATTATTTTGAATTCTTTGTCAGACATTTCTTAAAGGTCTCTTTCTTTGGGGTTGGCCACTGGAGGTTTATTTTGTTCCTGTGGTGGTGTCGTGGTTCTTTGATTTTTTCTTTGATTTTTTTTTCATGTTCCTTGAAGTCTGCAGTCACTTCCTCCAGTCCTTACTCACTGGCTTCAGAAAAGCCTTTCACCAGGCAATTCACTAGAGATTCTGGCTTGTAGGTTTTCTGCTGAGAAATCCACTTTAGTCTGATGGGCTTCCTTTTGTAGGTGACCTATCCTTTCTCTCCAGCTGCCTTTAAAATAGTTTCATTCATTTTGATGTTGGGGAATCTGATGGTTATGTGTCTTGGGGATGGTCTTCTTGTGGTCTTCTTTGCTGGGTTTCTCTGCATTTACTGAATGTGAATGTTAGCCTCTCTAGCTAGGTTGGGTAAGTTCTTATAGATGATGATATGGCTTGGCTCTGTGTCCCCACCTAAATCTCATGTCGAATTGTAATTCCCAGTGTTGGAGGAGGGGCCTGATCGGCAGTGATTGAATAATGGGGGTGGACTTCCCTCTTGCTGTTCTTGTGATAGAGTTCTCCTGAGATACGCTTGTTTAAAAGTGGGTAGTGGCTAGGCGCAGTGGCTCATGTTTGTAAATCCAGCACTTTGGGAGGTCGAGGCAGGTGGATCACTTGAGGTCAGGAGTTCAAGACCAACCTGGCCAACATGGTGAAACCCGTCTCTACTAAAAATACAAAAAAAATTAGCCAGGCATGATGGCAGGCACCTGTAATCCCAGCTACTTGGGAGGCTGAGGCAAGAGAATCACTTGAACCCAGGAGGCAGAGGTTGCGGTGAGCTGACATTACACCACTGCACTCCACCCCGGGCAACAGAGGGAGACTCCGTCTCAAAAAAAGTGTATAGCACCTCCCCCATTCCTCCTATGTGAAGATGTGACTGCTTCCCCTTCACTTTCCACCATGATTGTAAGTTTCCTGAGGCCTCCTCAGAAGCAGAAGCCTGTACAGCCCGAAGAACCATGAGTTAACTAAACACCTTTTCTTGATAAAATACCCAGCCTCAGGTGTGTCTCTATAGCAGTGTGAGAATGGACTAATACAGATGATATCATAAATGTGTTTTCTATGTTGCTTCCATTCTCTCCATCAGTTTCAGAAATGCCAATGAGTCATAGATTCAGTCTCTTTGCATAATTTCATATTTCTCAGAGGTTTTGTTCATTCATTTTCATGCTTTTTTCTTTATTATTTTCTGACTCTATTATTTCAGAAAGCCAGACTTCAAGCTCTGAAATTCTTTCCTCAGCTTAGTCTATTCTGTTGTTAATACTTGTGATTGCATTATGAAATTCTTGTAGAGTGTTTTTTAGCTCTATCAGCTCAGTTACATTCTTTCCTGCACTGGCTGTTTTGTCTGTCCGCTCCTGTATTATTTTATTGTGATTCTTAGCTTTTTTAGGTTGGGTTTCAACATTCTTCTGAATCTTGATGATCTTCATTCCTATCCATATTCTGAATTCTATTTCTGTCATTTCAGCCATCTCAGCCCAGTTAAGAACTCTTGCTGGAGAACTAATGTGGTAATTTGGAGGAAAGAAGACACTGGCTTTTTGAGTGGTCGGAGTTCTTGCAGTAGTTCTTTCTCATCTTTATGGGCTGATGTTCTTGCAGTCTTTGAAGTTGTTGTCCTTTGGATGAGTATTTTTTTCTTTTATTCTATTTGATGACCTTGGGGGTTTGATTGTGGTATAATATGGGCCCAGCTAACTACTTTCTTCATTATGGCAAGATTTTTGGGGACCAAGGCTCAGCTTAGGACACCTGGACTGCAAGCTTTAACTCTTGAGGACTCCTTTCAGGCCTTGCCTTTGATCTCCAGCTCCTTGAGTTTAGGAATCTACTGCACTAGAGGGGCCAGAGTGTCCTGGCCACTGGTCACAGCATTCCAATGGGTAATGCCAACCATGGAGACAAAGCACTTCGTAGGGTGGTGGCAGCAGATTCTGTTCTTATTTGCACATGCTAGCAGCAGCAGCAGTGCAGCAGTGTAGACTCTCATTGGCTGCAGCAGGGTGCTGGTAGGTACCAGAGTGCCAGCCTTTGAGCAGGCATTCACAGCAGTAGTAGTGGCAGTATGTCTGGGGCGTGGGGGGCAGTGTGGACCAGGGGCCCCTGTAGGCAACTGTGCATGCATTCATGCTAGTGGTGGTGTTATCATGGGAGCACCGGTGGGTGCTGTGTGTGCCCTCTGTGCATATTCATGCTGGTAGTGGTGGCCGCCCAGTGCCAAGGCCAGGGCCACTATTTTCTGTGCCTAATTTTGCACCAGTGGCAGTGTTGCTGCACAGGTGGGGCACAGGCAGGGCAGGGCCAGTGGGCTCCTTGACTGCCAATGCTTCAACAACAATGGTGGTACCGCTGGGAGAAGTGGGACAAGGTGCACTCCACTGGCAGTAGTGTCATGACAGGGTGCTCATGCATATTTACGCTGGCAGGGAAGGGAAGGCTATGTCTACCTGCACACACATGTGCTGGCAAAGCAATGTGGAGGTGGCTACGGGTGAGTGCCTGTGGGCAAAGCAGCATGGAGGCTGCTGTTGGGGGAGGACTCAGTGTGGTGCAGGCAGGGGCACTCTGCTGGAGCACTCTGCCAGTCAGGCACAGTCCACCAGCACAGGAGCTATGATAAGGACCCCCAGGAGGTACCTAGGGGCTGCACTACAGACAGGCTTAGCCAGGCTGGGGGCCTGGGAGAGGCCAGAAGACTGAGGGGTGCTTAGGTCAGACTGGCTCTGTCTCATGGGCAAGACCACCCTATAGAGTTCAGGCCTCACAGTTTCCCTAGGGTTAAAGCTCTTATGGGAGCAAGTTGAGCCTAGGGTGACGGGCATCACTGGTCTGCTCCATTACAGGTGCTCCCACACCAAACCCTCTGGGCGCTAGCTGGAGTTCTTTCCTTAATGCTTCTCTCTTCTCTAAGCAGCTTTCCCTGCCAATTCAGATGTCCATTGTGGCTAAGGGGTCTCCTCCTGCTGGGATTCCAGAGGCCCATGGCGATAGCAGGTTCCTTCTTGACTGCTCAACTCACCCCTTTTGCAGGAGTCATTGGGGTCAGGGAACAAGTCGTGGTGTGTGGTAGCCCAATGCAGGTTTCCCAGCTTTCTTCTCCTTTAGCCCAGCCCCTGTGTCTTCCCTCCATCTGCTCTCAATGCCTTCCCTCTGAAGATCTGATAGGAGTGTGCCAGTCTCCCCAGTATCCTGGTCTCTTGGTGGGAGATGTTCCCCTGGCTGCATCTAGTCAGCCATCTTAGAGCAGGAATTCAATCTATGCTTCTATTTCTGTTGGAAAAAAATTAATTAGACTAATTGCAGAAGGATACTGAAAGAAAATATTAATTTTTTGTCTAAATGGAAGTGAGACTCTAAGGAAGTTAAAATTTTAAAAATTAAAGCTATTTTTAAAAGAATAAGTAAATTGGAGGTAGAAACTACAATACCCAGAGATCACTGCTAGAACATGACGTTGCTTAATATATCCAAGAGTAAAACTTGTTCTTAACCTTCTTAACCAAATAATTTTATCTCAGTATATTAGGAACCTACAGCAAGTAGGTAACAATGTATCAGGTAGAAAATCTAGGGAAGAATTAATGAATCCAGTAAGAAAACAACAGGGACCCTTTGAGGCATGGAAGTTTGAGATGGGAGCATAGAAAAGGAAGCAAGGCACTCAGTTGGATTGGCTCACACCTAGGAGGGATGCTCCAATGCAGGAGAAACGGTAAGTGAGAGATTCCTAGCAGTCCACATTCCAACCACAAATGCCTGCAGTCCTAGCTATAAGAAAGCCCTTTGGCCCTCTTGGGCCCTGAGCCTAGTATAAGGAGCTTCCTGGAGTCCACAAGACTGCATTGTTTCAGGGAGGGAATTCGTGCTGGGACCTCTGGGACCCAAGCTGCTACAATATGATGCCATTTTGAGAGCAGAGTAAACACCAAACTACATCCCGCCCTGGTGCCCAATGACTCCTGCATCTCCAACATCCCTCCACATCCACCCAGAAGGCTGTAGTGTTGCTATGCCAGCTGACCCAGTGGTATAACTGCATTTCTGGCACCTGAGCCATGCAGCACCCTACATCCCAGGGAGCAGGTGATCTAGCACATCAGAGAGGCTGTATACTCACATGCCCCACCCAGGGGAGCAGGGATCAGCCTGCCTGCCCTACTATGGACACCACTAGTGCCTGTATATCACACCCAGAGGCCTAGGGATTGGGCCATTTGGCTCACTACTGGCACCCATGCATGCCACCCAGTGGCCTGCAGACTGGTCCTACTGGCCTGATGACACCACCAGTCTCTGTGCACTCCACTCAGGCACCAGAGGACCCACCTGCTATTGACACTGCCAGTGCCAATGCATGCATCCTACCCAGGGACTCAAGGAGCAGGCCACCTCACCTGCCAGCACCTGTGTGCTCCACCCAAGGGCCCAAAGACCAGCCTACTCAGGGCCCATACTACCACCACTGACACCTGCATGTGCCCCCCAGGGAACCAAGAACTGGCCTACTGCCATCACTGCTGATGCTCACATACCCCACCAAGAGGCCTGAGGACCATCCCACTTGGCACCTCCATCCCCAGCAAATCCTTACCACAGCCTCCAAAAACAACTGCAGCCTATGCCACTAAGGAACTTGCAGACATCTCCAATACTGATTACAGCCAAAGTAATCACATGGAGACTACGCTATGGTGCCCATCCAGAACCAAAGCCAAAGCCATGTACCCAACTTACATTATAGATACATCAACAGGAAAAAATATTTCTCTATGGAAGCTACTTTATAAAATTGGGAAAAGTGACAGTTATACCAGCTGTGGAAATATCAATGTAAGGACATGTGAACACAAAAAATCAAGAAAACATGATACCTCCAAAGGAACACAATAATTCTCCAATAACAGACCCCAAAGGAAAAAAAAGATCTATGAAATGCCTGAAAAGGAATTTAAAATAACGATCTTAAGGAAATCTAGCAAGATACAAGAGTATACAGATAAATACAAAGAAATAAGAAAAACAATTCCTGAGCTGAATGAGAAATTCAACAAAGAGATAGATATCATAAAAAAGAACCAAACAAATCCTAGAGCTGAGGAATTCAGTGAATGGAATAAAAAAATACAATTGAGTACTTTAACAGTAGACTAGGCCAAGCAGAAGAAAGAATTTCTGAACTTGAAGCCAGGTCTTTTGAAATAACCCAATCAGACAAAGGTGGTATGGGGGTGTTGTGGAGGGAGGAAAAGAGGGAGGGAGAAAGAAGAAAGAATGAGAAGGAATTAGGAAAGCCTAGGAGTTGTGGAAAACAAGCAAACAAATAATCAAATTTTAGAAGTTGCAGAAAGAGAAAAGAAGGAAAAAGGCATAGAAAAATACTGCATATTCTAACTTATAAGTGGGAGCTAAATAATTTGTACACATGGACATAGAGTGCAGAATAATAGACATTGAAGACTCAGAAGGGTGGGAGGGTGGGAGGGTGGGAGGGGGAGTGAAAGAGGAGAAATTACTTACCAGGTACAGAGTACTTATTCAGATGTGATTCCACTAAAAGCCCAGACTTCATCACTATGCAATATATTCATGTAACAACAAAATTGCACTTGTACCCTTTAAATTTATACCAAAAAAAGAAAACTTAATGAAACAATAACTGAAAAGTTCCTAAGTCTTGGAACAGATATAAACATACAGATATGGAAAGTTCAATAATCCCCAAATAGATTTAATTTTAAAATGTCCTCTCCAAGGCACATTATAGTCAGAATCCAAAAAGCCTGGATCTCAGTGTGCATTACATGTGCCTCTTAAACCCTACTAAATATGTCTTCAAAATTTCCACTCCTTCTGAAATATTTTACCTGACCCTGTAGTCAAATGTTTAAGCATACAGACAGTAAGTGAGCAACTCTGGATTAGAATTCTGATTATTACGTATGTGATATGAGAAAATTTTCTTACTGATTTTTTCTGAGCTTTAGTTTCTTCATCTTCAAAATCAGGATAAGAGAAAAAAACACCTACATTGCAGGATTGTTGTGAAGGTTAAATGAGGTAATGTGTACAAAGTGCCCAGCATTTAAGTGTTTGATAAATGTTAACTCCCATTTTTTAACATGCCAGCCCATTTAAATGGTGAAAACTAATTTTCATCTTTGCACTATCTGCAAGGGAATCCAGGAAATGTACAATTATACCTTTTCAAACTCTATAATACAGTAAGGCTATATTGTAGTGGATACCAAGTACTAGTTCTTCATGTTCAACATGGCCAATAAACATGATTTTTCTCTGTGGCACTCTATCTTCATTTGTATGACCAAAGAAACACATTTTAAAATGTATTCTATGTATTGCTGAACTACGAGATGATGTTTCAAATATAATTTGTTAGCATTAAGAAAAATAAGACATACTTTAATGCATTGCCAAGTTTTTAAGTTCTATCAAAACAGAGCCAAACTCACAAGGTCTAAATAAACAGTACTCTTATCTTGGACGTGAGTAGTTTTATACTCTGGAACAAGACCGACAATCGTAATTAACTTTTGTTCTGAGTTTACTGTATGCCAGCACATATTCTAGCATTTGACATGTATTATCACAAAAACTCCATTAGGTAGGTAATAATATTCCAAATTTACAGAAGAGGCAACTAATGCATGAAGATTTCAGTAATCTATACAGCTAGTAAGTGGCAGAACTGAGATTTGATTCCAGGCAGTCTAGCCTGGCCCCAGAACCAATGTTCTTATGTACCCTTCTTAACTGCACAGTAAGATGCTTCTGTTCTTCTAGGGTTTTTATGGTTTTAGGCTTTAGGTTTGAGTCTTTAATCCATCTGGAGTTAATTTTTGTATAAGGTGTAAGGAAGGGGTCCAGTTTCAGTTTTCTGTATACGGCTAGCCGGTTTTCCCAGCACCATTGATTAAATAGGGAATTCTTTCCCCATTGCTTGTTTTTGTCAGCTTTGTCAAAGATCAGATGGTTGTAGATGTGTGGTATTATTTCTGAGGCCTCTGTTGTGTTCCACTGGTCTATATATCTGTTTTGGTGCCAGTATCATGCTGTTTTGGTTACTATAGCCTTGTGGTATAGTTTGAAGTCAGGCAGCTTGATGCCTCCAGCTTTGTTCTTTTGGCTTAGGATTGTCTTGGCTATATGGGCTCTTTTTTGGTTCCATATGAAACTTAAAGTAGCTTTTTTTCTAATTCTGTGAAGAAAGTAGCTTGATGGGAATAGCATTGAATCTATAAATAGCTTTGGGCAGTATGGCCATTTTCACGATATTGATTCTTCCTATCCATGAGCATGGAATGTTTTTCCATTTGTTTGTGTCCTCTTTTATTTCTTTGAGCAGTAGTTTGTAGTTCTCATTGAAGTGGTCCTTCACGTCCCTTGTAAGTTGGATTCCTAGGTATTTTATTCTCTTTGAAGCAATTGTGAATGGGAGTTCACTCATGATTTGGCTGTCTGTTTGTCTATTATTGGTGTATAGGATTGCTTGTGATTTTTGCACATTGATTTTGTATCCTGAGACTTTGCCGAAGTTGCTTATCAGCTGAAGGAGATTTTGGGCTGAGACCATAGGGTTTTCTAAATATACAATCATGTCATCTGCAAGCAGAGACAATTTGGCTTTCTCTTTTCCTATTTGAATACCCTTTATTTCTTTCTCTTTCCTGATTGCCCTGGCCAGAACTTCCATTCAGGACATAGGCATGGACAAAGATTTCGTGACTACAACACCAAAAGCAATTGCAACAAAAGCCAACATTGACAAATGTGATCTAATTAAACTAAAGAGCTTCTGCACAGCAAAAGAAACTATTGTCAGAGTGAACAGGCAACATACAGAGTAGGAGAAAATTTTTGCAATCTATCCACCTGACAAAGGGCTAATATCTAGAATCTACAAGGAACTTAGACAAATTTACAAGAATAAAACAGCCCCATCAAAAAGTGGGCAAAGCTGTGAACAGACACTTCTCAAAAGAAGTGGCCAAAAAACATATGAAAAAAGCTCATCATCACTGGTCATTAGAGAAATGCAAATCAAAACCACAATGAGATACCATCTCAGGCCAGTTAGAATGGCAATCATTAAAAAGTCAGGAAACAACAGATGCTGGAGAGAATGTGGAGAAATAGAAAACTTTTACACTGTTGGTGGGAGTGTAAATTAGTTCAACCATTGTGGAAACAGTGTGGCGATTCCTCAAGGATCTAGAACCAGAAATACCATTTGACCCAGCAATCCCATTATGGGGTATATACCCAAAGGATTATAAATCTTTCTACTATAAAGACACATGCACACATATGTTTATTGAAGCACTATTTACAATAGCAAAGACTTGGAACCAACCCAAATACCCATCAATGATAGACTGGATAAAGAAATGTGGCACATATACAGCATGGAATACTATGCAGACATAAAAAAGAATGAGTTCATGTCCTTTGCAGGGAAATGGATGAAGCTGGAAACCATCATTCTCAGCAAACTAACACAGGAACAGAAAACCAAACACCACATGTTCTCATTCATAAGTGGGAGTTAAACAATGAAAACACATGGTCACAGGGAGGGGAACATCACACACCGAGGCCTGTCGGGGGGTGGGGGGAAAGGGGAGGGAGAGTATTAGGACAAATACCTAATGCATGTGGGGGTTAAAACCTAGAAGACAGGTTTATAGGTACAGCAAACCACCATGGTGCATGTATACCTATGTAACAAACCTGCACATTCTGCACATGTATCCCAGAACTTAAAGTAAAATTTTTTTTAAAATGCTTCTATTCTATCTTTTTAAACTCCAAGCACTTAAAGTACTTTCATTGTATATTTAAGTTATGCAACAAAAAGTTTAATACTATAATGACAGAATACATGGTAGAGATATAGAACCAATTTTAATCTATGTTACACAGCCAAAATATAAAAAAATGAATCTTATACTTAATAAATATCTTTTGAAATTTTTGGCTAACTACTAAAATTATGACTAAGTCTTAAAAGAACAAGGACTTAACTATATTCATGTGGTTTAGAAAATAAAGGAATTGTTGCTCATCTTCATTTGTTAATCTACACGCTTGTATTCCTTTGTATTAAGAGTTAATCATTATATGTATGCTGCCTTCCTCCTCTTGGCACAGACCATGTAAATGGACACTGCACAAGTCCAACTTCTCAGAGTTGCAGTTCTGGAAAACGTCTTTCTAGTGCCGATGTTTCAAAAGTAAATCGCTGGGGTCCTGGAAGACCACCATTTCGAAAGGCCCAGTCAGCAGCCTGCATGGAGATTTCTTTACCAGTTACAACAGAAGGTATGTTAAACATATTAAATTTTTTTGTTACAGTTAAAATTTGGTTTACAATGGTAATGGGAACAGAGATATGGGATGGAGATCACATATGAAAGATGTTAAAAAACTACTAATCAGTGAATACCTGAGAGCCTGATGGGGCTGTGGCCATAACTCCAACTCCATTCCTCACTCCACCTCCTTCCTCACCTCTAAAACCAGAATGCCTCTGCTTATAGGTAACTACCCCCTCCTCTGTACAAAGGGAGACCTATGCCTAAATCTGTTCCCTACCCTTCCCATAATAATTAAGAGTTTATTTCAATCCCAATGGTAAGCTTTTTGGTGTCTCTATCTGTAGATATTTAATGTATTGCAACCTTAATTTCCTCAATTGTCAAATGAATGTGACCAAGAACAAAGGCAAGATATTAAATTCTAAAGTTTGCAATTTTCATCTTCATATATTTTTAAAAGGAAGGTCTATTTGCTTATTTATGGAATGAGTGTGGGGCGGTGGGGTAGGGGAGTAAATTACAAGAGCCAGAGACCAGAAATTTTTACAGAGGCAAAAAAAGGGAATTTTGTAACTTTGCTGCAACTGTCTTATTGATAAGGAACTTTAGAGAAAGAGATAGGAAAAAAATAATTTTAGGAAGATTTGCTATAGTAATTCTATGCTGTGAAGTAAGTCTCTATTTACTACTCCTGAAAACTTTTGACAGTGATCTATATTGGTCTTCAAATTTAAAAAAATTATATTTAAGTTTTTGGTTTTTTAAATATTATGCTATACTAAATCTGATCCCTTAGATATGCAGATAATGATGTTATTTCTCTAACAGGTGTCTGTGAGTATCAACTTTGTATGGTGATGAACCATGAATGGAAAAGATTTGGAGCCATATAATATCTAGCATGTTATAAAAGAAGCAATATGTAATGATTATAAAAGAAGTAGCCCCCTTTTAATTTTTATTTTTTAAAGAGTTAGGATCTCATTCTGTTGCTGAGGTTGGATTACAGTGGCATAATCATAGTGCACTGCAGCCTCTAACTCCTGAACTTAAGTGATGCTCCTGCCTCAGCCTCCCAAGCAGCTGGAGGTACAGGTGCACACCACCACATCCAGCTTATTTTTCAGTTTTTGTAGAGACAGTGTCTCACTAAGTTGCCCAGGGTAGTCTTGAACTCCTGGCCTCAAGCACTGGGGTTACAGACAGGCATTAGCCACCACAACCAGCCAGAAGTAGCACTCTCAATCACTGTAATGAGAGGTGGGAATTTTGAATTTTAGATACTTCTACCTCTAATTTGTCCTGGATTCTGGGAAAATTACTAAACTCTAAGTTTGTCTCCAAATCTGTAAAACATATAACCTCCAAGCTCCCTCTCATCTCTAAATTTTATGACAAACAATTATTTTTATAAATTTGCTAAGAGATAAAAAGGAGAAATTAGGAATACTATATTTTGTTTCCTAGAAAAAAGTCTGAGGAGCCTGTATTTATCCTCTTTCTATAAAAACAATTATGAGTTACATGTGTACCTATCAAGAGGGAAAAGAGAGTGAAGGCTGTAGAAAGAAAAATCTGAAGAACTTGTACTCTGGAGAGATTATAAGAGCAGGACAACCTTGATAACATTTCACTGAGCTGTATGAGTTTATGCTTATTGGAGCGTGCACATGTACAAGTGTTGATGAGAGGAGAACCTGAAACCATCCTGTTTTTTTTTTTAAGTGAGCTGAAGCACTCTCAGAAAGATTACCACTATCAACAGGATGGCATATAGTCTGTACTCTTTGTTTAGCCCTAGGCAAAGTTAGGACTGCATTTGAATTAAAGGTAACAGCCTGAAACCAGTTCAGGGAGATAAAATTTGCATTTTGGCCTTGGTAGAAATGTTAATTTTTAGAATTGTAATTACCCCAGATATAGAATATGTTTGCCGCAGAAGATTTGTGATCCTGATAAGCCCTTTCATGCCAATCGCCACAGTATTGTCATTGGAACTGACAAGAAACTGTTAGGGATTCTTCCAACAATTCAGAGGTAGGAGGGAAGCACAATTTAAGTGATGTCAGAAATTCTTGTAACCATTACTATTTAGACTAAATCTTTTCTCTAGGTAAAAGAATTTCAACAAACTTGTGAGTTAACGTAGAGAAAGAAAAATGGTGAGCTGGAGCTCAGGAGCCTCCAATTCTAGTCCTAGGTCTGCCTAAGCTTATGAATTATACTTCTAGACTTCAGTTTCTCCATCTTCAAAATAAGCTGGTGAACTGGATAAGCTCCCTCTCAGGTCAATTAACAAACAATGAAATTTTACTTCCTCCTCATAATTTTGATTTATATATATTAAATCTGATGTTATTGTGGAAATATACTAACAATTTGTGTGGTTTTTTTTTATTTATTTCCATAGAAAACCGAGAAAATTCCTATAATCGTTCTAGAAGCTCTAGTATCTCCAGTATTGACAAAGATTCTAAAGAAGCAATTACAGCACTATACTTCATGGACTCCTTTGCACGGAAAAATGACTCTACCATCTCTCCTTGTCTGTTCGTTGGAACCAGTCTGGGAATGGTGTTAATCATCTCCTTAAACCTACCATTAGCAGATGAACAAAGGTTTACAGAGCCAGTCATGGTATTGCCAAGTGGTAAGAGTTTGTATTCATTCATTCCTTCACTGTTACTTTTTCAAATTTAGATATAAGGTATTATAAACATAAATTTGTATTGATTTGGAGCAAAGGTTATAAGTATTCTGCACAATGGGAACTATTAAGAATTTTATACATCATATACCATCCCAACATCTGTCATGTTGTAACTTTCCTTTGGGGTAAAAGAGTACAACCATTTCTTCGGTAGTAAACTGTGTAAGTGCCAACCTGAACAATGACATGGGAAATAAGTTCCTGAAAAGCACTGAGGAAAACCTTAATGCAAAACTTAAATTTATTTTTAACAAATTGAAGCATTACCCAAAGTTCCATGCCAGATCAGAGCATGAGTGTTTTTACATCATCCTTGAAGAACTCAGAATAATTAAGCTAGAAGCTATCTGACCTAAGGTGGATTTCTAAAGACTTTTATAACCTTCCCATCTTGTTTCAAAAGCATGCCACACAATTTCTTTCCTTTTCATGCTAGTGCCTAGAGAATTTGACCAATGTTGTAAGTATTGTTGCCAAGCATATGTTGTATTCTCTTCCTCCTTGAATTATCTTTTTTTTTTGAAGAAGAGATAAGTATGATTCCTCCTGTTATTCCTAATTTGTTCTTATCACTAATTTTATTGTTTCCCTGTTTCCTATATAAGAAATTTTCAGATAGTTTTTAAGTCAAAAAATTTCATTACTCTGCAGGATAAGGGTTTTATTTTAAAAGGATATATATTATATAGAAGGTTACACTTGTGTTTTCTTTAACTAGTGTGCTAAGTTCATATGACAAGATTGTAGGTAGAATAGTCAG
The DNA here is from genome assembly GCF_000001405.40 of Homo sapiens. Classification (NCBI taxonomy): domain Eukaryota; kingdom Metazoa; phylum Chordata; class Mammalia; order Primates; family Hominidae; genus Homo; species Homo sapiens. The sequence continues at coordinate 121,382,353 of NC_000003.12, forward strand.
TTCTCTACTAATGTGGCAAATTCAGATTTGTGTTTTAAAAGTTAATCGTGATGACAATTTTATTTTAACATATAGTTCACAATGAAAAATATATTTTACTATATTCCTAATTATAAAGAAATATACACAATTCTTTTGACTGGTGAGTTAGTTGGAGTCAAATCAGTGATACCATAATGAATTATTAATTATTAATTCAATTCATTATTTAACTCAATAAAAGATTATATATATTGGACATCTAATATGTACCGGGCATTCCTCACAAGTTTAAAGGTACAGTCAGCTTCCACTGTCACACAAGTTTAAAGCTGTAAGTGAAAGACAATTTCGTAATTAGAAATATTCTAACAATTGTGGTTTTCTGTATCACAAGCATAGAAATAAGCAATCCCTGGACTAATAAAGCAGATCTCTCAATATTATAGGGAAATTCTTTGTCATTCTTAGCACATATACTTAGACCAAAAAATGATGACAAAATACAAAATAAGTATAGATTTAACTTTTGACACTATTTTGTAAATATTTGAAAACTTTTTCTTTATCTATTTAATAAGATTTAATGGGAAGCTATCTTCTCCAAGTCTCTATGTCACTATTCTTTCAAGACTCTAGTTAATAATATGTGTCAACATCAGTTCATTGGCTAGGCACAGTGGCTCATGCCTATAATTCCTGCACTTTGGAAGGCTGAGGGAGGAAGACTACTTGAGGCCAGGAATCCAAGGCCAGCCTGGGCAACATAGTGAGACCCCATCACTACCAAAAAATTTTTTTAAATATATATATTTTTAAAAATTGCTGGGTGCAGTGGCTCACACCTATAATCCCAGCACTTTGGGAGGCCAAGGTAGGAGTATTGCTTGAGCCCAGGAGTTCAAGACCAGTCTGGGCAGCATAATGAGACCCCATCTCTACAAATAATTTTTAAAAATTAGCCAGGCATGGTGTGTGTGTGCCTGAGCCAGAAGGATGAGCATGCAGTAAGCCATAATCTCACCACTGCACTCCAGCCTGGGTGACAGAGTGAGACTCCATCTCAATGAAAAATAATAAAAAAATTAATTAAATCAAATGTGCCACACTTATACAAGATGTTAATAATAAAGGAAATGACAGAAGGGGTATGTGGGAACTCTTTATACTATCTGTTAAATTTTCTTTAAATCTGAAACTGCTGTTAAAAATACACTCTATTAATTTGTTGAATAAAGATGTATATAAAGGAGAAAGCCATGAGTCTGGGTTCCCATGTTTGTTCTGTAATTAACCATTACAAGAAAGAAAGTCTACTTGGGAGCCATAATTTATGGCAGTAAAAAGAAAGGAGGGAAAAGATAAGGGTGACAGAAATCTTGTTTAAATTTAAAGTAGAAAATTTTGTGCTTCCTCTTTCAGAGCCTACTTATTGACTAACTGTCCCGGTCTTCACTCTCCTTGCCATATTTATTTTCTTTCCTATACCCATGAGTCTCTGCCCAAGCTTATGGGAACTATTATGGGTACTGTTTATGTTATTATGGTTGCTGCCATAGCTTATGGGAACCATTAAAGAAGGTTTGGATTTAGGGGCATTTAGCACTTGTCCATTGTCAGTGCTGAAGTGAGTGACATGCTCTCTGACCTTGAATGCATCTTTTTTCCTGTGAGAACGTTGTTAAATAAACTTTTGTTAGTCGGCCTAGGAAAATTCATGAGTCAAATAGTTTCCTTAGACTTGAAAACAGTCTACTTTGAAATTTATCCACTCATTCAACAAACATTTACCAAGCCCATACCACCGAAATAAGCACTGGGGATACAGTGGTCCCTGTTTTCGGAGACTTGTAGGGAAAAACAAAATTAAACACAAAATTACAATAAAGAAAGTATAATAATGGAAATTACACTAAGAGAAATAAAGAATACCATGGCAGCATGGCAGGGGGATTTGGGGAAGAGCTCCCTAACAAAGATGACATCTGAAGTGGAAGTTGGACAAGTTTGGGAGGAAGTGTACAGTACTGGCGTTTAAGAGTAATTCAGAGGCTGGGCGCAGTGGCTCACAATTGTAATCTCAGCATTTTCGAAGACCAAAGTGAGAGGAATGCTAGAGCCCAGGAGTTCAAGACCAGCCTGGGCAACACTGGGAGACCCTGTCTCTAGAAAAAAAATTTTTTTGAAAGACTAAAGTCAGTACAGTGTGAGTAAAAATCTAGAAGTAAGAGAGGACATGGCATAGCTGGAGACTGTAGATAGAATGATACTAAATGAGGATGGAAAAATAGGCAGGGAATGATTATACAGTGCCTTATAAATCGTGAAGAAGGAAAAGACTACCTAGTAGATTATTTTTTCAGTACAAAACTTGTGATGCAAAACATTGGGTTTTTTTTCAAGATCTAGTTATTAAATTTTAAATTTTATAATTGTAAAAATCAAAATATAAAGGAAAAAAATGAAAATTCTGCCACTAGCAAACTTTGTCCCTTCTCTGTCCCCGTCCCCATCCTCATTTCCTCCCCTAGGAATTTTACTCTCCACTAGCAACTTGGTGAGAAATTTGTTAAAACTCATTTTAAGTTTTATTTATTTCTACTTAACTCTTTATGCTGCCAACTATAAATTATTCTATAATGATCAGTTCTGCCATACAAAGTACCTAGCATGCTTTGTAACATATATAATATATATGTGTATATATAAAATATATATCTCTCATAATCAAACTCAAGATTTAAATTCATGATTAAAGTCAAGATTCTCCAGAATAAATTCATTCTCCTTACCCCAGTGGTAGATGCTTTTTCATTGCTATAAATGAATACCTGAGATTGGGCAACTTATAAAGAGAAGAGGTTTAATTGGCTAATAGCTCTTCAGGCTGTACAGGAATCATGGTGCTGACATTTGCTTAGCTTCTGGTGAGGCCTCAGGAAGCTTCCAGTCATGGTGGAAGGCAAAGAGGGAACAGGCACATTACATGGCAAGAGGAAAAGCAAGAGAGAGAGGAGGGAGGTACCACATAATTTTAAATAACCAGATCTTATGTGAACTAGCACAGAGAGAACTCACTAATCACCAAGGAGATGGCGCTAAGCCATTCATTAGGGATCCATCCTCATGATCTAATACGTCCCATTAGGCCCTACCTCCAACATTGGAGATTACATTTCAACATGAGATTTGGAGGGAACAAACATCCAAACCATATCAACTTCCAAACTAGTTATTTTTAACACTCTTTCATTTCTGTTAGTAGTAGAATATTAACAGAAATGTAATTAATAGCCATCATACTACCTAAATAGCCTCCATAACTTCAATTTTTTTCTTCTGATCCCTTTTACTCACTGCCTTCATACTGGTCATATACCAGTATTATTTTCATCATTGAATTTTCACTTTTGGACCTACCCTGTCTACTCTAGAGTTGTCCCAGCCTTACTCCCTAAGTCAAACTTATTTTCCAGCATTCAATTCCATTAAAGTCCATTTCTCCATTGAAGAACTAGTAAATTAATTTATATAAATATGAAAATAGGTTAATGTGCTTTCTTATGGATATAATATAAAACTGGTTAATAGGCTTTGTCTGGAAATTATTTAATTGAAATTAGAATGATATTATTTTTAATGCTAAGTCTAAACCTTGATGAAAAACTTTATTAAAGTATTATTTAGTTAAGGTCTTTTGATATAAGATGGGTATATTTCAAATATACTTATGAAATTCACACATTTTATCTCTTCTAAACTGCAATAAGAACTAATACAATAATAACATTGTAAAATCAAACATAATCATTATATTTGACTGAACAAGAATAATAAAGGCCTCATACACAATAGTCAACATATATACTCCCCATTTATAGGTTTCAATATTTAGCACCTTTTGGAGTTACCAGTATCTCTTATTCTATTTCATATGTTCAAGTGTACCCATTGTTTAGCTCCACCTTATAAGTGAGAACATGTAGTTTTTGACTTTCTCAGTCATTTTATTTAGGATAACAGCCTCCAGCTGCATTCACATTGCTGCAAAGGGCAATAATTTCATTATTTATTTATTTATTTTATTATACTTTAAGTTCTAGGGTACATGTGCACCATGTGCAGGTTTGATACATAGGTATACATGTGCCATGTTGGTTTGTTGCACCCATCAACTCATCATTTACATTAGGTATTTCTTCTAATGCTATCCCTCCCCCAGGTCCCCACCCCCCGACAGGTCCCAGTGTGTGATGTTCCCTGCGCTGTGTCCAAGTGATCTCATTGTTCAATTCCCACCTATGAGTGAGAACATGCAGTGTTTGGTTTTCTGTCCTTGTGTGATAGTTTGCTGAGAATGATGGTTTCCAGCTTCATCAATGTCCCTGCAAAGGACATGAACTCATCCTTTTTTATGGCTGCGTAGTATTACATGGTATATTTGTGCCAAATTTTCTTAATCCAGTCTGTCACCGATGGACATTTGGGTTGGTTCCAAGTCTTTGCTATTGTGAATAGTGCTGCAATAAACATACGTGTGCATGCATCTTTATAGTAGCATGATTTATAATCCTTTGTGTATATACCCAGTAATGGGATTGCTGGGTCAAATGGTAATTCTAGTTCCAGATCCTTGAGGAATTGCCACACTGTCTTCCATAATGGTTGAACTAATTTACACTCCCACCAACAGTGTAAAAGCATTCCTATTTTTCCGCATCCTCTCCAGCATCTGTTGTTTCCTGACTTTTTAATGATTGCCATTCTAACGGGTGTGAGATGGTATCTCATTGTGGTTTTGATTTGAATTTCTCTCATGACCAGTGATGATGAGCATTTTTTCATGTGTCTGTTGCCTGCATAGATGTCTTCTTTTGAGAAGTGTCTGTTCAAATCCTTTGCCCACTTTTTGATGGGGTTGCTTGGTTTTTTAGTGTAAATTTGTTTGAGTTCTTTGTAGATTCTGGATATTAGCCCTTTGTCAGATGGGTAGATTGCAAAAATTTTCTCCCATTCTGTAGGTTGCCTGTTCACTCTGATGGCAGTTGCTTTGCCGGACAGAAGGTCTTTAGTTTAATTAGATCCCATTTGTCTATTTTGGCTTTTGTTGCCATTGCTTTTGGTGTTTTAGTCATGAAGTCCTTGCCCATGCCTATGTCCTGAATGGTATTGCCTAGGTTTTCTTCTAGGGTTTTTATGGTTTTAGGTTTAACATTTAAGTCTTTAATCCATCTTGAATTAATTTTTGTTTAAGGTGTAAGGAAAGGATTCAGTTTCAGCTTTCTACATATGGCTAGCCAGTTTTCCCAGAACCATTTATTAAATATGGAATCCTTTCCCCATTTCTTGTTTTTGTCAGGTTTGTCAAAGATCAGATGGTGTAGATGTGTGATGTTATTTCTGAAGCCTCTGTTCTGTTCCATTGGTCTATATCTCTGTTTTGGTACCAGTACCATGCTGTTTTCGTTACTGTAGCCTTAATATAGTTTGAAGTCAGGTAGCTTGATGCCTCCAGCTTTGTTCTTTTTGCTTAGGATTGTCTTGGCGATGCAGGCTCTTTTTTGGTTCCATATGAACTTTAAAGTAGTTTTTTCCAATTCTGTGAAGAAAGTCATTGGTAGCTTGATGGGGATGGCATTGAATCTATAAATTACCTTGGGCAGTATGGCCATTTTCACAATATTGATTCTTCCTATCCATGAGCATGGAATATTCTTCTATTTGTTTGTGTCCTCTTTTATTTCCTTGAGCAGTGATTTGTAGTTCTCCTTGAAGAGGTCCTTCACATCCCTTGTAAGTTGGATTCCTAGGTATTCTCTTTGTAGCAATTGTGAATGGGAGTTCACTCATGATTTGGCTCTCTGTTTGTCTGTTATTGCTGTATAGGAATGTCTGTGATTTTTGCACGTTGATTTTGTGTCCTGAGACTTTGCTGAAGTTGCTTATCAGCTTAAGGAGATTTTGGGCTGAGACGATGGGGTTTTCTAAATATACAATCATGTCATTTGAAAACAGAGACAATTTAACTTCCTTTTTTCCTAATTGAATACCCCCTATTTCTTTCTCTTGCCGGATTGCCCTGGCCAGAACTTCCAACACTATATTGAATAGGAGTGGTGAGAGAGGGCATCCTTGTCTTGTGCCAGAAAGGGAATGCTTCCAGTTTTTGCCCAGTCAGCATGATATTGGCTGTGGGTTTGTCATAAATAGGTCGTATTATTTTGAGATATGTTCCATCAATACCTAGTTTATTGAGAGTTATTAGCCTGAAGAGCTGTTGAATTTTGTTGAAGGCCTTTTCTGCATCTATTGAGATAACCATGTGTTTTTTGTCATTGGTTCTGTTTATGTGATGGGTACGTTTATTGATTTCTGTATGTTGAACCAGCCTTGCATCCCAGGGAAGAAGCCAACTTGATCGTGGTGGATAAGCTTTTCGATGTGCTGCTGGATTCGTTTGTCAGTATTTTATTGAGGATTTTCACATCGATGTTCATCACAGATATTGCTCTAAAATTCTCTTTTTTGTTGTGTCTCTGCCAGGCTTTGGTATAAGGATGATGTGGGCCTCATAAAATGAATTTGGGAGGATTCCCTCTTTTTCTATTGATTGGAATACTTTGAGAAGGAATGGCACCAGCTTCTCTTTGTGCCTCTGGTAGAATACAGCTATGAATCCATCTGATCCTGGACTTTTTTTGGTTGGTAGGCTATTAATTATTGCCTCAATCTCAGAGCCTGTTATTGGTCTATTCAGAGATTCAACTTCTTCTTGGTTTAGTCTTGGGAGGGTGTATGTGTCCAGGAATTTATCCATTTCTTCTAGATTTTCTAGTTTATTTGCGTAGAGGTGTTTATAGTATTCTCTGCTGGTAGTTTGTATTTCTGTGGGATGAGTGGTGATATCCCTTTTATCATTTTTATTGCGTCTACTTGATTCTTCTCTCTTCTTTATTACTCTTGCTAGTTGTCTATCAATTTTGTTGATCTTTTCAAAAAACCAGCTTCTGGATTCATTGATTTTTTGAAAGGTTTTTTGTGTCTCTGTCTCTTTCAGTTCTGCTCTGATCTTAGTTATTTCTTGCCTTCTGTTAGCTTTTGAATTTGTTTGCTCTTGCATCTCTAGTTCTTTTAATTGTGATGTTAGGGTGTCGATTTTAGATCTTTCCTGCTTTCTCTTGTGGGCATTTAGTGCTATACATTTCCCTCTACACACTGCTTTAAACATGTCCCAGAGATCCTGGTACATTGTGTCTTTGTTCTCATTGGTTTCAAAGAACGTCTTTATTTCTGCCTTCATTTTGTTATTTACCCAGTAGTCATTCAGGAGCAAGTTGTTCAGTTTCCATGTAGTTGTGTGGTTTTGAGTGAGTTTCTTAATCCTGAGTTCAAATTTGAATTGCACTGTGGTCTGAGAGACAGTTTGTTGTGATTTCTGTTCTTTTACATTTACTGAGGAGTGCTTTACTTCCAATTATGTGGTCAATTTTGGAACAAGTTTGATGTGGTGCTGAGAAGAATGTATATTCTGTTGATTTGGGATGGAATGTTCTGTAGATGTCTATTACGTCTGCTTGTTGCAGAGCTGAGTTCAAGTCCTGGATATCCTTGTTAACCTTCTGTCTCGTGGATCTGTCTAATGTTGACAGTGGGGTGTTAAAGTCTCCCATTATTATTGTGTGGGAGTCTAAGTCTCTTTGTATGTCTCTAAGGACTTGCTTTATGAATCTGGGTGCTCCCATATTGGGTTCATATATATTTAGGAAAGTTAGCTCTTCTTGTTGAGTTGATCCCTTTACCATTATGTAATGGCCTTCTTTGTCTCTTTTGACCTTTGTTAGTATAAAGTCTGTTTTATCAGAGACTAGGATTGCAATCCCTGCTCTTTTTTTGCTTTCTATTTGCTTGGTAGATCTTCCTCCATCCCTTTACTTTGAGCCTATGTGCGTCTTTGCATGTGAGATGGGTCTCCTGAATACAGTACACTGATGGGTCTTGACTCTTCATCCAATTTGCCAGTCTGTGTCTTTTAATTGGGGCATTTAGCTCATTTACATTTAAGGTTAATATTGTTATGTGTGAATTTGATCCTGTCATTATGATGTTAGCTGGTTATTTTGCCCATTCATTGATTCAGTTTCTTCATAGCATCAATGGTCTTTACAATTTGGCATGTTTTTGCAATGGCTGGTACCGGTTGTTTCTTTCCATGTTTAGTGATTCCTTCAGAAGCTCTTGTATGGCAAGCCTGGTGGTGACAAAATCTCTCAGTATTTGCTTATCTGTAAAGGATTTTATTTCTCCTTCACTAATGAAGCTTAGTTTGGATATGAAATTCTGGGTTGAAAATTTTTTTCTTTAAGAATGTTGAATATTGGCCCCCACTCTCTTCTGGCTTGTAGAGTTTCTGCCAAGAGATCTGCTGTTAGTCTGATGGGCTTCCATTTGTGGGTAACTCAACCTTTCTCTCTGGCTGCCCTTAACATTTTTTCCTTCATTTCAACCTTGGTGAATCTGACAATTATGTGTCTCGGGGTTGCTCTTCTCGAGGAGTATCTTTTTGGTCTTCTCGTATTTCCTGAATTTGAATGTTGGCCTGCCTTGCTAAGTTGGGGAAGTTCTCCTGGATAATACCCTGAAGAGTGTTTTCCAACTTGGTTCCATTCTCCCCATCACTTTCAGGTACACCAATCAGACGTAAATTTGGTATTTTCACATAGTCCCATATTTCTTGGAGGCTTTATTCATTTCTTTTTACTTTTCTTTCTCTACCTTGTTTTCTCACTTTATTTCATTAATTTGATCTTGCATCACTGATAGATACCCTTTCTTCCCCTTGATTGAATCTACTATTGAAGCTTGTGCATGTGTCATGAAGTTCTTGTGCCATGGTTTTAGCTCCATCAGGTCATTTAAGGTCTTCTCTACACTGTTTATTCTAGTTAGCCATTTGTCTAATCTTTTTTCAAGCTTTTTACCTTCCTTGCAATGGGTTTGAGCATCCTCCTTTAGCTTGGAGAAGTTTCTTATTACTGACCTTCTGAAGCCTACTTCTGTCAACTTGTCAAAGTCATTCTCTGTCCAGCTTTGCTCTGTTGCTGGCAAGGAGCTGTGATCCTTTGGAAGAGAAGAGGGGCTCTGATTTTAGAATTTTCAGCTTTTCTGCTCTGGTTTCTCCCCATCTTTGTGGTTTTATCTACCTTTGGTTTTTGATGTTGGTGACCTAGAGATGGAGTTTTGGTGTAGATGACCTTTTTGTTGATGTTGATGCTATTCCTGTCTGTTAGTTTTCCTTCTAACAATCAGGTCCCTCAGCTGCAGGTCTGTTGGAGTTTGCTGGAGGCCCACTCCAGACCCTGTTTGCCTTGGTATCACCAGCAGAAGCTGCAGAACAGCAAATATTGCAGAACAGCAAATATTGCTGCCTGATCCTTCCTCTGGAAGCTTCGTCCCAGAGGGGCAGCCACCTATATGAGGTGCCTGGCTGCCCCTACTGGGAGGTGTCTTCCAGTTAGTCTACATGGGGTTCAGGGACCCACTTGAGGAGGCAGTCTGTCTGTTCTCAGAGCTCAAACACCATGCTGGGAGAACCACTGCTCTCTTCAGAGCTATCAGACAGGGACGTTTAAGTCTGCAGAAGTTGTCTGCTGCCTTTTTTTCAGCTATGCCCTGCCCACAGAGGTGGAGTCTAGAGATAGTAGGCCTTGTTGAGCTGTGGTGGGCTCCATCCAGTTTGTTTCCTGGCCACTTTGTTTACCTACTCAAGCCTCAACAATGGCAGACACCCCTCCCCAGCCAGGCTGCCACCTTGCAGATCAATCTCAGACTGCTGTGCTAGCAGTAAGCAAGGCTCCATGGGCATGGGACCTGCCAAGCCAGGCATGGGAGAGAATCACATTGTTTGCCAGTTGCTATGACCTTGGGAAAAGTGCAGTATTTGGGCAGGAGTGCCCTGTTTTTCCAGGTAGTCAGTCATAGCTTCCCTTGGCTAGGAAAGGGAAATCCCCCCACCCCTTGCGCTTCCCAGGTAAGGTGACAATGCCCCACCCTGCTTCAGCTCACTCTCCGTGGGCTGCACCCACTATCCAACCAGTCCCAATGAGATGAACCAGTTACCTCAGTTGGAATGCAGAAATCACCCATCTTCTGCATCGATTACACTGGGAGCTGCAGACCAGAGCTGTTCCTATTCGGCCATCTTGGAACACGCCCGCAGTCTTTACATTCTTTTATATAGCAATTGAAAGGAATCCTTGGCATTTAGACCTTCCATTCCCCAGCTCCACCATTCTTTTCCAGCCTTATAGTCTTTGACCTTTCACTACATATCCTGGGCCCTAGACAAACCAAACTCCTTGTCATTCACTTAATAAGCCCAGTGTGTAGTCAAGTATAAAGCAATGATTTCATTTTATTATGACTGAGTAGTATTTCATGGCATATATATATATATATATATATATATATATATATATATCACATTTTTAATCCAATTGCCCATTGATAGACACTTAGGTTTATCCCATGACTTTGCTATTGTAAGTAGTGCTGCAATAAACATACACGTGCTTGTGTCTTTTTGATATGATTATTTCTTTTCTTTTGTATAAATAGCAGGTAGTGGGATCACTTGATCAAAAGATAGTTTTATTTTTAGTTATTTGAGACATCTCCATATTGCTTTCCATAGAAGTTGTACTAAACTAATTCCCACCAATACTGTATAAGCGTTCCCTTTTCTCTGCATCTTTGCCAAAGTCTATTTTTTTATTTTTTATTAATAGCCATTCTGACTGGTATAAGATGGTATCTTATTATGGTTTTAATTTTCATTTCTCTCATGACTAATGATGTTGAACATTTTTTTTTTTCGTTTCTTGGCCATTTGTATGTGTTGTTTTGAAAAGTGCCTGTTCATGTATTTTGCTCACTTTTTAATGGGGTTATTTGTGTTTTCCTTTTTGAATTGCTTGAGTTCCTTGCAGATTCTGGGTATTAGCCCTTTGTCAGATGCATTGTTGGCAAATATTTTTCCCATTCCTCAAGTTGTTTATTCACTCTGTTGTTTATTTCTTTTTCTGTGCATAAGCTTTTCAGTTTAATTAAGTCCTATTTGTCTATTTTTAGTTTTGCCGCATTTGCTTTTGAGGTCTTAGTCACGAATTCTTCACCTAAGCCAATGTCCACACAAGAGTTTTTGCTAGGTTTCCTTCTAGCATTTTTATAGTTTCAGGTCTTACATTTAAATCTGTAATTCACCTTGAGTTACTTTTTGTATATGTTGAGAGATATGGGTCCAGTTTTATTCTCCTGCATATGGTTATACAATTTTTGCAGAACCATTTATTAAGTAAGATGTTCTTTTCTCAGTGGATGCTTTTGTTGACTTTCTCAAAGATCAGTTAGTTGTAGGTATATAGTTTTATTTCTGGGTCTTCTATTCTCTTCCATTTATCTATCTATGTTTATACGAGTACTCTGCTGTTTTGGTTATTATAGCCTTGTAGTATAATTTGAAGTCAGGCAATGTGATACCTGCAGCTTCATTCTTTTTGCTTAGGATTTCTTTGGCTATTCAGACTGTTTTGGTTCCATATGAATTTTAGAATTATTTTTTCTACTTCTGTGAAGAATGCTGTTGGCAAATTGATAGGAATTGTGTTGAATCTGTAGATTGTTTTGGGCAGTATGGTCATTTTAATGATATTGATTCTTCCAATCTATGAGTATGGGATGTTTTTTCATTTGTTTGTGTCATCTCAATTTCTTTCACTAGTGTTTTTTAAATTTTCCGTGTAGCAATCTTTCACCTCCTTGATTAATGTATTCCTAGGTATTTTTAATAGCTGTTATAAATGGGATTGATTTCTTCTTTTGGTTCTCAGCTTGATCATTATTAGTGTATAAAAGTGGTACTGATTTTTATACATTGATTTTTATATACTGAAACTTTGCTGAGGTCATTTATCAAATCTAGGAGTCTTTTGAAGGAGTCTTTAGGGTTTTCTAGTTATAAGGTCATATAATCAGTGAACAGCAATAATTTGACTTCCTTTCTTCCAATTTGAATGCCTTTTTTTTTTTCTCTTGCCTGATTGCTCTGGTTAGGACTTGCATAGGAGTGGTGAAAGTATACATCCTTATCTTGTTCCAGTTTTTAGAGGGAATGCTTTCAACATTTCCCTGTTCAGTATGATGTTGGCTATGAGTTTGTCATATATGACTTTTATTATTTTGAAGCATATTCTTTGTATGTCTAGTTTGTTGAGGGTTTTTTTTTTTTTTTTTTTTGAGACAGTGTCTCACTCTGTCGCCCAGGCTGGAGTGCAGTGGCACGATCTCAGCTCACTGCAAGCTCCACCTCCTGGGTTCAGGCCATTCTCCTGCCTCAGCCTCCTGAGTAGCTGGGACTACAGGCGCCCGCCACCACGCCTGGCTAATTTTTTGCATTTTTTAGTAGAGACAGGGTTTCACATGTTAGCCAGGATGGTCTTGATCTCCTGACCTCATGATCCACCCGTCTCAGCCTCCCAAAGTGCTGGGATTACAGGCTGTTGAGGGTTTTAAAGGATTTTTAGATTTTTAAAATTCACTGAAGAAAAATGAAATTCCCTTCAGGTATTATTATCAAAAATAAAACTTCATTTACCCTTTTGTCATTTTTTAGTGGCATGAATTCAGACTTTTGCCAGAATAGGGCCCCTTCTTATATAGACAGATGAAAAAAAATCTATTATCATTCTTTGTGAAAATTCAATGAACTAGATATATAGTTCTTTTCTTAATAGAGCAGAAATAGTAAGTAACCCTTTAGATGTGTGACTGGCAAACATTGAAAGACTGTCAATTATACACATCCTTACTTGGGCATGTAGTTTTGAGGTATTTGCAATTTTACATCTTTTTTCAGGCTAAACCAAACGGAAAACAAAACAAAACTCTTCTATTTCACATAAGAAAAGTCTGAAACAGAAGAAATAATCTTGGACTGTGGAAATATAAATTCAAAATGATGAAAATTTTTTCAAACAAATAAGAAATTAAAAATTATGACTTTTAATTAAGGCTGAGTTTTCCAAAAGCATAGTCTTACAGATGAGTATGATACATATGTTAAATTGTTTCTGCTAAACCTTTAGTCATTAATAAAATATTCTTGCATTTTTTTCTGGTCAGGTTCCATTTTGTTTACAAATAGGTTTTTGAGGGTGGTATGCCTCAATTATAGGAGCAGATTTATTATGATAAATACTGAGATCAGAAAGCATGTGCAACTGCATCATAGAGTGATTACATCTAGGCATTATTGCCAGCCAAGTTTGATAAATATGCCCAATAAGTATAATTGTTCTCTGTGTCAGCCCTTGTTGAAGGAATACTCACAGCAATGGTGATACCGCTATCATAGCTACCATTAAATTACTCATTGTGAGTGGTTGTCCCGCTTTCCTCAGGTTTTCTTCCACCAGCTGTGACAGCTTCTTGATCTGTCCCCAGGTGGGTGGCTGTGTTCGACAGGTGTTGCTTGTGACAGTTGGGGTCCTCCTCAGCGTCAGTCTCGACATGGCTGCAACCGAGGGGTCCTCGGGATCCTCCCAGAATCTCTTCCTCGGCATCTGGCTTATGAAAAAGTTTCAGGTGTCTTGATGGTATCCAAATTGGCTGTTGATTTTGGCCTGGAGAAACACAAGCATAACGTCTACTCCAAGTTATTATTTTACCTATTTCCCAACTTTTTGTTATCAGATCTCCCCACCAAATCAGTTGTTCTGCTTCTCTTTGCAGCTGGTTTCTGTAGATGCTGTTCAGCTGCTGATAACATCTGGCCTTTGGGCAGGCTCAAAAAATTTAGTTAATAATGCCAGATTCAGTTGTATCTGCAGTGTTCCATATTCTCTATTTCCCCCTTTCTGCTTTTGCAACTGCTCTTTTAAGGAAAGATTCATTCTTTCCACTATGGCTTGTCCTTGAGAATTGTATGGGATACCAGCAATGTGTTTAATATTCCACATGGAGAAAAATGTAGCTAGAGCTTGGCTAGTATAGCCTGGGGCATTATCTGTTTTAGTAGAGGCTGGAATGCCCATCACCACAAAACACTGCAAAAGGTGATGTTTAACACAGGCAGAGACTCTTCTGATTGGCATGTAGCCCAAAGTGAAAAAAGGTGTCCACACATACATGTGCATATGCTAGTCTCCCAAATGAGAGAATATGTGTGACATCCGTTTGCCAAAGAGAGTTAGGTTCCAATCCTCGAGGATTAACTCCTCCTGTAAAAGATGAAGAATGTACCATTTGGTAAGTTGGGCATCACTGGATAATATTTTTAGCTTCTTTCCAGGTAATGCTGTATCTGCATTTGAGACCAGAGGCATTAACATGGGTTAAATTGTGAAAGTGTCTAGCATTAGATATTGCATTAGCAACTAGGTGATCAGCCATTTGATTCCCTTCAGTCAAAGGTCCTGGAAGAGGTATATGAGCCCTAATGTGAGTGATGTAAAAAGGGTGCATTCTACTTCTAACTGCTGTTTGCAATTGGGTAAATAAAGTCATCGGTTGTTCATCTGTATGAAATTGTAACTGAGCATTTTCAATTAACTGTGTGGAATGAACCACATATGAAGAATCAGAAATCACATTAATAGGCATAGCAAAAGCAGTCAATACCTCAATTACAGCTACAAGCTCCGCTTTTTGAGCTGAAGTATAGGGTGTCTGGAAAACTTTACTTTTCGATCCAGAATAAGAAGCTTTACCATTACTAGACCCATCTGTGAAACAATGAAAATACTTAGCAGGCTGCAGGTTGTTTACTGCAGGAATTGTAAATGCAAACCGTTCACATTCTTGCTCAGCTAAGGGGATAGTAAAGAAACGGTCTTTTAAATCTATGACTATTAAAGGCCAATTTTTAGGAATTATAGCAGGAGAAGGCAATCCTGGCTGTAATGCTCCCATAGGTTGTATAACTGAACTGATGACTGTTAAATCAGTTAACATTCTCCATTTACCTGATTTTTTCTTAATTACGAAAACTGCAGAATTCCAAGGCGAAAATGTTGGAGCTATGTGCCCATTTTCTAATTGTTCAGTAACTAATTCCTCTAACGCCTCCAGTTTCTCTTTACTTAGCGGCCATTGTTCTATCCAAATTGGCTTATCTGTTAATCATTTTAAAGGTATAGGTTCTGGACGCTTAACAATGGCCGCCATCAAGAATGATATCCTAATATTTGGTGGGAACATCGTCTTTCCACTTGAAGCGGTACTTTCAAAGCTTGCAAATTTTTTTCTAGTCCCATACCAGGGACATACCCCATTTCATGCATTATATGTTGACTTTAAGGGCTATATAATTGTTCTGGAATTAGAACTTGTGCTCCCCATTGCTGTAATAAATCTCTTCCCCATAAATTTATAGGTACAGAAATTATAATTGGTTGAATAGTCCCAGGTTGTCCATCGGGCCCTTCACAATGCAAAATATAACTACTTTGATATACATCAGGGGCTTTACCAACTCCAACTATGTTAAATTGAGCAGGTTGAATTGGCCACGCAGACAGCCAGTGCTGTAGAGAAATGATTGAAATGTCCACTCCTGTATCTACCAAACCTTTAAATTTCTTTCCCTGAATAGTTATTTCACAGGTAGGACGTTTATCAGTAATTTGATTTACCCAATAAGCAGCTTTGCCTTGTTTATTTGTGCTTCCAAATCCTCCTGTTCGTTTAATTTTACTTTTTCCGATTCCCACATACGGCACAATCAGGAGCTGTGCCATGTGCTCTCCTGGCTCTGCCTTCCAGGGAACAGAAGTAGATATAACAATTTGAATTTCCCCATTGTAATCTGAGTCAGTGACTCCTGTATGTATTTGTACCCGTTTTAAACTTAAACTAGACCTTTCTAAAAGTAATCCTATTGTCCCCGCTGGCAAGGATCCACAGACTCCTGTTGGGACCTTTTGTGGGGGTTCCCCAGGCAGAAGGCTCACAGCTTTTGTGCAGCATAAATCTACTGCGGCACTACCGGCTGTGGTGGGGGACAGATATTGTACAGGGGTGAGGGAATGGCCTGAGCTGGAAATGCCCCAGTTTAGAACAGCGCCCAGGATGGGCCCCTCATGGCTTTTCCCAAAATCGGGTTCCCATCTTTATCAAACCTAGAGTGACACTGCTTAGCCCAATGTTTTCCTTTTTTACATTTTAGACATATTTCAGGCTCAGCAGTTTTCTTTTTTCCCTTATCTGGCGGCCTGACTTGCTGATTTTTTCTACATTCTTTTTTAGTATGACCATGCTTCCCACAGTTAAAACAAGCCCCAGGAAATGAGTATTTCCTTTATCCACTCTCAGTCCTGCCATTGCCTGTGCCAACAAAGTAGCTTTATGCAGATTACCTCCAATACCATCACAGGCCTTGATATAATCAACTAAATGTGCTTTCCTGAATTTAAAAGGAAAAGGCTCAAATGTAGCTATAATATTTCCCTGCTGATCTGGGGGCTGTATTCTAACAGGGAACTGCCAAGCCTCTAAATCACCCTCTCTTCTAGCTTGCTGAATTCCTACCTGAATAGAACTAAGAGTGGTCGCTCGAGGCACTGCTCGAACAGACACTGGGGCAACTACTTTTCACCCAGTGTCCTCCGGAAAAGAAAGATCTGGAGGGTCAGGCCACTCTTTTTCTTCAAAATAATAATGAGGGGGTGCAGAAGGGTAGGGATGAACCTCTCCCTCCTTTTCCACTTTAGTTTTAGCTGGCAAATAAGCCTGGTCTGTAACCTCTTCTGTACTTCATTATACTCTCCTTCCTCCTCCTCATCAGTGTGAAAAAGTTCCAAGGTGGAATGAACCAGACCCCACACTTGTCCCATTGTTACCCTGATGCTTCTGAGCTCCCCTTCTTACTCACCATGGGGATTGCTTTAAGAGTACTCGGGTGTCCTCCAGCTAGTTCCATGTTCTCCAACCATTGCTCCAGTGACCCTTCAACCTGGATTCAAGCCCCCATGATGGATGCCACTTGCTGAGACCAGCTCGGTTGGGGAGACCCTAACTCAGTGGCACTAGAGGAATTAAAGACACACACACAGAAATATAGAGGTGTGAAGAAGGAAATCAGGGATCTCATAGCCTTCAGAGCTGAGAGCCCTGAACAGAGATTTACCCACGTATTTATCAACAGCAAGCCAGTCATTAGCATTGTTTCTATATTAAATTAACTAAAAGTATCCCTTATGGGAAATGAAGGGATGGGCTGAATTAAAGGAATAAGTTGGGCTAGTTAACAGCAGCAGGAGCATGTCCTTAAGGCACAGATTGCTCATGCTATTGTTTGTGGCTTAAGAATACCTTTAAGCAGTTTTCGGCCCTGGGAGGGCCAGGTGTTCCTTGCCCTCATTCTGGTAAACCCACAACCTTCCAGCGTGGGCGTTACGGCCATCATGAACATGTCACAGTGCTGCAGAGATTTTGTTTATGGCTAGTTTTGGGGCCAGTTTATGGCCAGATTTTGGGGGGCCTGTTTCCAACACCTATCACTTTTGTCTGCATCAAAATCACTTGAAGCATTCATTACAACACAGATTACTGGGCCCTGCCCCCAAAGTTTCTGATTCAGTAGGTCTGAGGGAGGGTCTGAGAATTTGCATTTTTAGCAAGTTCCCAGATGTGCTGAGTCTACAAAAATGAAACCTTACTTGTCCCTTTTGTCTACTGATGCACAGGGTTCTGCTCCCAGAAGGCCCTCTGCTCTTAAAGTCTTAAAATTCTTAATAATTTTATCTTTTGATGTATGCTTTGTAAGTAAAGACCAATGAGACAATGGAGCATGCACCAGGGGCTTGAAGCCTCTGCTCATGAGCAGTCTGCCTCCCACCTACCTCTCACCCAGGCGATGACTTAGTTTGTTGGGAGAGAGGCATTCCACTTTCACTTTCCACTGCTTTTGGGGCCTGGAGTATACATAGAGGTGGTCGGGGTCAGGCACATGCCTGGTGACATTTTGGGGCATGGAAGCAGCCATCCTTATCCTGAGTTGGTAGTACTTGGTGACTCTAGCATGTGATCGGCCAACCAGAGGCCATGTCTCAGATTGAGAGTCTTAACCAGTCCTGTTCCAGGTAGCTAGCACTTCCTAGCAAACAGTTTTAAAGACTTTCTGGGAGTCACCCCTCTTCTATGGTTTGAGGTGGCAGGATGGGGTCTTATTGCTGTAAAGAGGAGAAACTTAGCAGCCATCAGACTCAAATGTACTTAAGTAACTGAAGTCATGTGGTGAGACCCTCAGATGCCTGTGAAAGTCTGCAGTCATCTTGCAAGCATTCTCAAGCTGCAAGAGATATCCCCATACCTAAGAATGTGCTCCCTCAGGTCTGGTCTGGACTTGAATGACCCTGTCTTCCACCTTCCAACCTTCCTGAGACTGACTGGTTTGTCTCTTCTGGCCAACTCCCTGTGAATAATCATTTCATAGCTCTGGAGACTAGCTATTGTGTTTTTGCTACAGTTCAAAATAGAGGTTAAATGTTCTTATATAGAATATTATGAATAATAAAAAAAGTTAACTTTCCTTTACATAGAACATAAATAGCAAATATAAAAACACTAAAGAGATAGACCACAGAAGAAAGAAAAAAGCTTTATAATTTGCAACCTTCAATGGTACCTCTTCTCCCAATTTTTTTTTTATATGTTTTGCTCATTTATATGAAATCCAAGAGCAGGCAGTATTAACATATGACAGAATAAATGAGAGCAATGGTTGCCCCCTGAGAGGCTGCCTGGCTGCATGTGTTCAGTATGCGGGTTCACAGGCAGTATATGCATTGCTCTGTTCATTTTTCAAATAACAAATCAGTTTTTAGCTGTGTGTCTCCCTTCAAATCTCCACTGTTTCTTCTGAATTCTGTAGGGCACCACGATTGCTTTCCTAACCTCTAGGAGCATCCCCTACCTACTATTGCAACTAGCACTTGTGGAAGTCAGTGTGGCGATTCCTCAGGGATCTAGTACTAGAAATACCATTTGACCCAGCCATCCCATTACTGGGTATATACCCAAAGGACTATAAATCATGCTGCTATAAAGACACATGCACACGTATGTTTATTGCGGCACTATTCACAATAGCAAAGACTTGGAACCAACCCAAATGTCCAACAATGATAGTCTGGATTAAGAAAATGTGGCACATATACACCATGGAATACTATACAGCCATAAAAAATGATGAGTTCATGTCCTTTGTAGGGACATGGATGAAATTGGAAACCATCATTCTCAGTAAACTATCGCAAGAACAAAAAACCAAACACCGCATATTCTCACTCATAGGTGGGAATTGAACAATGAGATCACATGGACACAGGAAGGGGAATATCACACTCTGGGGACTGTGGTGGGGTCGGGGGAGGGGGGAGGGATAGCATTGGGAGATATACCTAATGCTAGATGACACGTTAGTGGGTGCAGCGCACCAGCATGGCACATGTATACATATGTAACTAACCTGCACAATGTGCACATGTACCCTAAAACTTAGAGTATAATAAAAAAAAAAAAAAAAGGAATTAGATTTACAGTGACAAAGAGAATGGTGGAGGACAATGAGCACATAAGAGATTTCAAATAAAACCTTGAAGACAAAAAGTGGTCAGAAAAGTGCTAGTTCTCCCAATTTTTGAACAAAAAGTCCCCCATAATTTGTAGGCCTAGTGCATTTTCATTTTGTGCTAGGCCCACAAATTGTGTAGCTGATCTTGAGTATATAAGATAAAATAGAAGTTTAAAAATCCATAATTAAGACTGAACTGGAGTAGTCAGGAAGTTAATAAATGTTTATTGAGCACATGACATGTCCAGATATTATAATAAGCACTGAAGATAAAGTAATGACGAAGTCATACGAAGTTTCTGTCCTCAAAGAGCTTACATTCTAGATAGGAATTGAGAAGTTCCGTGGAAGTTGAGAGACAATTAAAGTTTAAACAATGTATGTAAGGGAAAAGGAAAGCAAATATCTCAGGCTCCTTAAGACTCCAACTTTAATATAATTCTTCAGCCTCACTGGAACCTTAATCTATTGATCCTACCATTTTCATTGTCATTCACCCCCTTCATGTTCCCCCTTTCTAACTTTAATTTCACAGTCAAGCTCTATAATGCTTTTCTTTCATGCATTGTCAACTCTCTTGCCTCCTTTTTGCTTTGTTTGCTTTGTCATACTTATTCAGCTTAATCTCAAACCTGATTAAATTCAACTCTACCTATCCTATTTCTAGACCCATGTAGCTGAATATGGCTAGAGAAAAATACATAACCACACTAAAGTGTCTCATTTTACCATAAATCATCACTAACTTCAAGTGGGCTCTTATGCTGCTAGGTAATCATACTATATTTTCCTAGTCCTTGCCCCTGCACTCCTGGACAACAATTGCATATTTTCTTGTTTATCCTTTTGGTTGTGTGTGTATGTGTGTGTGTTTTGTTTTGTTTTGGTATAGATGAGGTCTCACTCTGTCACCCAGGCTGTAGTGCAATGGTGCAATCATAGCTCACTGTCGCCCTGAACTACTAGACTCAAACGATCCTCCCATCTCAGCCACCTGAGTAGCTGGGACTACAGGCATGCCATCATGCCTGGCTAACAATTACGTATTTTCTCTAGTCTCTTTAAATCTCCAAAACTTGCTTTTCTGTCTTCAATCTCAGCAATCACCATGTGTCCTCTTTTATTGAGAAAATTGAAACAATCAGATAAAAACTTCAACAGCTATCATCACATCTACCAACCTATCTGCTTGTATCTTCATGGCCTGCATATTCTCTCCTGTTACAGTTACTAAACTAAGCTTCTAACTAGGTGATTCATTTAACAGAATCATTCTATCTCCTGGCCTATCCTAAAGGGAATCAAGGTTGGAAGCAGGGAGAGCAGTGAAGAGGTTAATACAATAGTCTGGATGAAAAATGGATAGAGGCTTGTGTGAACTGTGTGGTAGTTATTCACTATATTCCACTTATACTCTAGACTCTGTTTGTACACTAGACTCCACTTATATACTAGACTTTACCTGCTTTCACCTACTTAAGAAAGTCAATCCAGCAATTTTTCCTTTGTTTCCTTTATAATAAATGTTTTTCTTTCTACTGAATCATTATATAAATATATTGTTATATCTTCCATTAAAAAAGAGAAACAATGGGTTCTAGGCTGTATTAGTCATGGGCAATATAGTAGTGAATAAAACAGACAAAAGTCTTTGCCTTCATAAAACTTACTTTCTATGGTAGAGATAGATAATATGTGTGATAAATAAGTAATTATATGGGATATTAGACACTAATAAGTACTAAGGAAAAAATTAGAGCAGAAAAGGAGATAGGAATTCTTGGTCATTTCTCAGGAAACATCTTATTTGACATATCAGCAACGTATTACACAGGCTACCATTCCTACCTTAAAACACTTCAAATTCTAGAGTGCTATTTTCACCTGATTTTCTTCCTACCTTCTAGCTATTCCTTCTCAATCTCTTTAGCTTGTTCCTCCTCCATTTCAGTGGACTTAAACCAGAATGCCCCAAGACTGATTCTTTGAAACTTTTCTCTTTATATTGAAGCACTAGATGAATTCAGCCAGCTTCATGCCTTTAAATGTCTGATGGATCATACATTTATATTTATAGTCTGGACCTCTCCACAAATTCCTAACATATATCCAGCTATTTGATATCCATTTGGATGTTTAGTAAGTATCCCAAACTTAACATGTTCAAACCTGAGCTCCTGGTATTCCTCTCATTCCTCTCACACTTTTCTACATCTATTAATGACAATTCCATTCTTCCAGTTTCTCAGGTCAAAAACACTGGAATCACCCTTGACCCCCATATTTCTTTCATACCCTAAATCCAATTTGTTAACAAATCCTGCTGGCACAACCTTTACAATACACTCAGATTCTGACATTGCTCACCATCTGTACTATTACCACACAGTTCAACCAAGCCTCTATCCATTTTTCACGCACACTAATACACTAACCTCTTCACTGCTCTCCCTGCTTCCAGCCTTGGTTCCCTTTAGGATACACCCAGGAGGTAGGGTGATTCTGTTACATGAAAGTTAGATTACATCACTTCCATTCTCAAAATCCTTCCATCTCACGCCAAGTAAAAGTCTAGGTCTTTACCATGTCCTGAAAGAACCAACATGATGTGGCTCTACTTTATCTCTCTGATCTTACCTCCTATGAATCTTCTTGGCATTCTAGAAAGTCAAGACCTATAAAGAATCTGAGATTTTATTCTACTTGTAAGCTAATAAAGTTAGGTTGCCAGTTTCGATGCTGATAGAAGACATGAAACTCCTGGCTCAGGGACAAAGGATAATTTATTATTCACAACAGTCATAGAATATCAGTATTTTGTGCTGGTTTCCTGAACCCTAATTCCCACAGGATGATGAAAAGAAGCCTTCCCTTCTTTATTAGTTTGCTCAGGCTGCCATAATGAAATACCACAGACTCAGTGGCTTAAACAGCAGAAATTTATTTTCTCACAGTTCTGGAGACTGAAACTCTAAGTTCAAGGTGCCAGCAGGGCAGATGTCTAGTGAGGTCTCTTCCTTTGGGTTGCAGATGGCTGCCTTCTTGCTGTGTGCTCACATGGCCTTTCCTTTGTGTACACATAGGGAGGGGGAGAGAGAGAGAGAGCATGTACTCTGGTATCTCTTTTTAAAAGGACACTAATTCTATCAGATTAGAGCCATACCCTTATGATCTCATTTAATCTTAATTATTTCCTTAAAGGCTCCCTCTTCAAATAGATCCATAGTGGGGGTTGGGGCTTTAACATATGATTTTTTTTACAAGAGGTTGGCAGGGGATGCAAACATTCAGTCTATAACACTATTTAAAATTTATCTACCTTTTTTCAAGAATTCCTATCTTCTTTTCTGCTTTTTTTCCTTAGTACTCATTACTATCTAATATCCCATATGATTACTTATTTATCAGACATATTATCTATCTCTACCCTAGAAAGTAAGTTTTATGAAGGCAGGGACTTTTGTCTGTTTTATTCACCACTATATTGACTATGACTAAAATAGAGCCTAGAGCACATAGAATGTACTTGATACTGTATGTATTGATTGAATGAAGGTTGTAGTCGGCAAGGCTGGTGATTTGGGAAAGCTGGAGTAAAGTACACTCCTAGCCAGTGAGTTCTTCTTTAAGAGGAAAGTCCTAATTAATTAAGATCTTATTATTGAAGCCCATAAGTTTAAGCATACTTTGTAAGTGTATTTCTGAAGTAGTAGCTGCTTATGATTTAGATTTACTTGAGTTTTTTCCAGTTGGAAAAGATTAAAGAAAGAATTCTAAACGATTAATAATACATTGTTTGGAAAACTTAAACCCTGTATAAACCTAATGAACAGAATATAATCAAAGCATTTATGACTAAAAATTAAGAAACAAAGCAGCTGTTTTGGCAAGGGCAGCTTATTGAGAAATTCATTTTGATGCTGAAGATTGTATGCAATGAGTATAAGTAAAATGGCTTTCAAAATGTGGATTTCTTGTCTTTTTAACCTACTGTCAGCCATCTCTAAATCAAGGATGAAAAGATATACTTAGAAAAGTCTTTCTATGGCAGGTAGTTAGGAAAATGTGGTTTTACTGAACAGCAGGATCAATCCTAGGTTAATTTTAATTAAATCATTCTTCAGAGCTGTTGGCATTTTTCCTTCATGGGAGATTGGGAGAGATGTTCTTTTATCCCTTAACCCTTAAACTGCAGCACCTAAACCTCTACTCCCCTAGCCTCTGCCGTTACCCTTATATACATTTATAGATTTCTTAGTTTTGAAGTGGATTTAAAAACACAACTAAGATATTAGATCATCCCAATATACTCTTTTCAATTTGATAAATTTTAAGGACTTTGTAAGTACTTTCTAAATGAATATACTTTTATCTGTCACCCTTCCCTTTTCAAGTCTCTGTCACATGTACACCCTTGAGACATTATCAGTCTAAGCTAACATACTTTCTCTGCATGATGTAAAAGGACAAAGGAAAGAAAGGGCTAATAGGGTACTGCTTAGGGAAGATTCTGGAAATATCCAAAGATCAATAGAGCCCAAACTACCTCCTAAGCTTTATAGTATATTGTCCTCCAAGACTGGTGAAAATCACCTATAGGCAATAATCTGGCATACATTGTCAACCTTGGAGAATCCAGGTGAGTAAAACCCCTTTCTGTGTAAAGATGCAAAAGCCTACCTAAGAGCTGAAGGTAATTGTTTTGTCTTTTTCATACAATTAAAATTGCCACCGTGAATTCCAGATATTGAAATTTCTTCTTGTTTGATTTTGAAGAAAAATCAAGCATTTTCTAGCAAATTAGTCTATGAAATAAGAAAATCAAATAAGATTGTGTGATTATTTTTCAGTTGAAGTTATTTCAATAAATAAAATATGTACATTTTTAAAATTTTCTTTTTTATAAAAGGACTTTAAGGGGGACTATATAGTATAATGAAAGAATCGTGGGGTAGGAATCAGAAAAATCTGAGTTCTAATCTAGGCTGTGACCTAACTTGCTGTGTGACCTGGCCCAACTTTCATAATCTTTCTGGGTCTGTTTTTTCTTCTTTTTTAATATAATGAGAGGGTTTGACCAGTTGACGTCTTAAGTTCCTTTTAGACCTAACATTCTATGATTCCAACTTATTATAACAGATGAGCTCACAAATCTACAAATTCATATACATTAGGGCAATATTATGACTCTATAGGTATAAATTATCACAATGTAAAACTTTAATTCCCTATAGATGCTTTAGAATGAATTTGACATGTCAGTGATGTCCAATTGTTTTTATAGGTACATTCCTCTCATTGAAAGGAGCTGTGCTAACATTCTCCTGTATGGACCGAATGGGTGGATTAATGCAACCGCCATATGAAGTTTGGAGGGATCCAAACAACATAGATGAAAATGAAAAATCTTGGAGAAGGAAAGTGGTAATGAACTCATCTTCTGCATCCCAAGAAATAGGAGATCATCAGTATACAATAATCTGCTCAGAAAAACAAGCCAAAGTCTTCTCACTGCCTTCTCAGACTTGCCTTTATGTTCATAACATCACGGAGACATCTTTTATACTGCAAGCAAATGTGGTGGTCATGTGTAGCAGTGCCTGCTTGGCATGCTTTTGTGCTAACGGACATATCATGATAATGAGGTACTTGCCTTCTTATAAATTATCTGGTAATCACAACAATACCAGCAAGGTACAATCCTAAAAAATATATGTGTTATGTGCAGATGTTATCAAGAAGCAAACTGAGATTATTGTTTCATTATGTTTCTGGATGTTTTATTGTTCAACGATTTGATGAGAGTTTGGGGGTTTTGTGTTTTGTTTTGGTTTTTCTTTTCTGCTAAAAATGCTTGGCATTGTGAGTGAAATATATTTTTAATTGTTTTGAAGGAATCTAAGAAAAGAATGATTTTTCAATCATTCAACAAATATTTATTGAGCATATCTCCCAGATGCTACACTAAGCACTGGAAATAAAAGATGAATAAGCTAAATAGAAAAGAAGTTAACTTTTACTTTTCCTGTGTTTGATACTTCACCCAAGAAATTTACATACAGAGTTTCATTTGATCCTTAGAACTTCTCTAGGACATAGGAAAATAAACTATTATTTGCATCCTCCATTTTACATGTGTTAATAAAGTTACACAGTTTGCCTGAGGTTGCAAGTCTAGGAAAAGTGAGGCCAGTCTGATAATTAAAAGTTATCAGATACTTTTAAAATAAAATATTGGTCAAGAGATTTCATTCTACTGTTAGTGAAATGAAATAAAATTTACGAGACACAAAAATAATTACCTAATGATTTTATGAATTCAGCAAATAGCTCATAAACGTATACTATATAGAAGTCACTGTCATTTTTTTAATATCTCACTTATTTCCAAAAATCATTGAGATGAGCACTGTGCTAGGCCTGTGAAGGATATAAAAATTAGTAGAACATGGTCCTAACCCTTAAGAAACTCACTGTCTAACTTGGGAGATAAGATAGATACACAGACATTATAACAAAAAGAAAATATAAATTCCAACAGAGGAAATATGGGATTGAATTTTCTAGCCACAAACTAAGTTCCCAGAGTTCAAAGTCACAGCATAGTTGAACATGTATTATAAATGAAGAGTTGTTGGGAGGACAGTAACATGGAGAGGTAGTTTGAAGCAAATTGTTGACGACCTTGAATGTCAGGCTGAGTTTGACATTTATCAATTAATAGGAAATGGGGTTTTAAGCAGGTAATTAACCTTCTCTAGCCATGTGTTAGGACATACACAGGGAGGGAGAAGTTGAGATAGGCTTTTGAACTGAAGTGGTGTCTGTATTGAAGGCAACGAGGAAACAGGTGTAAGGGAAACTTATTGAATGCAAAGCTGATTGGTTATGAACAGTAATGGAAGTTGTTAAATCTCGAGGTTAGAAGAGAGTTTAAAGGTTAAAAATTTTTTTGAACTTAGATAACGGTTATGTTATTAGCATATAGGAAAGTCAGAAGGATTTGAAAAAGCCAATAAAGAGAAATTTAATAATAAATTGAGAATAAATATTTGAAATTTTAGGTGTTATAAGCCATCCAGCAGAGGTTTAGCAATAAATTTAAGATTTGCACTCTTAGAAAAATATATGTGGAAGGTCCAGCTTTGGAAGTCATCTATGTAAATGCATCAGTAAAAGTTATGTCAGGAAATGAGATAATAAAAAAGATAGCATAAAAAGAAACAAGAAATTGACTGAGCTGAGGATAGAAACTTGGGGGTATTCTACGTTTATGTAGTGAAAGAAAGAATAAGATGCAGCAAAGGAGATTGAGAAGTTATTAGAAAGATAGGAAAGGACCAGAATTGTATAACTTCATTAAATAAAAAGAGAAGAATATTAAAACAAAAGAGGTTGTCAAGAGGTAGTAAAATATAGCAGAGAGGTCAAAGAATTTGGGTACAAGAAAAAAACAGTAGATCTCACAACTGGTGGGATATTAATGATCTTTGAGAAAGCAAATCTTAGCAGCATGGTGGAAACAAAAGCTAATTTTCAAGGAGACAAGAATAGAGGCAGTGGTATAGATCAGGGTTTAGCAAATTAATATCCAAAACAAAATCGACCTCCATTCCCCTATCTGATTTTGTACAGCCTGCAAGCATTAAGAATGGTTTTTACATATTTAATGGTTGAAAAAACTCAAAGAGAAGAATATTTCATGATATGTGAAAATTATACTAATTTTAAATGTCAATGCCCATAAATAAAGGTTTTGGAACACAGCCACACCCATGTTTCTGTATATTGACTATGGCTGCTTTTGCACTACAGGGCAGAGTTGAATAGTTGCAACAGAGACTATATAGCCTAGAGAGCCTAAAATATTTACTATCATAAATATTTATGGGCCCTTTTCCCCTGGTATTGATTATTCTTTCAGGAAATTTTGTGGTTAAAAGAGAGATGAGACAGGAAAGTCGCTTAAGAGTGAAACTAGGTTTTGAGAGTGTTTTTTTTTTTAGATAGGGAAAATATGAGCAGATTTGTAGGTCAAGGGAAAGTAGTAAAGGAGAAAATTTTGAATAAAAATAATCAT
Source organism: Homo sapiens (assembly GCF_000001405.40). Taxonomy (NCBI): domain Eukaryota; kingdom Metazoa; phylum Chordata; class Mammalia; order Primates; family Hominidae; genus Homo; species Homo sapiens. The sequence goes on from NC_000003.12 coordinate 121,410,039, forward strand.
TTTATGGTCTGTTCATTCTCTCATGTATTTCTGATTCTTTTCTATCTAGTTCCCCCTTTCTCAAACTGTTTTTAGAAATTTCTGATAAGGTCATTTCAATCTTGTTTGAAAATGATTTAACTCCCATACATGCCTCAGATTTGGGGGGGAAAAAAGGTCTATTTGTGTATGTGTGTAAATGTGTGTATCTCTCACACACATACATTGAGTCATTGATAAATGGTATCTGTCTTCCTCTGTCCTTTATAAAAGCTGCTTGACATGATAATGGTTACTTTGATATTGTGTCATAGTAGAAATTCTTCATGTGTTCCTGAGGATCCTCAAAAATAACTGAAAAGGAAATAATTTTGATATGATTTTAATAATACATATACATAAAGTGTAGCTAGGAAACAATGGTATGTACTCTGCTCTATGGTTTAAAGAAATGAATCCTACAAATTAGCATGCACCTGGCCTCATTCATTTTCCCATACTGAGTATATTCCCAGGATCTTTCCAGACCCTATCAGAAGGTAACTCTCCTGAGCCCAGTCTTCTCAAGTCCTGGGTTTCTGATAGATATCAGGTAGCTAGCCAGTGGTTACTTAGATCCTAAGTACCCAGACTCAGAAAAGCAAGTTTGAGAGTAGAGAGGAGAAATAGAAGAGGCTTATCTTTGTATGAATTCTCAAACTTGGCTGTAAGAGACACTTTTTGTGAGATCCACCTTTAGTTACCCGACACTATTTCTTTATTAAAGTGTCCTGCATAGAAGAAAGTCTTTTTTTCTTCTGTTATAAGAGCAATTGTTTCCTAGCAGTTAGCAACTGACTTGCTCTTTCTCTTTTCCTACCTGAAGTGACTACACCTCTTTAATTTTCTTTTCTTGGCTTACTTGTTATTATACAATATAGACAATGTAGCACATCAGAAAAGTCAGTTGGAACCTCTTCCTCAACTCCACCCTTTAATTTGACTGAATCTGTCATGGAAATCTGTTTAACTGGGATTGGTTTGGACTCATATCTTAAGGAGCTTAGTTACCAGAAGTGCTATAACAGATCATCTTTTAATATCTTTTTAAGATATTAGGTAATTCTTTCATCAATGAAGCTTTTGAATCCAGTGTGTAATTTACGTTTACAGCACATCTCAATTCAGACGAGCCACGTATCAACTGCTCAATAGCTACATGTGGTTACTGGCTACCATATTGGACAGCACAGTGCTTAGTCCAATAGCACAGATTTCAGGTCCCATTTTACATAGTAAATTTCCAGGTCTCAAAGTATAGTTACAAACCACTTTGATAAAGGAAATCAGTATTTTTTTCAAGGTGCTGGTTTTATGATCTAGGACAATGTAAAATCATTGTGCACACTTAGAATCAGTATAATGGTTTCAAAATTTAATTACAAGTTTACCTTTTCCCTTTTGGCATTAAAGGACTGATTAAAAGGCAATGAGACTGGTTTTCTTCAGTGGTTTGTAAAACTGGCTCGAAAAACAGTATCCAAAAGGACATTCTGATGAATATTTTAGCAAAATTATCTGCTACATTAGGATAAGCATATAGCCATGGGGTAAGACAATTCAGATGGTATTCATTTGGATGTGCAAATTCTGATCTATTATTTATAACTTATTCTCATTCCCTTACAGTCTTGGCCATATTTACTTATTAGTCATGCCTCCAGTGCAGTTGCCCTAAGTTATGGGTAATTTTCATTTCCTGTGTATAGAGTGAGTAAAGGAATGGGGAGCAAAACCACTTCATTTCCAGGCACAGTGAACTGGACCCACAACACATCTCTGTCAGTTTTGCCTTAAAGAAAGACAATAGACCAAGTATGCAGTCAGACACTTTCTAGCTGTGGTGTTTCTGACATAGCCAAAGGCTGTCATTGTAGGAACATGTGAAGTGCTACAAAAAGTGCCCCTGAAATTGCTGGCCACTGCATTTAATCCATCAAGAACATTTGCTAAGCATCTATGTGAATTAAAAGAACTGTGCCTGTGATTTTTATGATTTTATATGAAAGTCTAGTTTATTGGATCTTAAGACCCATGTCCAGGAACAGGAGTCAGCATAAGGATGCTGACCTCTCCTGGCTGTGCCTGTGACTCCAGAGTCCTGTCTTACTGTGACTTAAAGTTTGATGGAGAGAAAACTGTAGGATCCATTTCTGCCAGGAAACCAGGGTCTTCCTGTTTCTAACACTGAGAATGGGCACCCAGTGGTCTGAGAACACTTTCTGGGCTAACAAGGTCCTCACACAGGGCTGAGAAAGAAAGTGTTCCCCCTCCTGGGAAGCACATGTAGAAGTTAAGAGCCTGAATCTCTTCTAAACCAATAATTGACCTCTAGGCACCCACCATACTACTGCTACCTTCAGGGCAGAAGACACTACTCTTTGTAACCCAGCCACCACCAAAAAGGGAACAAAAGGAAGGAAGGAAGGTTAAGCCATTGGATAATACTGAATCTGTTTCCCTAGTGACTTAGTCTTAGAGCAAGCATAACATCCAGGTTAATTTTTGTAAGATTTCTCCTTTTATTATCACCCTCATCATAGTTCCCAATTATCTCTTAAAGTTTAAGTGGTTTATTGACATTAGTATTTCTGATAATAGTTTACAAACTACTATAAACAAATTTGTAAACATTACTATTTCTGATGAAAATAAAGTTGTTTCTCCCTCCAAAAAAAAAAAAAAAAAAAAAACAAAAGAAAAAGAAAAAAAGAAAGTCTAGTTTATTACCACTGAGCCTTGAAGATAAGAAGAAACAACCAGGCCGAGTATGGTGGCTCAAGCCTGGCCAACATGGCAAAACCCTGTCTCTACTAAAAATACAAAAATTAGCCAGGTGTGGTGGCTCACACCTGTAGTTCCAGCTACTCAGGAGGCTGAGGCGTGAGAATCACTTGAACCTGGAAGGCAAGATTGCAGTGAGCTAACTCCACTGCACTCCAGCTTGGGTGACAGAGCAAGACTCTGTCTCAAAAAAATATAAAAATAAAAAAATAAAAAGAAACAACCATAAAATAATAGAATAAAAATTACTGTTTTTATGTAAATATCTGCTTCTAACAACCTGCATATGATATATGGATTTACTTTTTTCCATTCAGCCTACCTAGTCTTCGCCCAATGTTGGATGTTAATTATTTGCCACTGACAGACATGAGGATAGCACGAACATTTTGTTTTACCAATGAAGGACAGGCATTATACCTCGTCTCTCCTACTGAAATTCAGCGGTTAACATACAGCCAAGAAATGTGTGATAATCTACAGGTAGGTCAGGAGTTACATTTATGAAAAAGACATTGGACATGGTTGAGAGAATGAGAAAGATGTCTAAAAACAAAAATATTATTAGGTCAGACAATAATTATGCCCTTCCAATAACATGTTTTGAATATATATTCTTCATTTTGAGCCTACCAACTTCTAGTATGGTTCTAGGTATTGCACAGAAATAATAAGAAAGAGGGAGACAATGGAAAGATCATTCATATTAATAGCTAATCTTTTTGTTTATTTTATTGTTTTTGCCTATGGAGAATCTTATAAAAGATTATAAACTCTCCCCTCAGGGTGGAAAATATGTATGTAAACACAAAAATTTCTATACCATTCAAGGAGTTCAAGAACTCTTGAAGAAACCTTGTGATTAAGGGACACACAAAATAAACATATATCCTGTGGGTTAGAATTGAGCATTTGTCTTTTATTGTAGCAGTAAGCATAGCCTAGAAACAGGATAGATATAAATGTCTAACCTTCTGTAAGAATGGTCACAACATTTTTTAAAAGCATCTTGGACATTTAACTATTTAACCCCCCTCATTTTACAAATAAGAAAACTAAAACATATTTATTATAATACAGGGGTTAAGAGCATAAGCTCTGAACTATTCGAGTTGTATTTTGGCTCCTCCATTTCTGTGACTTTGGGCATTTTACTTAACCTATCTGTACACTCTACTTTGGAGCATTGTTGTCAGAATTTAGTAAGAATTCATATAAAAGACTGAGCTCAGTGCCTGGAATATAGTATGTTTTTTTAAATAAATAATAATAAATATTACTATCATCACCATTGTCATTCTACAGATAATTATTGAGTTTTTTTCTATATGCCTAATACTTGGCTAGACTCTAGGAACATGCTAATAAATAAGATACAAGTCCCTGCCTGCTAGTGTGGAGAGACAGAAGTAAACACAATCACACTACTCTGTGGAAAGTGCTATATATGGCTGTGCCAGTACTGGGGAGACATATAAGAAGGACACCTGGGTTGATGGAGCAGAAGGGAGGTGGTTTAACCCGTTGACTCTCTAACATGCTTTTTAAAAATTTTGTGACCACCCTCACTTAAGGTTAAACTTTTACAGCTATCCTGTTTCTAGTCTATGCCTACTGCTACAATCAGAGACAAATGCCCAATTCTAACCCACTGGATATATATTTATTTTGTGTGTCCCTTAATCAAAAGAAGTTAGAGAAGGATTATGGGCACAACTGACTTCCAAATGGTAAACAGGAGTTATCCAGTTGACTGAATGGTTGGGCATGAAAAAGGTAAGATACTTTAGACAGAAGTAGTGGCATGCAAAAGCCTCACGGCTAAGGAAACTGCCAAAAAAGTGCAGAATTGGGAGTGGAGGTGTTGTGCTGGAGAATTAGTCGAGTAGATCTTGCAGCCCCTTGTAAGCTACCTAAGGAATCTATTATAGCATTTATCCCAAGGGCAGTGGTCATTAAAAAGTTTTAGCAGATTTGTTTATTAAAATAAATATTCTGGTTATAGTATGGCAGTTGGTTTTCAGGAAGCATAAGGATGGAGAAAAGTTAGCAGATTCAATAGCCATAAAGTGTAATCAACTGGATTTAGGGTTATTAGATAATAGGAGTGGAAAGGAAGGAATTAGTCATTTCTCGGTTTCTGGCTTGGGGAACCAAATAGATGATGTTGCCATTTCCAAAGAGAAGGGCTTCAGGAGGAAGAGCACAGGTCTCAGTAGAGGTAAAGGGAGATGATGCAATTAAAATCATACTGGAAGTTCATAGGAAACCAATATTAGGTCACAGATCTCCTGACTCAGTCTAAGTTCCTTTCTCCACACTGATGGTTCTTCAACTTTGGTCTGCTTTAGAAAAAGCTGGGGAGCAAGGTCTGGTAAAAATGTAGATAACGAGAGTACATCTATGTAGAGTCTGATTTCATATATGTGGAATGCAGCCTGGATATCTGCATTTCTAACAAGCATTTCTCTAGTCATTGTAAAGCTCACCAAATATTGAAAACAAATGTACTTCACCCTATACAGTAGCTGCCTATTTTGACTCGTTTAAATTATCTTTAATCATTTTATAGTTTTGTACTCCTACAAAAATAGATCCAACCTTCCACATACCACCAAAGCTGTCCTATTTCATAGGGCAGTCTATGCTTGGTTCAGGGAAGGGTACCAGGATAAAAAAGAAGCTATAGTGACTGAAAAAGGATCAGAAGTCTAGTGGTAATTATTGAGCACAGATGGAAATTAATCCTAGGGTAGCTATATTAGCTTCCCATGCTTTGATGGAAGGAAGAAGAGAAGAGGATAAAGGAAAATTTTAGAATGTTTGTTACTATAGAAGGGGAGGAACAAAAGAAATGCCAGAGGGAGAACTGTGAGCACAGCAAAAATCACCATGAAAATATATGAAAAGCAGACTGTTTTTTCATGATGTGTCCTACTATATCACAGTGTTACCTTTTTGTATATTAATTGATTTTTTAGTTGTTCTAATGCTTTTTTCTGTGAATTTGATGCAGGACATGCTAGGAGATTTGTTTACTCCCATAGAGACACCAGAAGCTCAAAACAGAGGCTTTCTCAAGGGACTGTTTGGTGGAAGCGGACAAACATTTGACAGAGAAGAGCTCTGTGAGTAAATTCCTGATTATAGAAATGTATTGCAAAATAGAAGACGTTTCTGTGTATGTGTATTTGTGTGTGTAACTTAATGTAATATGTGATCTCAAATTCTAGACTACGTATTTTTTGCATCTATCTTAAAGTTTGAATATTTGTTTCCTTCTGTACCATAAAAATCATTTCCATTTACCAACATGGAAAGTGGTCACTTCATATTAGGAAATTGTTTAACAAAAGTGATACATATAATTCATACAAATAATGAGCAAGCTAATAAATATCTCATTTGCAAGTAGATCATACCTGCATGGCAATGTGAAGGTATTCAAAAAAGTCTGGAAAAAAGATTTTTGAATCTGCTTGACTTTAATCACTGCTGGAAAACAGATTCCTTATTCAGAATGTAAGATTTATAAATCCTACAGAATAAATTACTTTAAAAATCTACCAGTGAGACTTTGATAAACAAAATCAAAAAGTATTATTGTTTATCAAAGTCTCACTGGTAGATTTTTATTTATTTATTTATTTATTTATTTATTTATTTATTATTTATTTATTTATTTGAGACAGAGTCTTGCTCTGTTGCCCAGGCTGGAGTGCAGTGGCCTGATCTAGGCTCACTGAAACCTCTGCCTCCCGGGTTCAAGCGATTCTCCTGCCTCAGCCTCCCAAGTAGCTGGGATTATAGGCGCCCACCATGCCTGGCTAATTTTTGCATTTTTAGTAGAGACGAGGTTTTGCTATGTTGGCTAGGTTGGTCTTGGACTCCTGACCTCAGGTGATCTGCCCACCTCACCCTCCCAAAGTGCTGGAATTACAGGCATGAGCCACCACACCCAGCCTCACTGGTAGATTTTTAAATAATAGGAAGATACTAGGGAAAATTTTCAGAGAGAAGGTATGAATATATTTTCCAGAATATCCTACCATCATTTGGTCCTATAGATCAAAATTCTCTTTCTCTGGAACTTTTATGCAAAAACATCTAGGTTCCTTCATACAATAGAATATTATTTGGCCATGAAAAGGAATGACGTACTGATACATGGTACAACATGGATAAACCTTGAAAACATCTTGCTAAGTGAAAGAAGCCAGACAAAAAAAAGGCCACATATTGTATGATTCCATTTATATAAAAGGTCTAGAATGGGCAAATTCAGAAAGACTGAAAGTAGATTAATGATTGCCAGGGGCTGAGGCACAGAAGGAACAGGGAGAGACTGCCAATGAGCATGGAGTTTCTTTTTGGAGTTATGTGTATGTTCTGCAATCAGATAGTGGTGATGGTCGTACAACTTTGTGAATACACTAAAAACAAGTGAATTTTGCACTTTAAATGGATAAATGTTATGTGAATTATATCTCAATAAGGCTATTATTTTAAAAAAATTAGATTCCATCCACTCTTATTTTAAAAAAAATCTAGAATCCATTCCAATATTACATCCTTGGGAATTCTAACTAAATTTCTGCCAAAATAGCTGTTTTTTTTTCCTTAAAAATAAAAATAAAAATAAAAAAAGAATCTCACTTGGCTGCCCAGGCTTTAGAGTAAAGTGGCACAATCATAGCCCACTGCAACCTTCACCTCCCTGGTTCAAGAGATTCTCGTGCCTCAGCCTCCCGAGTAGCTGGGACTACAGGCACATGTCACCACTCCCGGCTAATTTTGTACTTTTGGTAGAGACAGGGTTTCACCATGTTGGCCAGGCTGGTCTGGAACTCCTGACCTCAGGTGATCTGCCCACTTCAGCCTCCCAAAGTGTTGGGATTACAGGCGTGAGCCACCGTGCCCAGCCACAAATTTTTAACATATGTAACTTATATGGGTAAATGTTATGTTTGTTTTATAAATCAATTTTTTAACACACATAACCATCATTCATATATTCATATACCCCATTTTTCAGTATTTACAGAGAGAGAGAGAGACAGAAAGAGAGAGAAAGAGAACCTGTGGCCTACAAAGGCTTATACATGAAGGTGAACCAAGAAGGCTGAAATAAAAACTCAGGCAGAAATTTAAGCAAATGATCAGGCCTAAGCTTGGAACAAACATTAATATGGGTTAAATATGAAGTCACATATTTGAATATTCCAATTCAGCATCAAGAAATGCAATTATGCCATATTGTATGGAACACACACACATACAAAAGGCCTATGATAACAATATATCTCACAGTCTCTTTCTTAGCATTTTTCTTAAGTGCTAACATCTCCAAATACATATATGACTGGACCAAATAAGACTCTCTTTTAATGAGAATTATGACAGTAGAATGTAATACTAGTACTTTGTCTTGGTGACAAGCTTGACTGTTTGAATTACTGACAAAATGTTTTAAATTGCTATTGCATATATTCTCAGTTGGGGAAGCTTCGGCAGGAAAAGCATCCCGCAGCCTTGCGCAACACATTCCTGGACCAGGTAGTATAGAAGGGATGAAAGGCGCTGCTGGAGGGGTGATGGGAGAGCTGACCCGTGCACGGATTGCACTTGATGAAAGAGGACAGAGGCTAGGAGAGCTGGAAGAGAAAACTGCAGGCATGATGACCAGTGCAGAAGCATTTTCCAAACATGCACATGAGGTAAACTGCCTAAGTAAATACAGACATCTTCATACAGGAGTAACTTTAAACATTTAGGATCTGCACAAGAAAGCTTAAACAGAGATCCACATAAGTAATCCTGTATGAGAATCATGGTAACCTAGATCTCTTCTAAGTATTATAATTCTCCCAGTGCTTGGGAGATAAAAGGTTTTTTAAAAAAATACTTTAATGTATCGATACTTCTTTACCTTAGGGGATAATTAAAGAAATTATCCATTGGTTCTGATACATCTGGGATCCACATCCTCCATTTTGTCTCAGTCATGAAAAATCATTTTCTATCAGCTGAGTCTTTACAGCTTGTTTATTTTTAAAATCTTTCTCATATGCACTTTATTTCACAAAATAAAAGAAGCCACTCAGTTTGATTATAAGTTTTGAGATAGATTTGCATGATTAGCTCAAAATGGCCTTGCTTTGAATAGCACTTTTAAAGTATTTTAGCGTCTTATGGTGGCTATTTTTTCTTTGCAGTTAATGCTGAAATACAAGGATAAGAAATGGTACCAATTCTGACTTCTAAAGAAGCTGTGACTGCTTTGAGAAACCATATTCAGGGAAACCAAATTTATTCCCAGCATCACTACTCAACTGCTAGAAGCCAGTTTCTTCTACAAAATGTTCCATTTACAGTCAATCTGAAATTTTCATAAAAGAGATGTATCAGAGACACTGTGCAACCCAAAGGCTGGAGCCCTGGTTAAAATCCCAAAATACGGCTGAATTTGCCTTTTCCCATGTGGAATGGAGCTATCATCTTGGCATGTCATTCGATAAGGATTTATATTTAGTAACTACGGGGAGTCCTCTTGATTTGAAAATTCCTGTACAAACAAAAGCATTAATGCACTTAATGAAAAAAAATCTTTGCATGATAAATTAACATCTTAAGGGGAAAAGAAAAAAAAGCATGTTGTGATAGAAGAAAAAAAGATTCATGGTAAACTATTTCTATCAATTGGGCCACACTCAACAATTTAAAAAATCTGCATTTGAAGATGTCAGTGCATTTCAAATATATTTGCCATACCCAACTGAAACGGAAAACAAAACAAAACAAGAACCCAGAGTTTTCTCCTCATCTGTAACTTTCATTGTACTAGAACCTTATTGAATTCTTATGGCAAGAGTCTGATTAATGTTCTCTCTCCATGTTTTACATCATTCACAGTTGTGTCAAAATCAAATATTGCCAGTATAGTAAATTATTCCCAACACAATCAGTTTCATTTCTATCACCTTCAGAATGGGTTGCTGTTTTTAGCACAAACCATGCAGGGTTGGGTCACCTCAAAGCATTTTCTTCAGCCTGGCTTGTACTCTATAGGGGAGTTGGTAGTAGGTGTGGGGAATCTATAGGAACAATAGAGTTAGCTATGAGAACTGACTTCACAAAAAGGGAAATTTCACACACCCCAATTTCAGCTTCTAAAGTGATATATTTTAAAAGCTTCATTTGTATCCTTGTCTGCCAGTTACACAGTATATTACTGTTCAAACCCAGTAGGGTCTGCAATCGAAAGGTGCTCTTGCAGCCTGACATTCACAAACCAAACTGGTCATTCTCTTTAGTGTGATTCAGTAAAATCTCAGTTAATGTTTTGGGAAAGGGATTCTGATTTATGACATTTCTGATTTACAAGGGCTTTCCTTAGAAAATACCTTTCGGTTTGATACTTACCACTGGAAATTGGTTCGATACTTACCACTGGAAATCTTTATAAAATATAGTGATCTGTTTGCTATCTTGGTCTCAGTCATCATTATAGACAATAGAAATACATAAAGAGTTTAATGATACAAAATCAATGCTTTTGTCCCTAGGTCAAATAATATAAGCCACTAGATTATGTCAATAGATGCCAAACACTTGTCCCTTATTAAAGACTCTTTTAAAGCTGGAATAAAGAATATCCTTAACATGATACAAGGTATCTATAACTCACCAGAAAAGCACCAGAGTCAAAACCAAATAGAGACACCTACTACCATTTAACATGATTCTGGAAGTCAAAAGTTATAGGAATGTATATATACACATTCCAGGACCCATCCTGTAATATGTTGTTTCGTCAAGAAAAGTTTTAATTATGGTTTTGGCTTATTGAATTTTTGTTTATCAAGGTCTCATTGGATTTACATTTGTGTTTCTTAAGACTTCACAATTTTCCTGGATTTCAGGTTATTTTATTAGCCAAAAAATCGTATTTTTATTTCCTTTTTAGTCTAATTTTTTGCTAGAAGTTGTACTTTCTAGCAAATGTTTCTAGTGGTACAATGTTCTCAGTAATTTTGAGGAGAACAAAGATGAGTGAAAGAGTTAGATAATGTACACTAGGATAGCATTTCTCAGAGTCCTTGAATCCTCTTGTTAAGAAAGCCTCTCTGAATCTCCCAGACTCCTGTGAACAGCCTTACGGTAACAGAATCTGGCTTGGAAACACAGACATTACATGACTGTATAATTTATAGAATTATAAAATTATATGGTAAAAATATTAAAGAAACTTAAGAGTAGGATCTAGAAAATACTAGTGGCCAAATTGCAATGTATTCTTTGTACCATCTGTTTCAAAGACTTAGTTTTCTGATTTTCAGAACAAATACTTTATCGTTTCTGTATTTTAAAAAAAACTAAAAGAGTAAAATATTAGTTTATTTTAGAAATAATGAAATTCAGTCCAAAGTAGCAGTACATTTGATGAGTATTTCTGAAGCCTTCAATAAGATTTAACTTGTTTTAACTTGATCTACATCGAGATTTCTCAAAAGCAGCACTATTAGCTGAAAGTCTTTGTTGTGGGGAACTGTCCTGTGTATTGTAGGATGTTAGCAACATCCCTGGCCTCTGTCTACTAGATGCCAGTAAGAACCTCCTAGTAATGACAATCAAAATGTCTCCAGTCATTGCCAAAATTTCTCCCAGTTCACAGCCACTATTCTACATCATACAAAGAGGTAGATTGTGTGAATATGTAATATATGTTGTTGTATAAAACTGTACAATAAGTATACAATGTCTTAGCAAGATAAATTATTATACCCAAAATTACATGTGTGGTTCATATGCAATAAGATACAATTTTGAAGAAAGCTTATAGGAATCAGTGAAAAATAACAACTACAGAATATTTTAAGGCACACAGAGAAAATATCAAAAAGGACATTATAGCATTTCACTGTAGAAGTGCTTAAAACCTTGGCCTCAGTGAATAGATCAAAAGTTTATAATTAGCACACCAATTGGAAGTAAACAGGTGCTTCTCAAATGCTTGAAAAGAAAAGGCTCTTTGAAGTAGTTAAAACGTGTCTTTCAAAATTGCTTTTATAAGCCCTTCCTTAACGTAAGGGTAACTTCATCTCACAAACTCCTGGTTAGTGGAATCCAAATTAATGAGGTTTTACTGTATCAAAATTATTTTTATAATTCAAAGAGATGATAGCAATAAGAAGAATCTAATGTGGATGTGATTTTTCTCTTTGAACAATTCTGTTCTGTTGCACTGACCTTAGCACGCACGCACACACACACACACCATCGCCACCACTACCATCATCATCTTATCCTCATCTTTGGAAAATAAGTACTGTTGATCCATGTAATCCTTTGCATAGTCTCATCTTTACTATCTTTCTTCTATTTCGGAACATAAGAAAAATACTCCTAATAACTTGGACAATGATACAGAAAGTGACTCTGAGCCTTAGTTACCATCAAAATTACATTCTATCTGCTAAAGCGACATCAGAAGATAAGGCTTGCAAACCACAGTCCCAACAAGTTGACCTTGTCTCCCTATGATTTCCTTGGAAGATAAGGCCTTTTTAGTGTTACAGTAGAAAATGGGCCTTTTCATTTATTCATCTGTGAGAAGCTAGAGGTATTTGTTTCCCTGATAATAACGTGAGCAATAGTCCCTACCTTGAAATCATCCATTAGTCTTGGAGTTTGGAGGGAGGAATGATTGATTCCTCATTTGTTTTAATCACCTACAAAAGCAGTACTACTGACTTTGCTTCTTACACTTCACTGAGCCCCAGACTTTAGGGCCCCAATCATTGTCAAGATCATTGTCTAACTGGAACTCTGAAAGGACAGTGACAGAACTGAATGAGATGTTTTCCAGTGATTCAGTCACAAAGACAATTTTCTCAGATCTTTTGAAAGTGATTCTCAAATAAATAAATCAAAATCCAACTCCTTTCCCTCAAAGTTTCTAGGGATCTGAAGGAAAAGGTTTACTGTTGGAGTCCCTTTTTATGTGACCCATGTACCAGTTTTAAAGGCATCATCTATACTTTATCTACATGAAGGGATCACCATGACTTTGAGAGAAAAAAGAATCAGATTAGGCCTAACATTGGTTGAAGAAGATTAAAATAGATTCTTATATTCAAGCAGAAGGGAAAAATGAAGCCAATCTAGAAAAGTAAGCTAAAAATCCTCTCCTTGGCTTAGGATCATTGGGTCAAACTGGGAGTATATCTGTGTGATTACAACCTGCTGCTATGAGAAAAAAGAATTGTAACTTGACCATGTTGGCTCACACAGGGCAATGCAAAAGAAGTCAAAACATTCATATCAGGTCTTGGTATCTGTGTCAGGAGAAACGTGGTGGCTTTCACAGCTTCTTCACCTCTGTCCTCTGTCATGCAACTCCATTTTTGGCTAGGTACTATTTCACATGCACACTGTCCTGGGTGCCAGAAATACTTGTGGTGTACTTGGTTTGAGCAGTACCTCTAGTATGCACCATTCCAGGGAACATGGTTGTCAACATAACAAGTTTAGTGTGTGTATTTGCAGACAACATAGCCCTGAAAGCATGAAATGTAGAATAGGTAAGGTCTGTCTTAGAAAAGGAGGAGGAAGTACCAATTTGGTGCAAGAAGATCGTGGTGAGGAAGGACATGGGAGCCACAGTGAAGTGAAAGAGGCTTTAAGGAATCAGATGCACAGATGGATGCTTTGATTTACACATTTATCTAGAGGAGTGATTCTCAACCTTGACTGTACATAAGAATCACCTCAGGAAATTTTTAAATTCCCAATTATATTAAAATCATTTGGAGTGGGAACCAGACACCAATATTTGCGAAAGCCTCCAAGGCGGTTCTAATGTCCAGCCAAAGTTGATTATCACTGCTTTATGGCCAACTAAGGAAACCTTGTTTGTCTGCCTTGGCTGGTGCTCCAGCCCCAGTTCTGAGTGGTCAGGGAAGGCAAGATGTAAGATATAGTAATGGTATTTATTCTGTATGTCTCACAGAACAAAAGCATTTGAGAATTTCTGACCAGGCAGTGCTCCATCAACTCTTAATAATCATCTTTGTGATATTCTCCTATGTGACTTGTCCATCAATTATTCCAATTCAAAGGTCTAGGTTTTTTTTCAATTGTCTTACACATGTGACATCACAAGATACCAGAAGTAGCACAGTAAATTCAAGAGCATATAAAGCTAAGTGGAAAACTAATTCTTCATATTTAGACAGTGGAAATTCTCAAAACAATCATTTGCTAAATTAGGTCCAAATTTATTATTCATTCTTCTTCTGGAGGAGACATGGGTACCAGGTACCTGTTCTGCTGTAGGTATATTTCACTGGACTTGGTCTTAGCAAAAAGGAAGAACAAATCTTCCTTTTTGATTGTTATCTCAATCAAAAGCTCCCAGGGCCACTTGGATTTATTTTCTTAGTCTTTGGACATGTGTTTAAAGGAAAAGAATACCTGTAACTTCCTATATGACATCCAGTGCCCTGAAAGGGTGCTTACACCTTCAAAAAAGGAGAGTCCAGCCTATCAAAGGCAGTAACACATAATGAGAAGAAACTCAGAGTTATTGCCTTTCATACTGCTTTCCCTCTGCTGTTGGCCCACCCTTCTTGACTGCAAAGCCAGAAAATAAACTAGATGGTGGTTTTGGACAATTGTACACAGGAACAGAATCTCTAATAACCTATAATTTTTAGTACTTAATTATGTGATGTTTTATTCTAGGAAATAAGAAACAGATGACATCATTGATGTATCTTTCTTTCATCTTCAGAATTTTTGCATCTTTTCAGAAAATGACAAATTACTATTTTTCTGTTGCACTCAGCAATTGTGACTATACTTAACAAAATTCTTGTAGTCTGTAGAGATATCAATAAAATTGTATATGTTTGTACATAGATGCTCTCTTATGTCATGATGTCATGCACTAATGATTTTTTCCAAGATTACATATGGACAGAGGTAAGACCCATTTATAACAGTATGAACTATGGTTTTGCAAAGTGTTAATTGTTTTCAAAAAGCAGGGAGGGGGTGGGAGAGCAATGTACAGCAAATCTATCAAATACAACTTCCCAAAACTCACACATTGTACTAGAATTTATTAACCCAATAGCCATTCAAAATCTCCATCAATTTGAGGAGATGTGTTACTTTTTGTTGGAAGACTTTAAAGACAACTTTTGACGATGTTGATTGAAGTCCACCTTCAGTGAAGTACAAGCAAAAATAATTTGTTAATAATGCATCAAACGAAACCAAGGTGGGTAAGATGTACCTACAAACTCAACATGCAGACCTTACTTCCTCACTTCTTTTCAGCTCAGGCTTTGTCCTCATCCAGGCAGAAAAATTAAGCTACTATGGGCTTATTCCAGCTCCTAGTAGTTATGATAAACATTCATTAACTCAAGACCTCCAACAGTTCTCTGGAGAGTGTGCTCTCCTGCGCCTCTGGCTTTCATAAGCATAGTTAATTCCTCTCCAGGCACTTTCCCCATATTTATCTATACTCTGGCCATAAACAACTGACTTTATTCTTCCAAATCCTGTCTAATTTAATCTCAGGAAAATTTCCCCACCGCCATAATTTTTCTCCTAATTTTAGTTCCATATAAAAATTGGAAAAAACAGCCAACCAACTCTAGGCTAAAAAACTTGTTGATTAAAAATACAAATATGCATACTGACCCTTTAAAATACAAATTCCTTTTCAGAATTTTTCTCTAGCAGAATTTCTTCAAAGGGATCCATTTACCTTCTTATTTTTGAATTACAATAACTCAAGCTTCAGATACTTGCATTCAATATTTGAAATACTGATTCGACTTCCTTTCTTCCTTCTTCCCTTCCTTTCTGTTTCTTCCTCACCCCCTCCCTCCCTCTGTTCCCTGCTGCCCTTTCCTCTCCTCCCTTCCTTCCTCCTTTCTTTCCTTTCATTCATTCATTCATTCCAAAAGTCAGCCACACTCAAAAAGGTTGGTGATGGCATCCCCATACAAAGACTGCATTGGAGTAGGGTGAGAAGGGCAGCCCACAGGAGACAGCACTGGAGGGAAGTGGCAGGGTCAACCCTTCAGTGGTCAGTGATGGCGTGTGATGTTGGCACTGGAGCAGGGCAGAAGGCAGCCCGGTGGGGTCAGGAGGTTGGCTACCTACAGGGTACTGAGCAATTAACAAGTACATTGATACTATGGGAGCCAGGTTTCTCCCTGATGGAGAACAAAGAAAGGAAAAATTAAAAGGGAAAGCTAGAATAAACCCTGTGGTATTAGATTAGAATAGGAAGTATAAGTATAAATTTTTACATATATATAAAGTGTGTATAAATAATGTATACAAATATATATGGGTATCGCTACATAGTTTACATACATATGTGATATAAAGGTGTGTGTGTGCACACGTGCCTGTGTGGTACATATATATTTCCTAATTCTGCACACCAAGAGGACAGGGAGCAAGCCCCTCACACCCTGGAGCAATGAGCACAACTAGTGCCTGGATATTGATTTCCAATTACTATTCTCTGCTAAAAGGAACTGGAGCTCTATGAAGAAATGTCTGATTTTAAGGAACATTTTTGTGTCAGAAAATAAAGTATTCAAAGAATAGGGACATGTCAAAAGGAAACAGCAGCTAGCTTAAGGACATGCTAGCTTAGGACAAGCTTAAGGACAAGCTAGCTTAGGACAAATCAGGTATAATTTGAGCATCAAGGCCAAGTGCAGTGGCTCATGCCTGTAATCCCAGCCCTTTGGGAGGCCAAGGTGGGAGGATTGCTTGAGACCAAAAATTCGAGACCAGCCTGGGTAACATAACAAGACCCTGTCTCTACCCAAAAAAAAAAATAATAATAATAATGAAAAGAAAAAGGAAAAAGCATCAAAAGTCATAACAGTAACTTAATAAGTACACACTAGTCCACATTAATATAAATAAAAGGAGAAAGCAAAAACTCTTTCTTACAATAGAATGTCAACAAATAAATAAATGTAGATGGAATTTTGAAATTACCATTTAGCAACCATTATCATAACGACTTGGGCAACAAATACCAGTGGATGCTAAAACTAGTGAGGTAAAGTGGGACAGAGGAAGAGGACATTTCCATAGTCAAAGTATCTTCACAAAAAAACATTTGCTAATCATAAAGAAAACTGTAACTAGAGAAACATGGCAGACACCATCTTAATCAAGTGATCAGTTACCACCACCAGCAAGGGAACAAATCAACATCATGCGCCACCTGACAGGATGCAGTGAGTGAGAACCCAGTATCACCTCTGCAATATTCCTGCCAAAAAGGCAGAATCAAGGTCTAATCATGAGGCAATAAACAAAACCAAATTGAGTGACATTCTATAAAATATCTGCCCTCTATTAAAAATTTTCAGTGTCATAAAAGTCAAGGAAGGATGTATGTTCTGGATTTAAGGAGACTAGACAGTCATGACAACTAGGTGCAACTCTTAGTCTTGGATTGGACCCTTTTGCTATAAATGACATAACTGGAGAAATTAACAAAACTTGAATGGTGATTTCCGACTTGATTGGGATTCTTGGTAGTATTCTTCAAACTTTTACCTAGGTTTTAAGTTATTCCAAAATAAAGTTATAAAAATAAAATATTTCCAATCTTGTTGTATTACTTGCACTTCAATGGCATTGTCTTCTACCTTTCATAGCAAATGGACAGCGGCTTTGCAGCTTCAACAATAGTCTCGTGAGCTGATTTGGGAATCCAACCATTATTTAAACATTTTTTAAAATGTATTTTAACTGCACAAATAATACATAAATGCATATTGTAATAGTCATATGATAAATTTAGACAAGATCAAGTGAGTATTTCCCTTGGTTACCTCCTACTCATCTAAACTAACGAGTTATAGTTTGCTGTGTTTCCTTCTAAAAAATTTTTCTATGCTGCAACGTGCTTATTCATGTCTCTACTATGTCTCAGATCGTTCTTTGTCAGTACCTATAATTCATTCTTTTTAACTCACTTATATTATCCCATGGTGTCAATAAACCATAACTTGCTACCACTCTTAACTAGTATTTAGATATTTTCCAATCTCTTGATATTACAAACAAGACTGCAGTGAACATCTGCACATGTATTTTGCATACATGCAAGTGTTTTCTCTAAGGAAGATGTTAATGTCAAGTGGAATTGCTGAATTAAAGGGCATGCTCATTTAAACAATTTAAATAGATGTTGACTAAATTATTCTTCTACCAGTGTATAAAAATTAGTCTCATCTTCACCTATTTTCAAATATTTTTATTTTTTCACACTGTGAAAGATGAAAATGGCATCTTATTGTTTTAATTGGAATTTTTCTGATACGAAAAGGTTTATTACTCAGTGAGGCTTTCTGCAGAGAGCAAGGCAACTTGAGAGAACAAGGAAGAGACTGGGTTTTTATTGTGGTCAGAAGGTGGGCCAGGGGTTGCAGCATGGGGCTTGCAGGGTTTGAAAATCCCACTGGCACCAAAGAAGGGAGCATTGGATTTCTTCTCAGCTTACTCAGATGTGGACAGAAGAGGAAGTGGGAGAATAGAGGCTCAAAACTTGTCAGCAAACATCAAAAGATGGAGTCAGACTCTACTACAGATCATTTGTCTATTGTTGATTTTTAAAATGTAGCTTATTTTCTATGACTGAGTTTTCCTTGCCTTTGAGTCTTCCTAGGAATTCTGTAGTCTCTCCCTCTTCCTCCTTACAAGATTGGCTTCTGGGTTTAGGGGAAGGCTTATATTAACTCATGATAAGGAAGGAGGGGTGCTGGTCCTTGTCTTCCTCCTTGGATCCTCTGGGACTCTGTAACAGTGGCTGGTCTGTTGTGACCCTTGAGCACCTTCCACTGATATGTGCTGAAGTACAACTGATGAATGTGTGGTTTGCTCTCACTTGGGGTTAGCACCATATGGTACTCGCTTGCTAACTCAGCCTTACTTAGGCTATGGATCTGCTTTGGATTTGCTGTTGTGCCATGGCCCCTGGGTTAGACAGTTCAGTGTCTTTCATGATTTAACTTTATTGATGTCCCTTTTATACTGAAAATTTTTCTTTATAATGTAGTCAAGTTTTATCTTTTACCTTTATGATTTTAGAACTTTGTTTTAAAGCAGGCTTTTATTTCTATAAAGTCATAAACATTCTCATATTTTTTTAATTTACTTTCATAGTCTTCTTTTAAATATTTAGGCTTTTAATCCATCTGGAGTATTTTGTGAGCATTTGAGATAGAGATCCAACTTGATATTTTTACCAATGGATACTCTTATCACTACATCGCGTTTATGAACAGCCCATCTTTCACCACTAATTTGAAATGACATTTTAATCATTTCTCATATAAGTCTGTTTCTTAAATTCTTTAGTCTGTTTTAATACTCTTACCTATTTCTATCCCCTATATATAATTTGAAACTATTATGTCTTTGTAATACATCCTAATATCTGATACAAATCTTTGTTATTTCTCAAGTTTGATAGGTACTGGTATTTTGTGTGTGTGTGTGTGTGTGTGTGAGAGACAGAGTTTTGCTCTTTTTGTCCAGGCTGGAGTGCAATGGCGCAATCTCGGCTCACTTCAACCTCCACCTCCTGGTTTCAAGTGATTCTCCTGCCTCAGCCTCCCAAGTAGCTGAGATTACAGGCACCCGCCACCACACCCGGCTAATTTTTTGTATTTTTAGTAGAGAGGGGGTTTTGCCATGTTGGCCAGGATAGTCTCGATCTCTTGACCTCGTGATGCACCTGCCTCGGCCTCCCAACGTGCTGGGATTACAGGCGTGAGCCACCACGCCCGGCCAGGTACTGGTTTTTCTTCAGGTGAGTTTTAAGATACTATCTATCTAAAAAATATAAAATCCTGATGAGACTTTGATGGAATTAAAGTTATAGATTAAAAATTAATGAAGTTTTTTGTTGGCATCGCTTCCTCTGGGACATCTTTATCCTTTTGTCACAACCATTTTCCTCATTTATGTAAATTGTGCCTTTACTGTTTCTCAGGTTGCCTATCTACTGTATCTCAAACAGCAGTAGTGTCAGCATTCCCAGGCAGGTAGTTCTTCTGTAATTCCATTTATGTTCAATTTGAATTTCACTTCCAGTGTTATTTTTTACTTCTCTGGTACACTTTGATCTTTATTAGCCAACTTCTACTTTTGATTATCCATTTTTGTATAATGTGGATTTACCACTGGGAGACAAGCAATCAACACAACTACATTTTGCCATCTGCAAGTAAAGTGAATAACAGATGTGAAGTAGCCAATCACAGACAGCCTTTGGAAGAAGTGATGTAACTGGTCCTCATCATGATGCATGTATGAATATCCTGTTACTGCTACCAATTCCACAAACTTACTAGCTCAAAACAATTCAAATAATTGTCTTGCAGTTCTAAAGGACAGAGGTCCAAAATGGTCTTAACTGGGCTAGAGTCAAGGTGTTGGCGGGGCTACATCCCTTCAAAAGGTTCTAGGAGAGAATCCATTTCCTTACCTTTTCCAATTTTTTGAGGGTTCCTGCATTCCTTGGCTCATGGCCCCTTCTTCCAACTTTAAAGCCAGCAGTGTAGCATCTTCAAATCTTTCTCTGTTTCTGTTGTCACATCTTCCCTGACTCTGACCATCTGCTTCCCTCTTATAAAGACCCTGGTGATTACAATGGAACCATTCAGATAATCCAGGATAATCCCCCACCTCAAGATCTCTAACTTAATCACATCAACAAGGTCCCTTTTGCCATGTAATATAATAGTTCACAGATTTTAGGAATTAGGATGTGAACTTTGGGGTGGGGGGCATTATTCTGCATAACACAATGTGCATTTCTTATTTACACAGTGGTTGTGGTTTGAAGAACTATCAGTGAAGTTTGAATTTCATGCAGTTACTCACAGTTAATATCCACTGGTAACTGAAATTTGAATTGTGTTGCAGGGGAGACTCATGTTATTAAGTAAACCATAGTAACTGGGATTTGTGCACATCTGAATCATGCAAAATGGGGATGGCCTGTTTCAGGTCCAGCTGACAGGTCAAACAGAATGAGAAAATGCATGTGACTACACATGCTGGGCCATGGCTGCAGAGAATGAGGCAGAAGGGACTTTTGCTTGCCCTCATGTTTGAAGAACACTCACAGGTAAACAGATTGAGCTTTCTCTTGTGCCAGATCTTTCAAGCCTACCAGAATACTGACAGCACTTCAGCTTCTGAGAAACATAGTACAGGTAAATATGGAAAAAGAAATAATGATATTCTTCCCTCTTACTGCTGCCATCTCTGCCTTTCTCACCCTGCCACCCCAAAAAAACTATGTCTAAGTCTCTTATGCATTAATACCCAACTACTGATAATGCATTACATTTTATAAAGCAACTATCTTTTTTCATTATTCTGATTAATAAACATAAAAGAGCTCTTCTGGTAACTGATTAAGAATATAATCAGTGTTTCCTATGAACAAGCTATGGAGTAACTAAATAAGGGACACTCTTAGACCAACTATAATTTTTAACAAAACAATTGTTGATATAAAGTTTCTCATAAATTCATTTTATTTCAACAGCAAAAAGATTAGCTCCATCCCTCTGATTGGGATCACAAAGTACAATCTTTTCAGCATGGGTTTTCTCACCATGCCACAAACAGAAAGAGGCACTAAGGGACTGATAAGGGGGTATTTTCTGTCTCTGGCAGTATTATATTGACCTGCAATAAAAACATCTGATCTTACAGAACAGGATACCTCTTGAAGAGGTATAGTTTATTTTATAATATGTAAGTATTCCAAATACATTCATTGTATGAATTAGGGAAGGAAAAGCAATAAGAAACATTTCATGAATATTCATTCCTACACTCCAACCATACCAAGTCTTACTACTTTATAGAATTCATAATTTATTAGCCAATACTATTTTAAAATACTATTTCCGTACTGTAAAATTGATATTAGAGGAAAAAAAGTCACACACGATGCCTACCACCACCAGGGTGAAACCAAATCTTTATCTGCCTATGGCTGCTGTCTGGGTCGATTGAGGCAGCAGCTTCATTTTCTTCATGGTTTACCCAGACAGATGTGGAACCAAAGTGCTAAGTGCATATTTCAAGCATCTGTTCTGAATATGTTTAAAGCCACAGTAAGTTACAAAAGGCAAATTCATAGATGCTCTTTGAAAGTGAATGTAACTATTATACTTGGTATTCTACTTCCCCCACGCCCCCAGAAGTTTTTGATGCTATAGACACTGATATATAGTTTGAAACTCTCACTATAAAATTACTAGGCTAAGTCTATCAAGACTTGAAAGTTTGTTTTGCTGAGGTAGGTGAAAGGGTAATCTCTGTTCTTTCCAGGTGACTGCATCTGCACAGGCTTCCCTGGGAGGACTTCATCAACAGCACAGTTACACATCAAAGTCCTTTAGCTCTCCCCAGCTGGCGCCTATTTTCACTTTCACTTTCAATTTCACAGACAGTTTTACAGCACTTTCCATTTCATTCTTGACAATCTGAGCTACCTAAGGAAAAAAAAAATGTAGTTAACAAACTGCCCAGTCAAAGAATGTTTCCCAAACCATCCCCTGAGAAAGTTATAAACCAGACTGGAGCTCTTCACCCAATGGTGCTTAAAATGCTAAATCAGAAAAAATAAAAAATAAAATAAATAAATGAATAAATAAAAAGACATCTCATACTCTTCTTCACTGATGAGCAGGAATTTCTGAAAGTTTTTGCTAGAATGCTTGGAGCTTAGAAACCCTAAGGGAAAGACTCCAAATTTTTGTTTAATTCCTCCAAGACAAAAACATCTTGCATTGGCAATTCTTCACTTATTAAGAACTAGTACAAAACGGAACACTCTTAGCTCCTTTTCTACCTGTAAGGACTCAATATTTATACAGCCATCCCAGGGCTAGGGTAGAGTTCCAAAATCCTCATGCACAGGAAACAAAGCTGTCGGCCTGACAATACAGTGTCTTGTCTTCCTATGGAATGGACACAAGCATTGCAAAAATACCTGAACAACATCTTCTTCTGCCACTTCATATAGGAGTTCATCATGGAGTTGAAGGATGAAGAAGCCTCCTCTGATTGGGCAGAACATCCCTTGCAGTTTTCTCTTTCGTGACAATCCTACTTCATGAAAAAGGAGCAAAACTGATCAGCATGTCGCTAAGTCATAGGAGAATGTTTTTAGAGATTCTGAGTAACTCTGAGGAATTTTAATGAGAAGATTAAAACACACAAGAATAAGAACTATCAGGAAAATAACTACTTGCTGGTCGCTACCTACCCTAAGTATCCGGTATAAACTCACAAACTTCCTCCTAGAAAGAAGGAGTCTCCCAAAGAAGTCAGTAAATGGGGTGTGAGGAACTCTGCTCCAAGCTCTAGTCCAACTTATTTCTCATGAATAACTAACATTTTCTCTATCCATGGAGTCCCCCAACCACCATCTGAGTAATAGCACCAGGGAGGTATGGGGCCTGATTCCTGCCCCAGGAAAGCAAACTAATATTGTTAGGCACTGTTTCTTAAGGGGGACACTCCCTCATGTCTTTTTATGGCCAGAAGTGTCATCGTGATAGAACTGGTGCTTCCCCAATTGAACCGTACACACTCCAAACAAGTAATTGTAAAACCTAGGCTCCCAAAGTGGACTTCAGAGAGTACATAAACCCCTTGCAGTTATATGTAAGAGTCTATGTCTGTACGTTTTTCTGTGGAGATAATCCATACCTTCCAGTAGCCATAACTCCAAAATATATACTAGACTTAGTTACTATTTCCTCATTAGCTGGATCTAGTGGTACAGATTATGCCCTTCTGACCAAAAAGATAAAGCTCAACATGAACACCTTTACTGGAACTGCCTTTACTTGTTTGCTTAAACCTCACAGTAGTCATCTTCCTTTCTGTTGTCCAAATTCCCTACTTATCTTTCAGGTCCAGCATGAGTAACATCTCCCTCAGTATCTGGTGCTTCCCTCAGGGAGAGAGTTCTTCAACTGTCACTATCTGCAGTGCCAGTTTGCTCAGAGGTGGCTCTCACACAGTAAGCAAACAAAATCACCTGAGGCTGCAGCAAGCTGCTTCCACACTAGGACTGCAAAGGCTGTACCTCTGTTCACCTGTTCAGCTGAAATCGGATCTGCCCCATGAAGCCACACTTGGCTCACACCATTGACTGTCTGGATGCTCTAGCTTTTCTGCTTTCTGATGACCATGCCTTTGCCCTCTTGATTTCCCTTGGCTACCTGGCTTCTGACCTAGAATGCCATGATGCTCTTGTTCCCCATATGGTCTGCTTCCTCATGCTCACCTTCCTTTCATCCTACTGACCTAGTGCTACTTTAAGCTGGCATGACATCATGAAGCCATCCTCAGCGACAGAGCCATATCGCCTTCCACTGACTCTTAAAGTCATTACTGTCTGTATCCTCATTTTGACATTTATCACTCTGCTGTGTGGAATTAATACAAATACTTCAGTCAGGTATCATATCTTCCTCTCCTTTCTTAAATAGAACTTAAATTTAAAGATAGATTGATAACTTTTACTTCTAAATCCCCAAAGCACACAGCACAGTATTACTCCCCAAATGAGTTTAATTATATATTCTCTCTCAATTAAATATAAATGTGTATGTGTGTGTATATACACACATAGTCCCACACTGAAAATGAATGAGGGGCCTCAGGTATTTCAAGGGGGACTGATGACAATATTAATAATCCTCACTTAATGAGAAAATAAACTTTTGTTATCTACGTATTTTTGTACGTAAGTGAACACGTTATAACTGGCTGTATTATTCTCTATAACCTGTATGTATGTCTCTTCTAGAAATAGCAAATCTCATCCTCAATAACTAATCATGACCTTTCTGCCCCATCTCTAGCAGCTTTTTCTTCCTCTGTATGCACCAAACCTTAATTTCTTCCCAGGAAAATTTAAAACATGCCTCCTGGCTGGGTGTGATGGCTCACGCTGGTAATCCCAACACTTTGGGAAGCCAAGCTTGGCAGACAGATCACTTGAGGTCAGGAGTTCCAGAAGAGCCTGGACAACATGGTGAAACCCCCTCTCTACTAAAAAAAAAATTTTTTTAAATTAGCCAGGCATGGTGGCACACTCCTGTAATCCCAGCTACTCAGGAAGCTGAGGCAGGAAAATCCCTTGAACCCAGGAGGCAGAGGTTGCAGTGAGCTGAGATCGTGCCACTGCACTCCAGCCTGGGTGACAGAGTGAAACTCTGTCTCAAAAACAAAAAAAGTCTGCTGTCATGGTTTGACAATCTCAGTGACAGTGAAATGGTATTTAAAGCAGAAATATGGAATGTGACAGAAGAAAAAAAGAAAATTTCACTGTACTTGTTAGTACAAGAAATAATTTATCCAAGCAATAAAGGGAAAACTCAGGGAAAATATTCTGAAAGTAAGAACAAGAAAACAATATCAGCAAAGGAACATATGTGATAAAGAGATCAAGAGTATATTCTAAGATCAGAGAACACTGAAGGTCATAAATAGGAATATCAACATATCCTTAAAGTATGGTCTGAAGACCACAGAGGATCCCAAAATCTGCAGTCAAAATTACTTTCATAATAACACTATGAGGCTATTTGCCTTTTTCAGTTTTATTTTCTTGTAAGAGTGCAGCAAAGTGGCCAACTGTCCTGGTATAGAAGTGAAATTCCACATCCTGGGAAACTCATCCGTCTCCCACAAATTGAGACATGCATCATCCCAGACTGTACAGAGTTTCCCAAAGAGGGTTACAGGACATGTGATATTACAACAGATTGAATACAGAAGCAGATACAAACAGCCAGCTGTGTTCTCTTAAGCCAAACATTAAAGAGATTTACACATATGTAAAATAAAGCCACCTATCAAGAATTTTCTTTAGTTCTTAAGAGATGTAGTTATTTTCATAAAAATATGTGACATGTCAAAATATGGTGAGTTTGTAATTACTTTAAATGTTAATGTTTTAAAATTCCCTGTTTTAATTTATAATATGGTAAATATATAGACATAACCCACAAAAACAAGAGCTCTTTGAAATCCTTAATAATTTCTAATAGTATAAAGACATCATGAGACCAAAACATTTGAGAACTGTTGAGAAATAAAATAAAAAATACTTCCCATTTACATTTCTGATACAATTATTCTCATCATGTTACAGCACAGGCCTCATCTATGAACAAACCTGTTTGGTCACTTTGGAGCATACCCTCTCGATGACCATGGGATTTGAAGGTTGAGTGGAAGGTCTCTAATTGCTTCTGAATGTTAACTGTGGCTATTTTGACAATATCAGCTGCTGATCCTTGGACTATTGTGTTGATAGCTTGACGCTCAGCCTAGAAAAAACAATCAACAGGTGCTCCACCAGATATGCCAACATGGTTTCATACTTTCCTTTAGTGTCCACAGTTCAGTGCTCACATTTGCAGCCAGACTGGAAAGCTGGACTGAGATGCAACCCAGAACACCAACTATTAGGCTGCATCCTAAGAATAACACCTATCATGATCCAGGGCTCTAGATTCTGGGGTTTCCACATTAGGGCAGACAAAAATAAGGTCAGATTGCTTCAGCTTAGATATCTTGACTACTCAGTTAGCATCCAAAAACTACTTTGCACTTAGATGTATTTAGCTCATCAGTGTTATAGCTGTTCTAGACATCATTCTAAGAGATCTGCTCCTCAAAATAATCTTAATCCTAAATAAGTAGAATATCATTCTTTGGGAGGGGGGTTGGAATGTCCTAAGCACACCCTCTATACCAATGGCCTCTTGGTCTTTAATATAGAGTGTGAGCCCTGCAGGTATGGAGCCCTCTGATGTGAATCAGAGCTTTTCATGGGCTGCTGAGGCAAATCCTTAGCCGCTAGTGAAAACGCACATCCTAGATCCCTGGGTATTCAGTTACAACTTCCTTGAAATGACTGCTGCCAAGTGCTTCTTGGCAGGGAACCATGCCTACTAAAATTAATCATCTTGGAAGAGTAGAGAAGGGAGTCTGGGTTAATATCCAGGTGTAATCTATATATGAATATCATTCCCGGTGCCCCAAAATATCTAAGAAAATGAAAAAGGTCTACTCCAGGGAAGGGGGTCAATGTAACATGAGAGGTATTCTCTAGTCCTCTGTCATCTGAGCTATACCCAACTTCTAGTATATTAAATGCCTGTAATCTCAGCTACTCAGGAGGCTAAGGCAAGATGATCAGTTAAGACCAGGAGTTTGAAACCAGCCTGGGCAACATAGTGAGACCCTGTCTTTAAGAAAAACAAAATAAAACAAAAACCTCTCTCCACACCTAAAATTACTAATGAGTGGGAGAAAAGGCCAGACACAATGTAGGAGAGAATATTTTCTACACATGTAACCAGTAACAGGTTCCTACAAATTGATAAGAAAAAATGCAGAAAACTCAACAGAAAAATTAAAAAGAAAACCAGAATAGGTATTTACCCATGAAAAAATAACTAAATGGCTAATACACATTTGTAAGGTTGCTCATTTGTAAGATTACCTCACTAGTAGCCAAGGAAACACAAATTAAAATTACAGGATACTACTTTATACCCACCAGAATAGCTAAAATTATATTAGCTTAATAGCAAGTGTCGACAAGAATGCAGAGCAGTGAGGACTCACATACTCTTCTGAAGGGAGGACAAACTGCTATAATCTCCACAGAAAACAATTTGGCTTTATCTACTGAAGTTGAAAATATGCAGCAATCCCACCACTGTGTCTTTACCAAACATAAATGCATGTAAATGTGCACCAAGAACCTTGTACAAGCATGTTCAAAAACATAATAGCTTAGCTTCAAACTGAAAACCCAAGTTCTCATCAAGAGAAAAATAGATAAATTATGGTATATTTATATAAGAGTATACAGCTATTCCTACAAGAAACAAGAATGACTTACCCATGTAATTTTGATAGAAGCTAGATACAAAATATACATATATGATGTATATGGAGCTCAAAAAAATGCAAAACAAAACTATAGTGTTAGAAGTTATAACAGTGGCTATTTCTGGGAAGGCGATGGGTGGTGATTAGGAGGATGCATGAGGGGCGCTTCTGGGGCACTGACAGTATTCTATTTCTTGCCCTGAGTGGTAGTTACACAGGTGTAGCTCTGTGATAATTTAGTGAAATCTACATTCTTTATGTGTGAGAATGTATTTTTCAGTACAACAAAAGTTTGAACAAAAGCAAAAACCAAAACAAAAACCAAAAAACAACCTGGCTGTGTTTACTCTATTCCTAATTCAGAGGGCTGGAATATTTTTCCTCAGCAGCAACATAATGAATCAGAACTTTAACACTGAAGTATTTGGCATGAAAAAGTCTTATTACTCTCTTGCATCTTCAGGTACAATAATATTAATTTTCACAAACTTATATGATTCATTTATATTAATAACTACATATTCCATTTTTTATCATGTAAATTCCAGAAAACATAATCAATTCGTATTATTAGATCGAGTCCAAGTTTCTCAGCCTGCCACTAAAAGCCTTCTGTCATTTAGAAGAAGCCTTTTAGTCTCCTAGGTTCTAGCTGGCTCCATCTATCCAGGAGAAAATTATATACCCCTATGTGACAACTCAAACTCTCCATTCCTACCAGTTTGGCTTCTAGCCAGTCCTCACTCAGTTATCCTTTTGTGATTGTCTTTTTCTCATTCCCAACAGCCTAAACTTTAGCCTTCAAGAATCTGTTTAAGTCTTTCCTTCTCCCTGAAACCTAAATAATTAAGTATATCAATGATGTTTTCATATATATTTTTTTGTTTGCATTATTTCTTCCAAGACTTAAAACTTAAGTTTCCTAGTCCATCAACTAAAGTTACTAGTTCACTTAGAGATATGGTAAAAGCCTGATAAATATCTGATATTTGCATGTGGATATATGGGAGGCTAGAGAGTAAAGCAGTAACAAAAAGCCAACTATTCTTCCACAGTCCCTAAAAGCATTAATGCTCTGAAGGCTTTGAGCTCCAGACAGAAGTTTAGCGGGGTATTTTCATTATATACAATGTCTAATGAGCACTAAAACACAAAGTTATGGGTGAAGGGCAAAAAACATCTAGTTAAAATAGGAAGATATGAACTATACTAGAAGTTTAAATACTTAGGTACACAGAATACTTTCATGAATCCCAATGAATTCAGAAAGACACTTAAACATAATTTGAGCAAATATCAATAAATCTTTTAAGTGCCGTTAAAAATAGCCTTATTCACTATTTGGGATATCTTAATAATCTCTGATGAGATAGTGCCTTTTTTTTTTTTTTTAATTAAACATAGGGTCTCATTCTGCCACCTAGGCTGGAATACAGTGGTTCAATCATGGCTCACTGCAGCCTCCAATTCCTGGGCTCAAGCAGTCCTCCCACCTCAGCCTCCCAAGTAGCTAAGACTACAGGCATTGCACTACCTCACTCAGCTAATTTATTTATTTTTATAGATATAGGTGATCTCACTATGTTGCCCAAGCTGGTCTCAAACTCCTGGGCGCAAGCAATCCTCCTGCCTCAGCCTTCCAAAGTGCTGGGACTACAGGCATGAGCCACTGTGCCTGGCCAGATAGTGCTTTTAAAATAAGCAAACAAGTAGAATGAACCAAAAATTAATCAAAATTTAGTGACTGGCTAATCTCTGAGGAATGTTAGCAATTTGGTATGATATGATAAATTAGTATATGGTATAGGAAACAAAGAATAATTAGCAAATGTAAAAATTAAGTTTATTTACAACTTAGTACCTAAGCTAATAAATAATTGGTTTACTGCAACAGAACATGTTTAAAGTATTATTAAGTAAACACATGTTTACATTAATCCCCCAGACTCTGTTCAGCAAATACTGGCATGTGCCATCACTTCAGAAGTCCTTAATGAAACCAATGGTTGACGTTGTCTATACAGAAAATCCAATTAATATGCCAGTAATCCCTAAAACGGATATTTGTAGTATTTACTCTGCTGAAAAAGTACATGTCATTGAAATGTTAAGTTAAAATTCCTAAAAAATTTCAACATACGTGAGCTTTACGATAAGGGTTGTTGTCTTTGATTCCTGGCAAATATCTACGCCTTCCCAAAATGGTCTGAACAAATCCGTCTCTTTTACAATTCTTCACTGTCTCTGTCATGAATTGATTAATCCCTACAAAGAAAATACAGAAATAATTAATTAGAACCAAAGTCTATCCTTCACTTCATTCACTGGCTTAAATATGGCAAAATACACCAAAACCCCACGATGATTCTTAACATTAATATCATATCGTCAAATCAGGCATGCGAACTTTCATTCACTTTTTCTAGACTCAAAAAGTTAGAAATAAAAGAGACTTTAGAAATGAAATACTCTAACTCTTTGGGTTTTTTTGTTTTTGAGACAGGATCTCGCTCACTCTGTCACCCAGGTGGGAGTGCAGTGGTGCTATCATGGTTCACTGCAGCCTGGATCTCCCCAGGCTCAGGAGATCCTCCCACCTCAGCCTCCTGCCTAGGTGGGACTACAGGCACCGCGTCACGATGCCAGGATAATTTTTATATTTTTTGTAGAGATGAGGTTTCGTAATGTGGCCCAGGCTGGTCTCAAACATCTGAGCTCAAGCGATCTGCCCACCTCCGCCTCCCAAAGTGCTAGGATTACAGGTGTGAGCTACTACATGGCCTTTGTTTTTTGAGTAACAACAACAAAAACAAAACGTAAAACTAAAAATTCCAGAACGGGGCAGATATCTAGGTGTCTTTATTCCAGGATCTTAAGACTATTCCACATCACTTTTCACAAGTGTCTGTTGATTGTGTGAATCCCCTTTTACTCTTTCATCTTATCATTCCTAGGTTTAAAACATTTCAATA
This sequence comes from Homo sapiens, assembly GCF_000001405.40. NCBI lineage: Eukaryota > Metazoa > Chordata > Mammalia > Primates > Hominidae > Homo > Homo sapiens. Next base: position 121,440,824 of record NC_000003.12, read on the forward strand.
GCTCCTTGTTACCATCTACACTATGATCCAAAGTAGGACCTTGCTGAAATTAATGCATGAGTTACGATAAATATTTCACTAGGAATAAACATGACCCACTTCTTAAAATAAAAAAAAAACTATGTGTAGTGTAGTATTCCAACATATTTGTATTTCCTAGACCAACATTCATCCTTTGCAATCTGGGTCAGTCATTATGTCTTAAGCATCTCCAGGATGAATCCTTTGCTGTTGGTGATATGTAATCAATAGCATGGGAATTTCCAAAAGCCACTGGACTCTCATCTTTTTCTGTTTAAGAATTACTGTGATATTTTTGGGTAAAGAGGAAAGAAAAGGGTGAGATTTAAGAGGCTGTACTTCTACAAAATCTCTTACCAAACTCCTATAGGAGACCTCCAAATACTCAAATTGAAAGAGCTACTTTAAAAAAAAAATCAGTGCTGAGGTATAATTTACATGCAACAAAATACACTCGCTTTAAACAGCTTGAGGCATTTTAACAAATATACACACCCCTGCAGCTACTACTACAAGATACAAAACATGTTCATCTCCCTTTACAGTCAGGCCCCATGATCACCCTCAGACACTCACTCATCTGCTTTATGATACTCTTAAGTTTTTCATGTTCATGAATATCATACAAATTGAATGACACTGTATATGCTCATTTGTGTCTGCCTTCTTTTGCTAAGGAAAACATTTTTAAGAATCATCAATATTGTACTGAATATCAATATTTAATTACTATTCCTTGATCTATACTACTCTGTTGTGGAGGTATAACAAAATTTGTTTATACATTTTCCTGTTGATAGACATGTGGCCTGTTCTCAGAATCTGGCTGTTGTGAATAAAGCTGCTATAATATTCACATACGAGCCTTCCTTTGGACATGCTTTCATTTTTCTTGCACAAATACGATAGTAGAATTGCACGGTTATATAGTTAAATGGATGTTTAACTTTACACAAAAAAGCCATACTGTTCTCCAAAGTAGTTTTACCATTTTACAAATAAATGAACAACGTAAAAGACTGTGTTTTTAATATTGGCCATTCTAGTGTTTTTGTAATGGCATCTCTTTGTTTTTGGCATCTCAGTTTGCTTTTGCTTGATGACAAATAATGACAATGTTTAATATGGTCATTCATATCTTTGGTAAAGTGTCTCTTCAAATTTTCTGACTTTTAATTTATCGGATCGTCTAGCTTCTGAGCATTGAATGGTAAAAGTTCTTCATATATTCTGGATATACATCCTTTGTTCGATGGAACTACTGCAAATATTTCTTCCCAGTTTGTACCTTGCTTTTACATTTTTCATAAATTTTTAATTTTTGTGGGTATATAGTAGGTGTACATATTTATGGGGTACATGAGATATTATGATACAGGCATGCAATGCATAATAATCACATGAGGGAAAATGGGGTACCCATCACCTCAAGCATTTATCATTTGTGTTGCAAACATTCCAATTATACTCTTTTAGTCATCTTTAAATGTACAATTAATTATTATTAACTATAGTCACCCTGTTGTGCTAGCAAATACTAGTTCTTAGTCATTCTAACTATTTCTTTGTACCTATTAACAATACCCCCTACCCCCAATACCCTTCCCAGCTTCTGGTAACCATTACTCTACTCTCTATCTCCACGAGTTCAATTGCTTTAATTTTTAGCTGAGTGACAAATAACTGAGAACATGTGAAGTTTGTCTTTCTGTGCCTGGCTTATTTCACTTAACATAATGACCTCCAGTTCCATCCCTGTTGTTGCAAATGACAAGATCTCATTCTTTTCTATGGCTGGATAGTACTCCATTGTGTACCTGTACATTTTCTTTATCCATTCATCTGCTGATGGACACTGAGGATGCTTCCAAATCCTGGCTATTGTGAATAGTGCTGCAATAAACATGGGAGTGCATGCAGATATCTTTTCAGTACACAGATTTCCTTTCTTTTGGGTATGTACCTAGCAGTGTGATTGCTGGATCATATGATAGCTCTATTTTTAGTTTTTTGTTTTGTTTTGTTTTGTTTTTGAGATGGAGTCTCACTCTGTTGCCCAGGCTGGAGTGCAGTGGCGTGACCTCAGCTCATTGCAACCTCTGCCTCCCGGTTCAAGCAATTCTCCTGCCTTAGCCTCCCAAGTGGTTGGGATACAGGTGCCCACTACCATGCCCGGCTAATTTTTGTATATTTAGTAGAGATGGGGTTTCACCATATTGGCCAGGCTGGTCTCAAACTCCTGACCTTGTGATCCACCCGCCTCAGCCTCCCAGAGTGTTGGGATTACAGGCGTGAGCCACCATGCCCAGCCTATTTTTAGTTTGAGAAACCTCCAAACTGTTCTCCACAGTAGTTGTACTAATTTACATTCCCACCAAAGGTGAATGATGGTTCCTTTTTCTCTACATCTTCGCCTGCATTTGTTATCACCTGTCTTTTGGATAAAAGCCATTTTAACTGGTGTGAGATGATATCACATTCTAGTTCTAATTTGTATTTCTCTGATGATCAATGATGTTGAGCACCTTTTCATAAACCTCTTTGCCATTTGTATGTCTTTATTTGAGAAATGTCTGTTCAGAGCTTTTGTCCATTTTAAAATCAGATTTTTTTTCTGCAGAGTTATTTGAGCTCCTCATATATTCTGCTTATTAATCTCTTGTCAAATGGGTATCTGCAAATATTTTCTCCCATTCTGTGGGCTGTCTCTTCACTTTGTTGGTTGTTTCCTTTGCTGTGCAGTTTTTTTTAAACCTGATGTGATCTCATTTGTCTATTTTTGCTGTGGTTGCCTGCGCTTGTGAGTATTGCTTAAGAAATCTTTGCCCAGACTGATATACTGGAGAGTTTCCCCCATGTTTTCTTGTAGCAGTTGCACAATTTGAGGTCTTAAAGTTTTTAATCCATTTTGATTTTATTTTGTATATATAGAGAGATAGGGGTCCAGTTTCATTCTTCTGCATATTCAGTTGTCCCAACACCATTTATTGAAGAGACTGTCTTTTCCCCAGTGCATGTTCTTGGTACCTTTATTGAAAATGAGTTCACTGTAGATGTGTGGGTTTCTTTCTGGGTTCTCTATTCTGTTCTACTGATCTTTGTGCCTGTTTTATACCAGTACTATGTCATTTTGGTTACTATATGTCTGTAGCATAATTCGAAGTCAGGTAATGTGATTTCTCCAGTTTTGTTCTTTTTGCACAGGATAGCTTTGGCTATTCTAGGTCTCTTGTGGTTCCATGTAAATTGTAGTACTTTTTTTTTTTCTATTTCTGTGAAGAGTAAAGAATGTCATTGGTATTTTGATAGGGAATGCATTAAATCTGTTGATTGACTTGGGGAGTATGAACATTTTAACAATGTTGATTCTTCCAATCTATGAACATGGAATATTTTTTCATATTTTTGTGTCCTCTTCAATTTCTAGTATCAGTGTTTTATAAGTTTTCCTTATATAGATCTTTCACTTCTTTGGCTAATTCCTAAGTGTTTAATTTTATTTGTGGCTATTATAAATGAGATTACTTTCCGGATTTCTTTTTCAGATTGTTTGCTCCTGGCATATAGAAATGCTACTGATGTTTGTATGTTGATCTTGTATCCTGCAACTATACTAAGGAATTTGTTTATCAGTTCTAATAGTTTTTTGATGGAGTCATTAGGTTTTTCCATATATAAGATCATATCTTCTACAAACAAGGAGAATTTGACCTCTTCCTTTCCAGTGTGGATGTCCTTTATTTCTTTCTCTTATCTGATTGCTTGAGCTAGGACTTCCAGTACTATGTTGAATAACAGTGATGAAAGCAAAAGTGGGCATCCTTGTCGTGTTCCAGGTATTAGAGAAAAAGGCTTTCACTTTTTCCCCATTCAGTGTGACACTAGCTGTGGGTCTATCATACCCACAGCTTTTATTATGTAGAGGTATGTTTCTTGTAAACCCAGTTTTTTGAGGGTTTTCATGATGGAATGTTGAATTTTATCAAATGCCTTTTCAGCATCAATTGAAATGATATTGTTTTTATCCTTCATTCTGTTGATATGATGTATCACATTGATAGATTTGCATATGTTGAACCATCCTTGCATCCCAGGGACAAATCCCACTTGGTCATGATGAATGATCTTTCTAATATATTGTTGAATTCCATTTGTTACTATTTTGTTGAGGATGTTTGCATCAATTTTCATCAGAAATATTGGCCGGTAGGTAGGTTTTGTTTGTTTGTTTCGATATGTCTTTGTCTGGTTTTGGTATTAGGGTAATACTGGCCTCACAGAATGAGTCTGGAAGTGTTCTCTCCTCTTCTATTTTCCAGAACAGTTTCAGTAGGATTGGTATTAGTTATTTAAATTTTTGGTAGAATTCAGCAGGGAAGCCATTGAGTCCCAGGCTTTTCTTTGTGGAAGACTTTTTATTATGGCTTCGATCTCATTATTTGTTCTTAGACTGTTCAGGTTTTTTTGTTCTTAGACTGTTCAGGTTTTAGATTTCTTCATGGTTCAATCTTGGCAGGTTGTATGTGTCTAGAAATTTACCCATTTCTTCTAGATTTTCCAAATTACTGGCATATAGCTGCTCATAGTAGCCACTAATGATCCTTTGAATTTCTGGAGTATTCATTGTGCTGTCTCCTTTTTCATTTCTGATTTTATTTATTTGGATCTTCTCCTTTTTTCTTAGTCTGGCTAAAGGTATGTCAATTTTATCTTTTCAAAAAACCAACTTATTTTCAGGCCAGGTGCAGTGGCTCAAGCCTGTAATCCCAGCACTTTGGGAGGCCAAGATGGGCAGATCACTTGAGGCCAGGAGTTCATGACCAACCTGGCCAACATGGCAAAACTCTGTCTCTACTAAAAATACAAAAACTAGCCAGGCACGGTGGCACATACCTGTAATCCCAGCTACTTGGGAGGCTGAGACAGGAAAATTGCTTGAACCCAGGAGGCAGATGTTGCAGTGAGCCAAGATCACGCCACTGCCCACCAGCCTGGGTGACAGAGCAACACTCCATCTCAAAAAAAAAAAAACAACCAATAACCAACTTTTTGTTTTGTTGTTCTTTTGTATACTTTGTTTCAATTTCATTCTTTATTTCTGCTCTGATCTGTATTATTTCTTTTCCTCTACTAATTTTGGATTTGCCTTGCTCTTACTTTTCTAGTTTTTTAAGATGGATTGCAGGTTATTTGAAGTTTTTCTTCTTCTTTTTTTTTAATGTAGGCACTTATAGCTATAAACTTCCTTCTTAGCACTGCTTTTGCTGTATCCCATAGGTGTTGGTGTGTTGTATTTCCATTGTCATTTGTTTCAAGAAATTTTAAATTTTCTTTCTTAATTTTTTAATTGACTCACTGGTCACTCAAGAGCATATTGTTTAATTTCCATGTTTGTATACTTTCCAAAATTCCTTGTTAGTGATTTCTAGTTTTATTCCATTATGGTCACAGTAGATACTTGATATTAACTTTCTGAATATTTTAAAACTTGTTTTGTTATCTAACATATAGTCTATCCTAGAGAATAATCCATGTGCTGAGGAGAAGAATGTGTATTGTGTGGCCATTAAATGAAATGTTCTGTAAATATCTATTAGGTCCATTTGGTCTACAGTGCAGATTTAGCATAATTTCTTTGTTGATTTTCTGTCTGGAATATCTGTCTGCTGCTCAAAGAGGGGTGTTGAAATCTCCAGTTATTATTATTGGGATCTCTCTCTCTCTCTCTTTAGCTCTAATGATATTTGCTTTATATGTCCAGGTGCTCCAATACTGGGTGCATATTACAATTCTTATATTCTCTTGCTTAATTGACTCAAAAGGAGTATTATATAATGTAAAAGACATTATATAATGACCTTCTGTCTCTTTTCATAGTTTTTGTCTTGGAATCTATTTTGTCTGATAAATAGTATAGCTACTCTTGATCTTTTTTGGTTTCCATTGGCATGGAATCTCTTTTCCATCCCTTTATTTTCAGTCTATATCTTTAGAGGTGAAATGTGTTTCCTGTAGGGAACAGATCATTGGGTCTTGTTTTTCTTTTTTTAAAAAATCTATCCAGCCACTCTATGTCTTTTTATTGGAAAGTTTAGTCCATTTACATGCAATGTTATTATTGACAGTTAAGGACAACATCATTTTGTTGTTTACTGGTTGTTCCATGGTTTTTTTTCTCTTTCTTTCCTTCATTCCTGTCTTCCTTTTAATAAAGGTGATTTTTTCTGGTGGTATGATTTAATTTCTTGCTTTTTAGTTTTTGTGTATCTGTTGTATATTTTTTTATTTGAGGTTACCATGAGACTTGCAAATAATGTCTTATAACCCTTTTTTTTTTTTTTTTTGAGAAAGAGTCTCGCCCTGTCTCCCAGGCTGGAGTGCAATGGCACAGTCTTGGCTCACTGCAACCTCCGCCTCCTGGGTTCAAGCGATTCTTTCACCTCAGCCTCCCAAGTAGCTAGGATTACAGTCACCTATCATCATGCCCGGCTAATTTTTGTATTTTTTTGTAGAGATGGAGTTTCACCATGTTGGTCTTGAACTCCTGACCTCAGGTGATCTGCCTGTCTCTGCCTCCCAAATTGCTGGGATTACAGGTGTGACCCACCGCGCCTGGCCCACTTTTTAACTTTTTTGTTGTTTATATTTATATCGTATTGTACTGCCAGTGTCTTGAAAGGCTGTTACAGTTATTTTTGATTAATATTTTTGTCTTTCTATTTAAGATAATAGTTTATATATCACAATTGCAATGTTATAATAGTCTGTGTCTCTCTGCGTACTTAATATTACCAGTGAGTTCTGTACCTTTAGGTTATTTGTTATTGCTCATTAACATCCTTTTCTTTCTAATTGTAGAACTCTTTTTGGCATTTCTTGTAGGACAACTCTGGTGTTGATGAAATCCCTCAGCTTTCATTTGTCTGAGAAAGTCTTTATTTCTCCTTCATGTTTGAAGGATATTAGTATTTTTGCCAGATATATTATTCCAGGGTAAAAGCTGTTTTTCCTTTGACACTTCATGCCACTAAAAAGTCTGCTGCCAGACATATTGAAGCTCCATTGTATATTATTTGATTATTTTATCTTGCTGTTTTTAGGATCCTTTCTTTATCCTTGACCTTTGGGAGTTTGATTGTTACATGTCTTAAGGCAGTCTTCTTTGGGTTAAATCTGTTCTATAACTTTCTTTTACTTGAATATTGATATCTTTCCCTAGGTTTGGAAAGTTCTTTATTATCCCTTTGAATACACTGTCTACTCCTATCTCCTTCTCTACTCCTCTTTAAGGCCAATAACTCTTAGAAGATTTGCCCTTTTGAAGCTATTTTCTGATGTTGCAGGTGTGCTTCATCCTTTTTAATACTTTTTTATCTCCTCTGTGAATTTCCAAATAGCCTGTCTTCAAACTCAGTAATTCTTCTGCTTGAATAATTCTGCTATATTAAGAGACTCTGATACTCTTCAGTATATCAATTGCATTTTCCTACTTCAGAATTTCTGCTTGATTCTTTTCATTTTTTATTTTATTTTATTTTTTGGGATGGAGTTTCATTCTTGACCCCCAGGCTGGAGTGCAATGGCGTGATCTCGGCTCACTGCACCTCCGCCTCCCAGGTTCAAGTGATTCTCCTGCCTCAGCCTCCGAGTAGCTGGGACTTGCAGGTGCATGCCACCACGCCCAGGTAATTTTTGTATTTTTAGTAGAGATGGGGTTTCACCATGTTGGCCAGGATGGTCTCGATCTCTTGACCTCGTGATCTGTCCACCTCAGCCTCCCAAAGTGCTGGGATTACAGACGTGAGCCACCATGCCTAGTATTGTATTGCTTGCTTCAGTACCAATACAAGGGGGATAAGGGATAAGGGACAGGGTTGATTTAAAAAGAGCATAAAAGAACTTTTTGGGATGATAGAGTAATGGTTCTATATCTTGGTTGTGGTGTAAATTTTATGACCATATGCATTTGTCAAAATTCACAGAACTATATACCTTTTTCAGGGTGAATCTAATTATTATACGTAAATTATACCACAACAAACAGGCAAAAAAGATCATTTAAGACAATACTCAAACTGCTCTATAACAGCAATTGTTCTCAGAATTCCTCGTATATTTAATTAGCAATTATCAGAGTTCCTAGTATATATACTCAATAGTTTACTGTTTCAAACTACAGCTATCTAAACCAAAGCACAAGTCAACTCCTGATTTTATGGGTTGTTCACAGTGACACAGTAGATTCACATCAACTACATTTTACTATTCTGTTCCAACTTTAATGAAAAATATGAAATAAGATTATTACATCTTAGTAAGTGATTATAAGGTTAATCTTATTTACCCTTAACAATGCCTGATGAAAACTTCTGACTAATTGATATTTCAAAAGAAAATTCCATTACACAAATTTTTAAAAATATAATATGGTAAGATGGTTGAAAAGAATACTATCTAGAAGATAAATTACCTGTGTATCTGGATTTGAAGGAGTCAATATAGCATGCAGCATCATTTTCTTTAATGCCCATCTGCTCTCCCAAAGATTTAGCTCCCATTCCATAAATGATCCCATAGCAAATCTGAAAGGGAGTCATCCAACAAATAAAGGTTATAAGTACATAAAATGCAAATAAAAGGGTTCATTAGGATGCGAATTTCGGCAAACTTTTTATTTCACAGTGAGTGAAACAATGATTAGATTGCTTTTGGTGGGTTACATCCACAGAGACTGATATCCAGCAAACATCTTTTCTGCCTTTCAGCATTACTTTTTGAGAGAGAGACAGAAGGGCAGGAGGGAGTATGAATGAATAGGTATGTGTGATCTAAGGAAAAATTTATTTTTGACTATTTGTCCTTTATCCAGCAGTCTTTATAGCAACTTTTTACTCCTCACAGAACTTCATTAACTTCCACTTCAAGTGCCTAGGAGTCAGGGAAGAGAAGCATTACCAACATCCCTCTTCTTGTCCTTGAAAAAGACTTGAAGTGTAGAAAGAGTAGGCTTTGTGACTTTATGACGAAGACTTAACTGGAAAAAAAAATCCTCCTCACCTCATAGCCACCTAAATGTCCACAACTGCAGAATTTAATTCACTTAAATACAAACAAAAACTCCTAAGAAAATTTCGGGAGTAGTGAAGGGAAATGATCTAAATAGGCAATTAAAGAAAGTCTGGTTTAATCACAAGGACGGCCGGGGTTCAAAGCCTAGATCTATCATTCACAAAATGTATCATCTTGCACAAGTCACTTAACCAATTTGTATCTTAATTTCTTCATCTACAAAATGAAGACAGTAATATCTGCATCATGGGATTGTTAGGTTTAAATGAGTTATTACTTATAACTGTTTAGGAAACTGACATAAAGCAAGCTCTGTATAAATATCATTAAATAAAATCTAAAAAGATAACTTGCATGATTATCAGAATTCCAAAAAAACTTTCAACATGATAAGCTAACTAAAGTCTACCCCCACCCCCAAGTTTTCTATTTTATTTTTTCGCTTTTTTATTATTTATTTATTTTTTTTATTATACTTTAAGTTCTAGGGTATATGTGCACAATGTGCAGGTTTGTTACATATGTATACATGTGCCATGTTGGTGTGCTGCACTCATTAACTCGTCATTTATATTAGGTGTATCTCCTAATGCTATCCCTCCCCCCTCCCCCAACCCCACAACGGGCCCCAGTGTGTGATGTTCCCTGTCCTGTGTCCAAGTGTTCTCATTATTCTTTTCTTTAATAGTGCTGAATATTGGCCCCAACTTTTTTCTGGCTTGTAGGCTTTCTGCAGAGAGAACTGGTGTTAGTCTGATGGGCTTCCCTTTGTGGGTAACCCGACCTTTCTCTCTGGCTGCCCTTAACATTTTTTCCTTCATTTCAACTTTGGTGAATCTGACAATTATGTGTCTTGGAGTTGCTCTTCTCGAGGAGTATCTTTGTGGTGTTCTCTGGATTTCCTGAATTTGAATGTTGGGCTGCCTTGCTAGATTGGGGAAGTTCTCCTGGATAATATCCTGCAGAGTGTTTTCCAACTTGGTTCCATTCTCCCGGTCACTTTCAGGTACACCAATCAGGTGTAGATTTGGTCTTTTCACATAGTCCCCTATTTCTTGGAGGCTTTGTTCGTTTCTTTTTATTCTTTTTCTCTAAACTTCTCTTCTTGCTTCATTTCATTTATTTGATCATCAATCACTGATACCCTTTCTTCCAGTTGATCGAATTGGCTACTGAAGCTTGTGCATTTGTCACGTAGTTCTTTTGCCACGGTTTTCAGCTCCATCAGGTCATTTAAGGACTTCTCTACACTGGTTATTCTAGTTAGCCATTCGTCTAATCTTTTTTCAAGGTTTTTAGCTTCTTTGCAATGGGTCCAAACTTCCTCCTTTAGCTCGGAGAAGTTTGATTGTCTGAGGCCGCCTTCTCTCAACTTGTCAAAGTTATTCTCCGTCCAGCTTTGTTCCATTGCTGGCGAGGAGCTGAGTTCCTTTGGAGTGGGAGAGGCACTCTGATTTTTAGATTTTTCAGCTTTTCTGCTCTGTTTTTTCCCCATCTTAGTGGTTTTATCTACCTTTGGTCTTTGATGATGGTGACGTACAGATGGGGTTTTGGTGTGGATGTCCTTTCTGTTTGTTAGTTTTCCTTCTAACAGTCAGGACCCTCAGGTGCAGGTCTGTTGGAGTTTGCTGGAGGTCCGCTCCAGACTCTGTTTGCCTCGGTATGAGCAGCGGAGGCTGCAGAACAGTGAATATTGCTGACCAGCAAATGTTGCTGCCTGATCGCTCCTCTGGAAGCTTTGTCTCAGAGGGGTAACTGGCCGTGTGAGGTGTCAGCCTGCTCCTACTGGGGGGTGCCTCCTAGTTAGGCTACTTGGGGGTCAGGGACCCACTTGAGGGGGCAATCTGTCCGTTCTCAGATCTCAAACTCCGTGCGGGGAGAACCACTACTCTCTTCAAAGCTGTCCGATGGGACATTTAAGTCTGCAGAGGTTTCTGCTGCCTTTTGTTTGGCTATGCCCTGCCCCCAGAGGTGGAGTCTACAGAGGCAGGCAGGCGTCCTTGAGCTGTGGTGGGCTCCACCCAGTTCGAGCTTCCTGGCCTCTTTGTTTACCTACTCAAGCCTCAGCACTGGCGGGCGCCCCTCCCCCAGCCTTGCTGCTGCCTTGCAGTTCGATCTCAGACTGCTGTGCTAGCAATGAGCGAGGCTCCATGGACATGGTAGCCTCCGAGTCATGCACAGGATATAATCTGTTGATGTGCCCTTTGCTAAGACCCTTGGAAAAGCGCAGTATTAGGGTGGGAGTGACCCGATTTTCCAGGTGCCATCTGTCACAGCTTCCCTTGGCTAGGAAAGGGAATTCCCTGACCCCTTGTGCTTCCCAGGTGAGGTGATGCCTCGCCCTGCTTCGGCTCACGCTCGGTGGGCTGCACCCACTGTCCAACAAGCCCCAGTGAGATGAACCTGGTACCTCAGTTGGAAATGCAGAAATCACCTGTCTTCTGCATAGCTTACGCTGGGAGCTGTAGACTGGAGCTGTTCCAATTCGGCCATCTTGGAACTGCCCCCCACCGCCACGTTTTTTAATGCCTTTTTCCTTTCCTTTTTTTCTTTTTCACCTTTTTTTTGTTGTTACTCCTGTTTTTTTTTTTTTTAACTCATGTTGCTTAGTGCTGTCTGAGATCTCAGCAAGGCTCAGGGATTAGGTGGTTCAGTGCATGGTGACACAAACAAAAACTGGTATAGCATAAACACTATTAAATCATGCAGGAGTCTATTAAATAGAAGCAGTTGTCTCCGGCGGATAAGTGTGTTGGATAGGAAGTCGGGTGCCCAATGCCCGCCATTGCCCAGGCTTGCTTAGGTAAACAAAGCAGCCAGGAAGCTCAAACTGAGTGGAGCCCACCACAGCTCAAGGAGGCCTGCCTGTCTCTGTAGGCTCCACCTCTGGGGGCAGGGCACAGAAAAACAAAAAGACAGCAGTAACCTCTGCAGACTTAAATGTCCCTGTCTGACAGCTTTGAAGAGAGCAGTGGTTCTCCTAGCACGCAGCTGGAGATCTGAGAACAGGCAGACTGCCTCCTCAAGTGGGTCCCTGACCCTTGACCCCCGAGCAGCCTAACTGGGAGGCACCCCCCAGTAGGGGCAGACTGACACCTCACACGGCTGGGTACTCCTCTGAGACAAAACTTCCAGAGGAACGATCAGACAGCAGCATTCGCAGTTTACGAAAATCCGCTGTTCTGCAGTCACCGCTGTTGATATCCAGGCAACCAAGGTCTGGAGTGGACATCTAGCAAACTCCAACAGACCTGCAGCTGAGGGTCCTGTCTGTTAGAAGGAAAACTAACAAACAGAAAGGACATCCACACCAAAAACCCATCTGTACATCACCATCATCAAAGACCAAAAGTAGATAAAACCACAAAGATGGGGAAAAAACAGAGCAGAAAAACTGGAAACTCTAAAAAGCAGAGCGCCTCTCCTCCTCCAAAGGAACGCAGTTCCTCACCAGCAACGGAACAAAGCTGGATGGAGAATGACTTTGACGAGTTGAGAGAAGAAGGCTTCAGACGATCAAACTACTCCGAGCTACAGGAGGAAATTCAAGCAAAAGGCAAACAAGTTAAAAACTTAGAATAAAATTTAGACAAATGTATAACTAGAATAACCAATACAGAGAAGAGCTTAAAGGAGCTGATGGAGCTGAAAGCCAAGGCTTGAGAACTACGTGAAGAATGCAGAAGCCTCAGGAGCCGATGCGATCAACTGGAAGAAAGGGTATCAGTGATGGAAGATGAAATGAAGCGAGAAGGGAAGTTTAGAGAAAAAAGAGTAAAAAGAAACGACCAAAGCCTCCAAGAAATATGAGATTATGTGAAAAGACCAAATCTATGTCTCACTGGTGTATCTGAAAGTGACAGGGAGAATGGAACCAAGTTGGAAAACACTCTGCAGGATATAATCCAGGAGAACTTCCCCAATCTAGCAAGGCAGGCCAACATTCACATTCAGGAAATCCAGAGAACGCCACAAAGATACTCCTCGAGAAGAGCAACTCCAAGACACATAATTGTCAGATTCACCAAAGTTGAAATGAAGGAAAAAATGTTAACGGCAGCCAGAGACAAAGGTCGGGTTACCCACAAAGGGAAGCCCATCAGACTAACAGCGGATCTCTCGGCAGAAACTCTACAAGCCAGAAGAGAGTGGGGGCCAATATTCAACATTCTTAAAGAAATGAATTTTCAACCCAGAATTTCATATCCAGCCAAACTAAGCTTCATTAAGTGAAGGAGAAATACAATCCTTAACAGACAAGCAAATGCTGAGAGATTTTGTCACCACCTGGCCAGCCCTAAAAGAGCTCCTGAAGGAAGCACTAAACATGGAAAGGAACAACCGGTATCAGCCACTGCAAAATCATGCCAAATTGTAAAGACCATTGAGGCTAGGAAGAAACTACATCAACTAATGAGCAAAATAACCAGTTAACATCATAATGACAGGATCAAATTCACACATAACAATATTAACTTTAAATGTAAATGGACTAAATGCTCCAATTAAAAGACACAGACTGGCAAATTGGATAAAGAGTCAAGATCCATCAGTGTGCTGTATTCAGGAGACCCATCTCACGTGCAGAGACACACATAGGCTCAAAATAAAAGGATGGAGGAAGATCTACCAAGCAAATGGAAAACAAAAAAAAGCAGGGGTTGCAATCCTAGTCTCTGATAAAACAGACTTTAAACCAACAAAGATCAAAAGAGACAAAGAAGGCCATTACATAATGGTAAAGGGATCAATTCAACAAGAAGAGCTAACTATCCTAAACATATATGTACCCAATACAGGAGCACCCAGATTCATAAAGCAAGTCCTGAGTGACCTTCAAGAGACTTAGACTCCCACACAATAATAATGGGAGACTTTAACACCCCACTATCAACATTAGACAGATCAACGAGACAGAAAGTTAACAAGGATACCCAGGAATTGAACTCAGCTCTGCACCAAGCAGATCTAATAGACATCTACAGAACTCTCCACCCCAAATCAATAGAATATACATTTTTTTCAGCAGCACACCACACCTATTCCAAAATTGACCACATAGTTGGAAGTATAGCACTCCTCAGCAAATGTAAAAGAACAGAAATTATAATAAACTGTCTCTCAGACCACAGTGCAATCAAACTAGAACTCAGGATTAAGAAACTCACTCAAAACCACTCAACTACATGGAAACTGAACAACCTGCTCCTGAATGACTACTGGGTACATAACAAAATGAAGGCAGAAATAAAGATGTTCTTTGAAACCAACGAGAACAAAGACACAACATACCAGAATCTCTGGGACACATTCAAAGCAGTGTGTAGAGGGAAATTTATAGCACTAAATGCCCACAAGAGAAAGCAGGAAAGATCCAAAATTGACACCCTAACATCACAATTAAAAGAACTAGAAAAGCAAGAGCAAACACATTCAAAAGCTAGCAGAAGGCAAGAAATAACTAAAATCAGAGCAGAACTGAAGGAAATAGAGACACAAAAAACCCTTCAAAAAATTAATGAATCCAGGAGCTGGTTTTTTGAAAGGATCAACAAAATTGATAGACTGCTAGCAAGACTAATAAAGAAGAAAAGAGAGAAGAATCAAATAGACACAAAAAAAAAAGGATAAAGGGGATATCACCACCGATCCCACAGAAATACAAACTACCATCAGAGAATACTACAAACACCTCTACGCAAATAAACTAGAAAATCTAGAAAAAATGGATAAATTCCACGACACACACACGCTCCCAAGACTAAACCAGGAAGAAGTTGAATCTCTGAATAGACCAATAACAGGCTCTGAAATTGTGGCAATAATCAATAGCTTACCAACCAAAAAGAGTCCAGGACCAGATGGATTCACAGCCAAATTCTACCAGAGTTACAAGGAGGAACTGGTACCATTCCTTCTGAAGCTATTCCAATCAATAGAAAAAGAGGAAATCCTCCCTAACTCATTTTATGAGGCCAGCATCATCCTGATACCAAAGCCTGGCAGAGACAACCAAAAAAGAGAATTTTAGTCCAAAGTCCTTGATGAACATTGATGCAAAAATCCTCAATAAAATACTGGCAAACCAAATCCAGCAGCACATCAAAAAGCTTATCCACCATGATCAAGTGGGCTTCATCCCTGGGATGCAAGGCTGGTTCAATATACACAAATCAATAAATGTAATCCAGCATATAAACAGAAACAGAGAAAAAAAACACATGATTATCTCAATAGATGCAGTAAAGGCCTTTGGCAAAATTCAACAACGCTTCATGCTAAAAACTCTCAATAAATCAGGTACTGATGGGACATATCTCAAAATAATAAGAGCTATCTATGACAAACCCACAGCCAATATCACACTGAACGGGCAAAAACTGGAAGCATTCCCTGTGAAAACTGGCACAAGACAGGGATGCCCTCTCTCACCACTCCTATTCAACATAGTGTTGGAAGATCTGGCCAGGGCAATCAGGCAGGAGAAGGAAATAAAGGGTATTCAATTAGGAAAAGAGGAAGTCAAATTGTCCCTGTTTGCAGATGACATGACTGTATATCCAGAAAACCCCATTGTCTCAGCCCAAAATCTCCTTAAGCTCATGAGCAACTTCAGCAAAGTCTCAGGATACAAAATCAATGTACAAAAATCACAAGCATTCTTATACACCAATAACAGACAAACAGAGAGCCAAATCATGAGTGAACTCCCATTCACAATTGCTTCAAAGAGAATAAAATACCTAGGAATCCAACTTACAAGGGATGTGAAGGACCTCTTCAAGGAGAACTACAAACCACTGCTCAAGGAAATAAAAGAGGATACAAAGAAATGGAAGAACATTCCATGCTCATAGGTAGGAAGAATCAATATCGTGAAAATGGCCATACTGCCCAAGGTAATTTGTAGATTCAATGCCATCCCCATCAAACTACCAATGACTTTCTTCACAGAATTGGAAAAATCTACTTTAAAGTTCATATGGAACCAAAAAAGAGCCTGCATCGCCAAGTCAATCCTAAGCAAAAAGAACAAAGCTGGAGGCATCAAGCTACCTGACTTCAAACTATACTACAAGGCTACAGTAACCAAAACAGCATGGTACTGGTACCAAAACAGAAATGTAGATCAATGGAACAGAACAGAGCCCTCAGAAATAACGCCGCATATCTACAACTATCTGATCTTTGACAAACCTGAGAAAAACAAGCAATGGGGAAAGGATTCCCTATTTAATAAATGGTGCTGGGAAAACTGGCTAGCCATATGTAGAAACCTGAAACTGGATCCCTTCCTTACACCTTATACAAAAATTAATTCAAGATGGATTAAAGACTTACTTGTTAAACCTAAAACCATAAAAACCCTAGAAGAAAACCTAGGCAATACCATTCAGGACATAGGCATGGGCAAGGACTTCATGTCTAAAACACCAAAAGCAATGGCAACAAAAGCCAAAATTGACAAATGGGATCTAATTAAACTAACGAGCTTCTGCACAGCAAAAGAAGCTACCATCAGAGTGAACAGGCAACCTACAGAATGGGAGAAAATTTTCGCAACCTACTCATCTGACAAAGGGCTAATATCCAGAATCTACAATGAACTCAAACAAACTTACAAGAAAAAAACAAACAACCCCATCAAAAAGTTGGCGAAGGACATAAACAGACACTTCTCAAAAGAAGACATTTATGTAGCCAAAAGACACATGAAAAAATGCTCATCATCACTGGCCATCAGAGAAATGCAAATCAAAACCACAATGAGATACCATCTCATACCAGTTAGAATGGCAATCATTAAAACGTCAGGAAACAACAGGTGCTGGAGAGGATGTGGAGAAATAGGAACACTTTTACACTGTTGGTGGGACTGTAAACTAGTTCAACCATTGTGGAAGTCAGTGTGGCGATTCCTCAGGGATCTAGTACTAGAAATACCATTTGACCCAGCCATCCCATTACTGGGTATATACCCAAAGGACTATAAATCATGCTGCTATAAAGATACATGCACACGTATGTTTATTGCGGCACTATTCACAAGAGCAAAGACTTGGAACCAACCCAAATGTCCAACAATGATAGACTAGATTAAGAAAATGTGGCACATATACACCATGGAATACTACGCAGCCATAAAAAATGATGAGTTCATGTCCTTTGTAGGGACATGGATGAAATTGGAAATCATCATTCTCAGTAAACTATCGCAAGAACAAAAAACCAAACACCGCATGTTCTCACTCATAGGTGGGAATTGAACAATGAGAACACATGGACACAGGAAGGGGAACATCACACTCTGGGGACTGTTGTGTGGTGGGGGAATGGGGGAGGGATAGCATTAGGAGATATACCTAATGCTAAATGACGAGTTAATGGGTGCAGCACACCAGCATGGCACATGTATACATATGTAACTAACCTGCACATTGTGCACATGTACCCTAAAACTTAAAGTATAATAATAATAAAATAAAAATAAATAAATAAATAAATAAAAGGAAGTCGGGTGCCCAAGTTCTGGCATTCTGAATTTATTCTTGGTCTACCACTTATAGCTGCATGACCTTAAGCAAATTACTTTCTGTGCTTCAGTTTCCTCCTCTATAAAATGGTGATAGTAATAATAATAGCTATCTCATGGGTTATGAGAATTAAATATGGGAATATTATCTATTTTACCTAGGGTTTGATTCTTGCTAAATGCAGAACCTCTCCAGGGATTAAACAGACAGAGAGGACAGAGCTGGCTTTTTAAATAGTGGAAGAAACAAGTGTTGGTGCTAAACAGGTGGTTAGAGAAAGTGTTCCATGCTTGATGAGCCAGTCAAGAAGTACAGCTGTGAGGCTGGGTGCAGTGGCTCATGCCTACGATCCCAGCACTTCGGGAGGCCAAGTTGGAAGTATCACTTGACGCCAGGAGTTGAAGACCACCCTGGGCGACAAATTGAGACCTCACCTCTCCACACACACACACAAAAACTACAACTGTGAGGAACTAGAAATGTAAATGCGAAACAAAAACAGCAGGATCTCAGAGTACGGTGGTGTGCATTTACCTCAGCTAGCAATCCTACTGTCTTGCAAATGGCATCAGATTTCCCACGGGTCATGTGGTAAGAAAGTATCAGTGTTAACCCAGGCCAAGGAATGGTATAAATGTGGCCTCTGACTTACTCTTTGCCTAATAGTTATCCAGAGTAGAAACTAACATGGATCCATTTCAAAGTTACAAAGGCAGCATGAAGTTTCATAGGTAGATTACTAACCAATAACTTCAACGGCTAAAAAGCTATCAGGTACTAACTATAATCTACAGGTCAGCAATATTTTTTCAACAAACATTTAGAGACCACCTTCTGTACAAAGCACTATGGCTTGATGCTATAAAAGATATAAAAATGAAAATATGGAACTTTACCTCAGAACACTTACAGACTAGAAAGATTTTTTTTTTTTTTTTTTTTTTTGTTTTTCGAGATGGAGTCTTGCTCTTTCACCCAGGCTGGAGTGCAGTGGCGCTATCTCGGCTCACTGCAAGCTCCGCCTCCTGGGTTCACGCCATTCTCCTGCCTCAGCCTCCCAAGTAGCTGGGACTACAGGCACCCACCACCACGGCCAGCTAAGTTTTTGTATTTTTAGTAGAGACGGGGTTTCACTGTGTTAGCCAGGATAGTCTTGATCTCCTGACCTCATGATCCGCCCGCCTCAGCCTCCCAAAGTGCTGGGATTACAGGCGTGAGCCACCGCGCCCGGCCTGGAAAGATGTTTTTTAAGTATACATATGTGCACACATGCGGGTGTGTACGAACACACGCACTCTGACCACCACTACCACCATGACATCTAGTGAGTACCAGGCACTGTGACTAGCCATATAATGGCTTTAAATGCATATGGTTTTCCTGACACGAAGTAGCCTCAGATCTCAGTCTTTTTGGTTCTTCCTACTGCCTCCACAAAAGAAAATATAATGAATACCATGAGATAAGCTCAGATGAACTGTGCTTTGAAAGATCCAAAGTTGGAGAAACTGTTTCTCAGCTGCAAATAATTGAGACCATTTTTAATTTTTTTTGAGTCACTAAATTCTTCTCCTTTATATTAACCATGTTCACTAAAATCACCTGTTTTGCCTGCTGCCTCAGATCATCCCCAACAGACTCTGGCTCAATCATCTTCCACTCTGCTGCAATGCTCCTGAAAACATCAGCTCCAGTGTTTAACACTTGAATGAGACGACGATCATGGGATAAATGAGCCAAGATCCTCAGTTCAAGCTGAGAGTAGTCAGCAGCCAGTATTGAACCACCTGAAGTAGAAGTGATTTCAGAAAAGCTAGTACAAAGTTTCTATATCACACAATCCAAGTTCTATATCATATAATTGAGCAGGATGACAAAAATTTTGTTCTAACTTAGAACTTTGAAATCACATGTCAAAAGTTAAAACCTTCCTCTTAATATGATGGAATTCAGCTCTGTATCTTAGGTCATTTTTTTCCATGTAGCTTTCAAGTATATATAATATGGGTAAAGCCACCCTGACATCTGCCCACCGTGGAGTGTGTTCCTCAGTGTTCCTACAGCACCTGGCACATAATCCAAAATGGTGCTTTCATGCCTCTCTTATTTTGCTCTGAGTACTTAAGAATAGGAAGCTTAATTTTCCTTTTCATTCTACAGAAAAGCTTGCACAGTTGCTGATAGATAATAGGCCCTTAACAAATGCTTGTTGAATGAATTAATTAATGAAAAAACTGGTGTCCAATGTGTGCAAATGTTAAGTGGGCTGGAGAGAAATGTGTGCCCTGATTTGACAATAACAAAGTCATTCAGTGAAAAAAATCAAGTGGTCAACAGGTGAGCAAGTTATTAAAACGATTAAAATAATTTACCTATAGATTAGAAATGGGTGGATTAGATATGCATGACAAAACAAAAACAAAGTTAAAAAAATAAAAGCAGGGTCAAAGAAAAATTAGAAAAATATTTGCAACTGATCTCACAAAAGACTCATTGCCCTTTCATAAGAAGAGTTGTTACTTGTGGAGGAAAAGACAAACTATAAATAAGAAGTTCAGACATAATAAAAACAAAAGAACCTTAAACATATTAAAGAATGCTCAGCTTCATAAGAGAAATAAAAAATCTATGGCAAGAAACAATTTTTCTTCACCTGTATTGCAAAAATTACAAAAGTTGGACAACACTCTGTGACAAGGCTGAGGAGAAAAACACTCGTACATTGTTACTGAGAAGTAAAATGGAATCTCCTCCCCATTCGCTGGCAATTTAACAGTGTCTATCGAAATTAAACAGGTTTTTACTCTATGACTCAGCAAACAAGCCCACAGACTGCTGCACAGACTACCTGAACATAGTTTAAACTGGTTTTTGTTTAAATGTCCTTATTGATAAGCACAAATCTCTAGTATAGAAACATTACAGCCAGGCACAGTGTCTCATGCCTGTAATCCTAGCACTTTGGGAGGCCAAGGCAGGCAGATGACGAGGTCAGGAGATCGAGACCATCCTGGCCAACATGGTGAAACTCTGTCTCTACTAAAAATACAAAAATTAGCTGGGAGTGGTGGAGCATGCCTGTAATCCCAGCTAGTCGGGAGGCTGACGCTGGAGAATTGCTTGAACCAGGGAGTTGGAGGTTGCAGTGAGCTGAGATCCCACCGCTGTACTCCAGCCTGGTGACAGAGTGAGACTCCGTCTCAAAAAAAAAAAAAAAGAAAGAAAAAGAAACATTACATGAAAAAAGCAAGGTACACAATAATGTATACAGAATGCTAATTTTGTGTAAAAATAGGAAAAGATTATATACCCATATTTGCTTATATCTGCATAAAGAAATACTGTCAAAATACATAAAAGGCCTCATACATGTAGTAATCTATAAGAATTGGGAAGGATAGTGTAGATGACAGGGAAGGAAGCAAAGCTTCCCAATACACATCTTTTATATCATGTTGATTTCTGAACTATGTTAATGAATAACCTATTCAAAAACAGAGATAAATACTAATTTAAAATACAGGTTGAGCATCCCTAATCCAAAATTCCAAAATCCAATATGCTCCAAAATCCAAAACTTTTGAGCACCAACGAGATGCTCAAACGTCACGCTCACTGGGGCATTTCAGATAATGGATTTTTGGATTAGAAATGTTCAATTGGTAAATATTCTAAATAGTGTAAATATTCTAAAATCAAAATCTAAAACACTTCTAGTCCCAAGCATTTCACACAAGGGATACTCAAACTGTAAATGGCCACAACTTTGGTGGACTTCCTACCACAGACAACCACAAAATTGGACAAATTATATGGGAAAAAAAAAATGGTTCTCAGATGTTAGACAACAAGCCATGCAGAACTATAATCACTGAGAATGGAAGAAAATGAGGTGAGCCACACAAAGGTCTCAGGGATCTGAATGGAGGCATTTTCCAGAATCTGTAGCAGGGAAAGGGAGCTGAAGCACAGCGCTGTATCTGTCTCTGAACTAAGGAAACACAGTCTAGAGTTTGGGGCTTTGAGGCAGCTGGAATTTGGAGAGAAAAGAGTTGTGCATAAAAGGAGCACCAGAAATACACACAGGAATTCCCTTGGATTTTTGACCAAATATTAAGTTGTGCAGGGGGAAAGTGCAGGGCGCCAAAGAACAGACACTGAAGAAATAAATATTACTAAAGGAAGAACAAATACTGCATAGCTTTCAGCTGAACAACTACTTCAACAACATATTCTTGAATGCTGAGAAATGATCAAGCTGTAACAAACAAGACTGAGAAGAGATCTTGTTAAACAACTTTAGCACCAAGTAGACTCCAGAAAGGCCACACCTTATGAACAGGAATAACCTAGCCCTAGAGTGCAGGCTACTCTAAACATTTGTTAGCAAAGCTTTAAAAGCCTCAAAATGACCAAGCTGATGTGAAAGTAAATTGTCTGACAAAAGAAAACCTTATATTCTATTAGTGAAGACTACAAAATCCAAAGATTCAACAAGGTGGCAACCATAACGTCCGCATACTAGCAGCAATGCTTCAATATTTGTTTAATTTAGTGTTCATTGTGGCTTTGTAGAATGCAACTACCATGAATAACAAGAATCAATCACATTTTACAAAAAGCAAAAGATCTTCAAATAACACACCTGATAAGGTTTGGCTATGTCTCCATCCAAACCTCACCTTGAATTGTAACAAAACTCACATGTCAAGAGGTCAGGTGAAGATAAATGAATCATGGGGGTGGTTTCCCCCATACTGTTCTCATGGTAGTGAGTCCGTCTCACGAGATCTGATGGTTTTATAAATGGGAGTTCCCCTGCATAAGCTCTTGCCAGCCACCATATAAGATGTCAAGATGTCCCTTTGCTTCTCCTTCATCTTCCACCATGATTGTGAGGCCTCCCCAGCAATGTGGAACTGTGAGTCCATCAAACCTCCTTCCTTTATAAATCACCCAGTCTCAGGTAGGTCTTTATTAGCAGCATGACAACGGACTAATACACCACCAAACAATTACCTATAGATTCTATAGGTAACCTAACAGTATGATAGATCAATCAAATTGCAAGTGTTTCTTTTTTGGCTTTGGATAAATTGTCCCATAACAGAGAAACTGCTTAATTAATATTCTGAATAGGCTTTGTCTCAGTGGACTTCCAAATTTATAAAGAAAACACCATTCTTAGCTTACAAAATCAAACCAGTGGCATAGATATTTTGGAATCTTTTACATTTGTCAAAGAAGAATTTTAAGTAGATATGAAAAAATTAGTTTTCATCATATAGACAATGCTCTAGCTTTGTCATTAAAAACTTCTTTTTTTTAGATTTTTAAACAGGAGAATGATGTTTCCCTATTTCTTCATTCCACTATATATATAAAAAAGATTTATGTTTAGTTTTCTAAATCAGACCATCAAAAGTGTTACAATACAGTTAAAATTATTTTATGTATGTGTACAAATGCTGAGTCATCACCAACTTAAGAACTGTTGAAAATTTCCAACAATGAATTTAACAATCTTGTATACTCTGTCAAAGCTCCTTGTTTGATTCATGAGAGTCCTACAAAGATTAACTGTACTCCAGTTCAATATTTTCTTGAAACAAAAGAACATTTGCCAAGTATTCAGTAATCAAAGACAAAAAGAACAATGTGGTTTATGTTTTTTGACTGATATCACACAGCATATATTTGAGGCTCCAAGAAAGCGAAAAATGTACTTCTGACCTAGCTAGACAGGTAAGAGAATGTATTTGGAAATGAAAACTTTTCATAAAACAAATTAATAATGGGCTGGGTGCAGTGGCTCACACCTGTAATCCCAATAATTTGGGAAGCCAAGGCTGGAGGATCACTCCTGGAGGAGCCCAGGAGTTCCAGACCAGCCTGGGTAACATAGTGGGACCCCCATCTCTACCAAAAACAACAACAACAACAACAATAATAATAATAATTTTATGCATTTTTAAAGCATAAATCAATATGCAGTATAGTTTAATTACAATCAACATGTTATATAAACTGAAAATATTAAAAATTTTTAAAAATGCTCTGATGTTGATGAATTTAGAGTCGCTTTTTTATTTAAGTAATACTCCTTTGAATTTGACATACTGTAGGTACAGCATCCCTAATCTGAAAATTCAAAATCCAAACTGTTCTAAAATCTAAAACTTTCTGAGCACTGACATAATGCCACAAGTGGAAAGTTCCACAACCGACCTCTTGTAACAGGTCAAAGTTATAACTTTGTTTCATGAACAAAATTTAAAATATTGTATAAATTACCTTTAGGCTATGTCTATAAGATGTATATGAAACATAAATTTCACATTATGACTTGGATCCCATCCCCAAGACATCACATTATGTATACACAAATATTCCAAAATCTGAAATACTTTTGGTCCCAAGGATTTGAGATAAAGGATACTTAACTTGTAATAATGAGTAACATAAGAATTAGTAAATTTACTTAACTTGTATAGACATTGTTTTGTAATGGATGTTTCTGCTTCAAAGTCAAATTAATACTTCTAAAAAAAGATGAACCAGCTTTGTCAATCAGATGCAATTTTTTAAAAAATGAGTTTCTGGTACTCAATTCAGTTACTGGAAATGTTTTTTTTCTTTTTTCTTTTTTTTTTTTTTGACATAGGGTCTTGCTTTTTCGCCTAGGCTGGAGTGCAGTGGCATGATCATGGCTCACTGCAGCCCCAACCTCCAGGGCTCAAGTGACATGATATTCCCACCACAGCGTCCTGAGTAGCTGGGACTACAGGTGCGCACCACCATGCCTAGCTAATTTTTTGACTTTCTGTAAAGATGGGGTCTCCCTTTGTTGCCCAGGCTGGTCATGAAGTCCTGGACTCAAGCGATCTTCCTGCTTCAGCCTCCCAAAGTGCTGGGATTACAGGTGTGAGCCACCATGCCTTGTGAGAAATACTTTTGAGTATGTTTGAAACAACTTGGGCGTGTGATCTACTTTTTCAAAACATAAGTTTTATAAAATCAAGCATACCTTGCTTTATTGGACTTGACTTTATTATGCCTCACAGATATTGCAGGTTTTTTTCTTAAAGAAATTAAAGGTTTTTGGCAACTCTGAGTGGAGCAAGTGTTTCAGCACCATTTTTCCAACAGCATGTGCTCACTCTGGCACATTTTATTAATAGTGATGCTCACATTATTTCAAACCCTCTCATTATTATCTGTTATGGTGATCTTTGATATTACTATTATTACAATCCATGAACCACACTCATGTAAGAGTGAACTTCATTGATCAATTTTGTGTGTGTTCTAACTACTCCACTGACTGGCTGTTCCCCCACCTTTCTCCCATCTCTCTCAGAACTCCCTATTCCCTGAGATACAATATTAAAATTAGGCCAATTAATCACCCTACAATGGCAATGGCCTCTAAGTGTTCAAGTGAAAGGGAAAGTCGCATCTCTCTCACGTTAAACCAAAAAGCTAGAAACGATTAAGCTTATGAGGAAGGCATGTCAAAAGCTGAGATAGGTTGAAAGCTAGGCCTCTTGTGCCATACAGTTAGCCAAGTTGTGAATGCAAAGGAAAAGTTCTTGAAGGAAATTAAAAGTGTTACTACGCTGAACACACAAATGATAAGAAGGCAAAACAGGCTTATTGCTAATATGGAGAAAATTTAAGTGGTCTGGATAAAAAAAATGAAACCAGCCACAACATTCTCTTAAGCCAAAGTCTAATCCAGAGCAAGGAGACTCTGATGTACTATTCAGTATGTCAATTGCATTTTCCTACTCCAGAATTTCTATGAAGGCTGAGAGGGGTGAGGAAGCTGCAAGGAAAAAAAAAAAAAAACTGATTCATGAGTTTTAAGAAAACTCTGTTGCACTTCAGCCTGGGCGAGAGTGAGACTCCGTCTCAAAAAAAAAAAAAAAAAAAGAAAGAAAGAAATTACCATACACCTTAGCCAGGCGCAGTGGCTCACGCCTGTAATCCCAGCACTTTGGGAAGCCGAGGCAGGCGGATCACCTGAAGTTGGGAGTTCGAGACCAGCCTGACCAACGTGGAGAAACCCTGTCTCTACTAAAAATACAAAATTAGCCAGGCATGGTGGCCCATGCTTGTAATCCCAGCTACTCGGGAAGCTGAGGCAGGAGAATCACTTGAACCTGGGAGGCAGAGGTTGCGCTGAGCCGAGATCACGCCATTGCACTCCAGCCTGGGCAACAAGAGGGAAACTCCATCTCGAAAAAAAAAAAAAAAATTACCATACACCACATAGACTTTCTGGGGACTCCCTTGGATAACTTTGATAGAATTGTGTATGCTGATAGTTTAGACATAAGTAAAACTAAAAATTGCCAAGCAGGACATGTCATCATAGGTCTGAATTCACCATTGGCATATAAGTTTCTGATGGAATTTAAATAAATTCAGATGGTTAATTGTACTCACTAGGACTTGCTAGCTGGTGAAAGATTAAAGAACAAATATGTATACTAACAGTTGGAATGATCTGCAAGTTACATCATAACTTCCAAATGTCTTGACAACAAAAGGTTTATGACTAGAGTATTGAGGAGGGGTCAGGCAGAATGAGAATAGCCTTAGGGGCCACCCCATGCAATAGGAAGCAGCAGTGCAGAAAAAGAGAGAAAAAACATAAAAGCAAACAAGTTAGAAGGAGAGAAAAACTGCCCTTAGAGGTCAAGGGAGAAGAGAAATTGAAGAAGGAGTTGATTAACAGTGACAAATGCTGTAAACAAGTTAAAGAGGATGAAGACTGACAAAACCAACTGGACTTTGCAAAGAGGTTTACAATGACGTTAGAAAACATGGTTTCAGCAGACTGCTGCTGCTGAGCACACACCATAAAAGTTTCCCACAGAGCAGATCATGGAGATGATGACTGCTATAAACCTGGCATGACAAAGGAGAAAGGCAGGCTCCACCGTAGACAGAAAGATGGAGGGACCAATGCATGCTCTAAGTCTCACTCATATTTCAGGCTTTATCCATGCTTTGAAAAACATTCTCACAGCAATGAGAAGCTTCAAAGCTATCAGCCACCTTACCTGGGAAAGGCACAAAGGCATGTCGCATGCTAATTGAAAATGGCATTCCTCTGTCTGCAGCTCTCTCCTCCATCTGTGCCTGGCATCTAGGATTCACGCTGAAACCCTTCTTATATTTTCCTCTGTGGTGCAAACAACATCATCAGTTAGACATGAAGCAGTCTCAAATATATGAAAAAGGTCTGATTTTCAGTAACATCAGTATTTCCGTCTAAGAAACTTAATAAAAACCTTACTGAGGGCTGGGTGTGGTAGCTCACACCTGTAATACCAGCACTTTGGGAAGCCGAGGCGAGTAGATTGCTTGAGCCCAGGAGTTCGGGTCTAGTTAGGGCAACAAAGTGAGACCCTTGTCTCTACAAAAACTAGCTAGGCATGGTGGCACACGCCTGTGGTCCCAGCTACTCAGGAGGCTGAGGTGGGAGGATTGCTCGAGCCCAGGAGGTGGAGGTTGCAGTAAGCTGAGATCGCACCACTGCACTCCAGCCTGGGCAAGAGAGCAAGACTCCGTCTCAAAAAAACAAACAAACAAAGAAAACCAAATCTTTATCTGAGACTCACTTTAAAGCTTAACAAAGATACTAGAACTTTTTTTAGCAAACATTGAATTAAACATGAATTAGCTTCTTTATAGATGGGACTCAGGATTCAAAACGGTCTAGGACAGAAATGGGTATGTCTGAAACATAAAATTAAATTAATTTCATTTATTTGTCTAATAAGCTATTTTGAGCCATTCATACTTACAAAAGTTTATTAATACAGATACAGAGAAACAGCACCTACCTGCCCATGGGAAGTAGGCCTTTGCCTACAGCTTGAGAAGGTGGGCTTTCTCCTACTAGTGTTGGCATTTTGATTTCAAAATCTCTTGGCACATTCTGAATATTTGGTTCTGTAAAGGTTATTCGTCCTAAAATCAAGCAGAATAAAGACATAAAATCAGGAAAAAAAATCTAGTATTTGTCTTAACAGTATTCACATTTCTGGATTATCTTAAAAATGCAGACTATCAATGCTGAACTGAAATACATTTATATTTAAATATTTTTCATCATGTTCATGTGTCTAACAATGATAAAATAAGTACAAGACCATCCCAAATAAATGAATGTATGAATTGGCTACACTACTATGTTTTACACAGAAAACCATCGCACAATGAGAAGTAATTTGATAAACTGAACTAGTCTTATGCTAAAATGAGTATCAGATTTCAGCACTATAACATGTTAGCGGTCATATTAATGAGTAAAGGCTAATCAAATGGATCTTAGGAGAAACAACCACTGACGCTTCTAAAAACAACACTTTCAGACATCATCTGGCTGTTTTTCTTCATCATTGTCATTCATCAAGAGAATCTACAACAGTACTTACTAGAAGTACTGAATCAGGTGAGACTTGAATCAGGTGGTTAATAGTAAATTTTCCAGTGAACAGAAAGCTGTTTTTTAAAAAAATGCTTATAAGCCTGGCCAACATAGTGAAACCCCGTCTCCACTAAAAACACAAAAAATTAGCTGGGCATGATGGCGGGTGCCTGCAATCCTCAGCTACTTAGGAGGCTGTGGCAGGAGAATTGCTTGAACCTGGGAGGCGGAGGTTGCACTGAGCCGAGATCATGCCACTGTACTCCAGCCTGGGCAACAGAGTGAGACTGTCTCAAAAAAAAAAAAAAAAAAATGCTTATAAAGCCTTTATTTCCAAATATATTTTACATCTTTTGTTTACTTATTGGTTGAATTTCTCTAAAACATGAAAACATGTTAAGTATCACTCCAAAAAAGTTTGAGAAATTTTGTTACTGTGATTTTTTATAACACTATCAGCAACACTAAAACTCTATTTTATGACACACTCTTCATTGTAACAGGCTGTCTACTAGCTATGTATAACTCCATTATCTTCTGATAAATCAGACCTTTTAAGTGACTTGGACGTTGTTTTTTTGAATGATCCCCTAATATTATGTCTTTGTCATTTAGCTTTTAGCACAAAATAAGTGCTCAGTTAATGATAACCTTTAACATAATTGTTGACATTAAATGGCCTGTTCAGTGTTACAAAGCTAACAAACAGCAGAGGAAGGCATCCAAGGCTCTTTTTACATCAACACATTGTCTTCTTTTCTATAACACTTAATATTCAGCACACTACTCTGGTCTATTAGTTGAATTAATGAAGCAACACTGGCAGACCAAAAAAAATGGTAAAAATAAATTACAAAGAATGAATATATAGCTTAATGGATATGAAGTATATTCATGAAATGGCTTTGCTATGCTTAAGTTTGTATTTCTAAATATTATAAGCATTATAAAATATTATTAAAATACATTTCTAAAATCACTAATAAGTAAAATCAGTAATAAAATCAAAAGAAATGTTGCACATTTATTTGTTCTTTACGAACAAATAACAAAGCAGAAGGCTTATTACTGATTTTATCTTCTGTTTTGTAAAGAACAAATAAATGTGCAACACCATTGAAAATTCTAGGTTGCTGGGCGTGGTGGCTAATGCCTGTAATCCCAGCACTTTGGGAGGCTGAGGTGGGTGGATCACGAGGTCAAGAGATTGAGACCATCCTGGCCAATATAGTGAAACACTGTCTCTACTAAAAATACAAAAATTAGCTGAGGCAGGAGAATCACTTGAACCTAGGAGGCGGAGGTTGCAGTGAGCCGAGATCACGCCACTGCACTCCAGTCTGGCGACAGAGCGAGACTCTGTCTCAAAAATAAATAAATAAATAAATAAAAGAAAATTCTAGGTTGATGTTGTCTTTTCATCACGGAGGATTTTATTTTACGTAAGTTTATATCATTAGCATATGTTTCAAAGTGAAATTTAAATACCAACAGGACAAGATATCACTAGGATGGGACAAGTTTAGAATGTTTAGAACAAGGGATAAAGCAAGCAGAGAAAAGCAGCACCTCATGGAGCCTCCGTGCTGGGTAACAGCAGCAACTGATAGTGAGCACTTTCTAGGAGCCATGCACTATTCTAAATACCCTACATCTATGAACCTATTTAATCCTCAGAATTACCAGGTGGGGTGAGACTGTTATTACCTTATTCGTTTATTGGTTTATTTATTGACTGAGACAGGGTCTCACTCTGTTGCCCAGGCTGAAGTGCAGTGGCTCAATCACAGCTCACTGTAGCCTTGATCTCCGAGGCTCAAGCAATCCTTCTACCTCAGCCTTCCAAGTGGCTGGGACTACAGGCACAAGATACCACACATGGCTAATTTTTTGACTTTCTATAGAGACATGGTTTTGACTTTCTATAGAGACATGGTTTCACTATCTTGCCCAGGCTAGTCTCAAACTCCTGGGCTCAAGTGACCCTCCCATCTTGGCCTCCCAAAGTGCTGGGATTACAGGCGGCAGCCACTGTGCCCAGCCTATTACCTTGTTTTATACATGAAAAAAAATGTAGGCATTGAGAGGTTAAGTATCTTGTCTAAAGATTCACAGAACCAGGATTCAAACCCTGATTTCTGATGTCAAAGCCCACATTCTATACCACCAATCTAAACTGCCTGCCTCCTCTATGAATGAGTTAAAGCTACCTTTTCTTCCACTACACATCACATTTAGCAAATATTTAGAGTTTTGTACTGCCTAGAGAAAGAATACATTTTTCTTCATAAGATTACACTCTTACTTATCTCAGGAGGACCATGAGATAACCAAAGGACTCTACAGCTTTCTTTTCTGCTTGGGTAAAATAAGACACTTACTTATACGGATGCCCCAGAGGCCTACTCAGATTCAACTTGGAGAAATCTTAAGAGGCTCAAAAAAGGGCTGGGACTGAAATTAGATAAGACCACTGACTCAAATATTTAATTCCTGTGTATACTCACATTGAAAGTACTGTCTCAGACATCCCAGTTACTCTATACAAGTTCTTAAAAGCAGGAACCAGGCTGGGCGCAGTGGCTCACGCCTGTAATCCCAGCACTTTGGGAGGCCGAGGCAGGTGGATCACCTGAGGTCAGGAGTTCGAGACCAGCCTGATCAATGTGACGAAACCCCATCTCTACTAAAAATACAAAAATTAGCCAGATGTGGTGGTATGCGCCTGTAATCCCAGCTACTCGGGAGGTTGAGGCAGGAGAATCACTTGAACCTGGGAGGCAGAGGTTGCAGGGAGGTGGAGGTTGCAGGGAGCTGAGATCGTGCCACCGCACTCCAGCCTGGCCAACAAGAGTGAAACTCTGTCTCAAAATAAATAAATAAATAAATAAATAAAAATAAAAGCAGGAACCAATACTCATCTCTGTACCCAGGTAGTATCTATCTATGCTTTGGATAAAGCATGTATTTTATAGTTGTAAAACTTCACCGAACCCCTTGATCAACACTTGAATTCTTGGCCATCATAAAAAATATTACATATGAAAATGCTTTTCCTTCAAAATTGGATATTGTTTATACTTAAGATTTCTCATCACCTGTAGCAGTGTGCGACTGTGATACAGGATAGATTCTTTCCATTCCAAGAAAAGGATTAAGACACTTTTCCCGCTGAAGGGGAAAGACCACTTTGGTAATAGCATTAGTGATTCTTCTCCATTCTAATATCAAGCCTGGTAAAGGATGTAATGCCTTTAATTTATTTAAAACGTCCTGCCAAAAAAATATAAGGTAAGATTGAATTCTTGTCCAAATTCCACAGCAAGCTAGAATCTCTTTTCTGTAAATAATACAGTCTCAAAATTAAATTTGAGAGTAATATCGACAACTCAAAACTATTACTTGGAGTTTTTTAAACCACCGTATTGATAAAACTATAACTACAGTTTACAAAATGGAAATGTGGTAATACTGAGCAGTATCAATTTAAAACTACCTTTTTCAAAAAAATAAATGAATTGTCAGTTTAACAAAGTAACTGCCTCCCCACACCCGACCAAAAGTTTATTTTACACCATCTGTTTTCTTTATGCATTTTCCTCCTTCGCTCCTCACATGACTGGAAGTATCCCAGTTGTTTTTGTGCTTGCCCGGATACTTATACGGTTTCCATATCAAGGTAATCAGGAGACATTTATTTTTAAAACTTTGAATTTTTCATACTATAGACTTTCAGTGAACTATTAAGGAACAGAAACTTGTGAGTAAAAGGGCCAGTGAGATTAAATTAAAAATTGTGCTATAGCCTGGAGCTAAGGAAACTTCCTAGGAGCAGACAAATCATAGATAACGGTATAAGGACCACAATTCTACACAAGGGCAACTTGGACAGCTCTGTGGCTATATTTTCTACCCTATTTTTCCCCTGAAACATCTGTAAAAATGTAAAATTAAGCCCCTTCTCTCTTCCCTCCCACTAATGTGTACAGTTTCCATGGATTATGATTAACAATTGTACTTTGAAATTAGCAGATTAAATTCTTAAATCAGGGCCTGGTGCAGTGGCTCATGCCTGTAATCCCAGCACGTTGGGAGGCTGAGGCGGGAGGATCCCTTGAGGTCAGGAGTTCAAGACCAGCCTGGCCAACATGGTGAAACCCCATCTCCACTAAAAATACAAAAATTAGCCAGGCATGGTGGTACACCTTTATAAACCTTTACACCATTTTAATGATAGGAAGGAAGGACACAACTGCTAACTTATGATTCGGATTTTCCATGCTGGAATATCTCCACAGAATTTGTGGGCTACCAAACCACAAACCAATGTGTTAATTTATATCTGGGTAAATTCAAATGGTAGGCTAAGATGTTGATTTCATCAGCATTCTTTCTAGACACCAAAATGTTAAAAGTAGTTTAGGTTCTGCCCTGCTCTGTGACTGCCCCAAAGAGCACCTTACTAGTGCTGAACTGTCTTCCCAGCCTTAGCTTGCGTCCATTGTCAATCCCTCTTCTGGTAGAACCCAGAGTTTTCTTGCTGCCTTGGTTTTTCATCTCTCTATTTGGGGGCAACTTCAATTCCAAAAATAAAACCTGCAAGAAATTAATGTCTCTTTAGTCAAGAATGAAACTTGCAAGGATTATCATTCAGAAAATATTTTAAGTTATTTCAGAAAACAATCTCTACAGTTCAACATGGATTGAAATAATGTTTCTGTGGATAATTTGGAATTACCATATTTAATAAATGATGGCAATCAAAATTTATATGTCAGGTAGTCTATCCATACTCTAATTAGACACTATCAGATTAATTAATACTAACACAAGGCCTTTTTTTTTTTTTTTTTTTGAGACAGGATCTCACTGTCACCCAGGCCAGAGTGTAGTGGTGTGATCACAGCTCACTCTAGCCTTGACTTCCTGGGCTCAAGTGATCCTCCCACCTCAGCCTCCCGAGTAGCTAGGGCCACAGGCATGCACCACCATGCCCACCTAATTTTTGTATCTTTGGTAGAGACAGGATTTCGCCATGTTGGCCAGGGTGGTCTCAAACTCCTAAGCTCAAGCAACCCACCTGCTTCAGCCTCCCAAAGTGGTGGGATTATCGGCATGAGCCACCACACACAGCCAGCTTTTAAGCAGTCAGGAACACAGGCACGTATATACACTGTGCTGAGCAACTGGCAAACAAGTTATTGACATTGAGACTTATTGCTCTAAGAATTGTGAGCTCTCCTAAATGAGGCTGCTCAATCAGTTAAGCCCCATAGATCAACATGGAAGCTTACATGGCTATTGTCTCATTACAAAAATCAGAAAACACTAAAGTAGGAAGGGGTTTGAAAAGTCATCTAGTCCCACCACCACAATGCTGGGCCCTGATAGTCCCTAGGCACAAAAAGTTAGGAGAAGGTGGCCAATACAATGTGGCAATAATGAATGCTAGAGAGGGCCGGTAGCACCCACTGAAGACACCAGAACTGTGCTGTGTGGGAGGTGGAAGACCCCATGTAACACTCACAAGCTCAGATGAGAGGGGATGAAACTAGGGCAATTCAGAACATTATCTACTATACCTAATCATTCACTTATATACTTTGAGTGGGTTTTAATGAACCTTGGATTATTTTCCCAGTAATAATTCTAAAAATTGAAACTATTTGTGTAAGTACAAGAATTTTTCCCACAAGTTGAGCCAGGGGTGGAAGGGAAGATAATCCCTGTACTTCTCTAGAATGGTAATGATGACAGAAACAATGATCTGGTTCCAGTTTGAACTGGGGTTTTAGGAATGAAAGGTACTGAGGCTTACTACAGATGTCAGTAACTATTTAGCCCAAGAACTATGTTACACAGATATGAACATATGCATGTATAGGGATTAGGGTTGCCACATATACCAAATAAAATTACAAAATGCCCAGTTAAATTTGAGTTGCATGGGGCATACTTATACTAAATTGTTATCCATTGTTTACCTGATTTTATTGACAAATTATAGTTGTATACATTCATGGGGTACAAGATGATGTTTTGATGTAAGTATACAATGTGGTGTGATTAAATTAAGCTGATTAACATATTGATCACCACACTTAGACTTATCATTTTTTATGGTAAGACATTTGAAATTTACTCTTAGTTACTTTGAAATATATAATACGTTACTATTGACTGTAGTCACCCTTGTGTACAATAAATATTAGAATCGATTCCTCCTGTTTATCTGAAACTTTGTACCCTTTGATAAACAACTCCCCATTCCCCTATCTAAAACTTTATACCCTTTGACTAGCAACTCCCCATTTCCCCGCTCCCTACTCCCCCAGCCTCTGGTAACAGCTGTTCCACTTTCCACTTCGAGGAGTTCAACTTCATTGGATTCCACATATAGTGAGATCATCTGAAACATATGGTACTTATCTTTCTGTAACTGGCTTATTTCACTTAGCATAACGTCTTTCAGGTTCCTCCATGTTTTCAAAAATGACAGGATGAAATACAAATTTCAAACTGGATGTGCCATATTTTATCAGGCAACCCTAATATAGGTATCAAAGGGTACATGAATGGCAGTATAGGAGAAAAAAAACCAAGCAACTGGATAGGAAAAATAAAACACTATTAAAGTAATAATAAAGCAGCAAACCCAGGAAGAGAGACCCATTATGATTAAAGACAACACAAATATCTCAAGTTATATATTTAGAAGTTCTTTAGCTTAAGCATTTTTTTGGGGGGGTGAAGCTTTCAGAATTAACTGTGAAACTTCACATACAAACTACCTTCCAGGTAACTGCCATTTTGACATGCAGGACGAAGAAGCCAATACTATCAAAGGCCCTTTACTCTTAGTCCAGGATTTGCTCAAGGCCTGTAGCTTACATGCTTTCAGGCCCATCTGAATCACAAGGGCAGCAATTCTTGCCTTTGCCCCAAACCTACTTGTGCTGAAACAGAGATTCTATATTTTCTATAAGTTCCCTATGTAATTTTATGTGCAGTCAGCTAGGTATTGGCTTGGGGATTTGAAAAGCAGATACCAAAAAGAAAAAAAAAAGGCACCACTGAATTCAACACATGAATAAGAGAAACCAAGTTCCTCATTTTCTTTTAAATATGTTAACGAAGGAACAGAAAATCAAATACTGCATGTTCTCATTTATAAGTGGAAGCTAAATGATGAGAATTCATGAGCAAAAAATCCCTTTTTCATTTAATTCAGAAAAATATCCAGTTTCCTATTCTATAGAAAGATGTTAGGGCAAGCAAGGAAGGGGTAAGGGCTCATGAAATGACCAACTTCCTGGAAAAATAGCTATGCTGTCATGCAACCACCAGTACCAATCATTTCTTCAACAAATACTTAGTGAGTCCCTCCTCCGTTCCAGGCAAATCTCCTTCTCAAGGAGCTTACATTCTAGAAGTCCTCTTTATTACCTTCCTTTATTTGTAAATTAAATACAGATATAATTTACAAATTAGATGCTAGAATATTCCCAAAGCAATCTGGTTAACTGGCTGTTTCATTTTACTGACCTTTGGTGTTCAGGTAAATACACACACACACACACACACACACACACACAATCATTTTAACTCTAAAAATTATGTATCTATATCCCTAGCCCCATGATACAACCTCAGCGATGTCATCTGAACTGGTGAAAGAAAAACTGTGGCCAGCTAGTTGATAGGCCTGGGTCTCAATTGCATCCAGCTTGGCTTGCATTATATGTTTCTGACTTTCACATTCTGCAGTACTAAAGCCAATTCCATTTAGTTCTAGCAAGGCCAAGCAGTACTGAGAGGGCATTTCCACCTTACGGAAAACATCTGGAAGAAAAAAGAAAATTAAAACGTTAATTCATTGGCTAAGTGGCTAGATCAGCAGCCTTACCTAAACTATACAGAATTCATCTAGGAAAATCCAGAAATGCTACCAAGGTATCCTTCAGGAGCCAGTCTCCCGAGCAGCATCCTCAAGCCAACAATGAAAGGTGGAAAAGTACAGGCTAGTTTAGCACTGGACAACTATCCTTGTCTCTGCAGAGAGTAGAAGAGTCGGCAATCTTGTGACTAGTCTGGATTACAAGAGACTGTATTTCTCCTAAGATGTTTCTGCTTCTACTCTTAGCAGCAGCATAACAATCAACCTTATTTTGAAATCCAAAATGCTCCAAAATCTGAAACTTTCTGAGCACTGACATGACACCACAATTAGGACACTCCATACCTGACTTTACGTGACAGGGCACAGTCAAAACACAGGTGTACAACACAAAGTTTATTCAGCGTCTCTAAAGGAAAAAAGCCCCTCCTTGCCCCATTCAGCTTCAATATATCTTTTCCGCCAGACAACCACAGACTGCCTACATGAGTGACTGAGACAGTGATACCTTTGCTTTCTGATGGTTCAGTGTACACAAATTTTATTTTGTGCACAAAAGTATTAAATAATTGTATAAAATTATCTTTAGGCTATGTCTATAGGTATATATGAATTCTACATTTAGACTTGGGTCTCATCCCCAAGATATCTCATTATATATATGCAAATATTCCAAAATCCAAAAAAATCTGAAACGTAAAACACTTCTGGTCCCACATTTTGGATAAGGCAGACTTAACTTATATATTAAAGGCCCTGAGAGGACCTGAAGCAAAGACAACTATTTAATTTTATTTTAAGTGAAAGTCCCAAACTTATTTGACCATTAAACCCTTTTTTCATATAATACTTATTAACATCTTGAAAAGTAAGCATCCATGGAATGTACTATAGGAAATGCTGTCCTAAATCATTAAGAAAGAATCCCTAAGACTTCAGCTTCCAGTATTGAGTCACTAGGAATCTAAGCAACCCTGGCCCACCTTCCCCAGCTCCACACAAACATTATTTGAGGCACTGCTGGTCTCAATCAGCATGAGAAATCTCCAGGGACACCCGTAACCACCACGAAAAGCAAAGAAACAAATGAGAGTTACTGGCCTCTAACTACATGCAGAAGGTACGAGACCGTCAGAGCCTGGCTTTAGAAGCCTGGAACTAGTGGAGAAATTCACGTTACTTGAGACTAGAGAAATAATGAACTTGGGTCAGAACAGGAACAATCAGAGAAGCACAAAGTAAGAGTGGCAGGAAGCTAGCCTGCATCCATAGCCATTAGGAAGGAGCAAGGTCGTTATGGGAATGGAGTCCCATAGCAAAAAAAGTTAAGGGGATATAGATCCTTGAAACAACAACAGGATGAGGAGCAGAGTCTCAGACTCCTGTTCTGAAACAAAACTCTCAAAGGCTACTGCGGTCCTTTGATGCAGAGTAGTGTGGTACCCAGCAGAGGCAGGAGCAAAACCTTTCTAAGGGAAGATTTCCCCCACGTAAGTCCTGCAGGGATCCTTGATCATAATAAATCCTGTATGAACTCACAAAAAATATGAAAAATACAAGACAGCAAAGAAATGTGAATAGGACTCAGAAGAAACAACCAAGAAGAAATTTAGATCCCCAAAACTGCAGATAAGGACTAGTTAGAATATTGCACAACTGTGAATGAACTACTTACAAAACAAAAAGTGACTAGAAACAAAGTAAAATAGTAGGAAAATAGAGAACAAGTGTATCAATAATCAAATAAGCAGAAATACATCAAGAATCACAATAAATTGGCAAATTTGTAAAAAAAAAAAAAAAAAAAAAAAAGTTAAGCCTGAAAAGTAAATGAGCTATACTTTGTTTATAAGACATGTCTGAAGATAGGGACCTAGAAAGGTTAAAAGGGATAGAAAAAAGCTATATGAACTAATATTAAGAGAAAGCTGATGTTGCCATATTCATATAAGAAAACAGACTAAGAATAAAAATCATTATTTGTAATACAGATGGTCATAATACAATAATAGAAGGTTTAATTCACCAGGAAGACAAATCATTTTTAAACACATACACACCTAATAAAGTGGCCTCAAAACAAAGTTAAAATTGATTGAATTACAGGGAAAATTAGACATAGAATATTTTAAAAACAACTTTGACTTAACAGACATATAAAATTGTGCATCCAGAATTAGAGTACACATTCTTTTGTGTGCACATAGAGCATTTACACAACAGCTCAGGTTTTAGATAATGAATCGTTGGCTAAAAATTTCAAGAATTAGTATTATACAACCATGTACTCGAACTACAACACAATTAAGTTTAAATATAATAAAAATACAAAATAAAAGTTTCTAAATATTTGGGAATTAAAAACCATTCTTCTAAATAATTTGTGAGTGAAAAAATATACCAGAAATCTAAAAATATCTAGCATGATAAGAATATTATCAGGCCAGGAATAGTGGCTCACACCTGTAATCCCAGCACTTTGGGAGGCAAAGGCAGGAGGACTGCTTGAGGGCAAGAGTTTGAGACCAGCCTGGGCAACATAGCAAGACCCTCATCTCTACAAAAAAAAAAAAATGTGTGTGTGTGTGTGTGTGTGTGTATACACATCAAAACTGTAGAATACAATAAAAGTAGTGCTTTGAGGAAAATTTATAGCTATATATATATATTTTGTTTGTTTGTTTGTTTTTGTGATACAGATCCTCACTCTATTGCCCAGACTGGAGTGCAGTGGCAGAATCTCTGCTCACTGCAACCTCCGCCTCCGGTATTCTCGTGCCTCAGCCTCCTGAGTAGCTGGGATTACAGGTGCATGCAACCACACCCAGCTAATTTTTGATTTTTAGTAGAGACAGGGTTTCACCATGTTGGCCAGGCTGGTCTCAAACTCCTGGCCTCAAGTGATCCACCCACCTCAGCCTCCCAGAGTGCTAGGATTACAGGCATGAGCCACTGCACCCGGCTGCCTTATATTCTTAAGTTAGAAAAGAAAAAAAATAATTTGAGAAGTAATGGTTTTAAGGTCAAAGTTATGAATATTGAAAAATGACTACAAAATAAAGTCAGGGGAACTAGAAGAAAACAGATAATATAGATGTGGACAGAAATCAAGGAAATACAAAACAAAAGTAATAGGAAGAATCAAAGGCAAAGGTTGGTTCTTTGAAAAGACTAGAAAATTGGGAAAACTTCAAGTGACATTAAATAATAATATTATGAAAGAAAAAGAGAATATAACAAATAAACCAGAGACGTAAAAAAGAGAGACTTAGCAATAGCTGTATATCAATAAATTTGAAAATTTAGATGAAACATAAATTCCTTAAAAATATATAGGTTGGGAATGTCACAGTGGAGTAATAAAAAGAAAAAAAAGATTTGGAAAAAAAATATATATATATAGCTTACCAAATATATTCAAAAAGAAATAACTGAATAATCTTACAGTTATTAAAGAAATCAAAGTTGCAGTTAAAATATCTTTCTATGTCAGATGAGAATACCTCCTGGCTAACAGAAAAATTTTAAAAATAAAACATATCTATATCTCTTTCTACAAAGAAATAATTATATTCAAACTAAATCTGATAGCTGTCTACATTCTCTCCAAAAACTTCCCTTATCTCAGTGCACTTCAATTCTTGAATTCTATGAATAAGAAAGCATTAACACTGTAAAAAATGCATTTAATACCTCCTAACCACCCTTTTTTTTTTGAGATGGGGTCTCACTATGTGGTCCAGGCTGGTCTCAAACTTCTGGGCTCCAGTGATCCTCCCACCTTAGACTCCTGAGTAGCTGAGACTACAGGCAGGAACCACTGAGCCAGCCTAGCCACACATTTTTGAAAGTGCAGAAAAAAAAAGGAGCTTTCAAAAGCACATTGAAATTGTGAAAGTTAAAAATTATAATAATCAACTAACATAATAAGCACCTGCTCTGTGACAAACACTGCCCATATTCACTATCTTATTTAATCCTTAGAACAACTTTATAAGAACCAGACTTACAGTTTCAGTAGTTTGCCCAAAGTCCCTCAGCTCATAAGTGGATAACCCAGATCCAAACCCTAGTCTGTATGAATTCATCCATCTATTTTCTAGTACCTATTGATTAGTCAATAAATTCGGTCACTCCTCACAATGAAGCCAAATTTGTTCTACTTCA
Organism: Homo sapiens; assembly: GCF_000001405.40. NCBI lineage: Eukaryota > Metazoa > Chordata > Mammalia > Primates > Hominidae > Homo > Homo sapiens. The sequence continues at coordinate 121,480,956 of NC_000003.12, forward strand.
CATCTCTACCATAAGCATCCGTTAAGCTCTCTGTAGTCAGGGTGCTTGATCTGGGCCAGCAGATAACAATGACAATAAATTCATGTTATTTGTCATGAGGGAAAAAAGAGACTCTCATGATTATCCCTTGCTGTGAAAAAACATCTGTTTGTTAATAGTTCCAAAAAGAAAAGAGTTAACTTTTTGAAATCCATTAAGGATGTCTTCTAAGGGTGAATAAAAATCCTTTGATAAAGTTCAAATACAAAATTACCAACAACTGCATAAATGCGATTTTGTAATTCTCTTCTTCACACAAGGGCCAGAAGTCAGCAAATTATGGCCAAACTAACATTAGATGCATGTTTTTGTAAAGTGTTATTGGAAGACAGCCATTTGTTTTGGTCTTGTCTACAGCTGCTCTTTTGCTACAATGGCAGAGTTGAGTATTTGTGATAGAGATTGTTTAGTTTACAAAGCCAAAAATATTTACTCTCTGGCCTTTTACAGAAAAAAAGCACTAGACAATCCAAAGGTAGGATTTGCATAAATGTGTAATTTACCCATTTTTGATAAAGAGTGGCTAAATCTCTATCTCTAATCTATAACATAAAAATGCCAGAAACTTGGTTTTTACCTTGAAGGTTTTCCTTCTGCAACAAAGAGTTGAGCTGATTCATAGAGTTGAAGATGAGAATGGACTCCACAGATGCTCTGTATCGCCCAGAATGCTCACTGCCAGCATTTAGCCCCAGGCTTTGAATCCCTTGGCTGGTCTCCATCCCTTCTAGGAGTGGAAGCTCATGAGGAAGAAAACTGGTAACTATGCTATGAAGAGTCGGCTCCTGAGAATCTGGATCTAGTAACCAGCATGCCACCTGAATGGGATAGCAATGAGAATATTTTCCTGATTTTTTTCAAAGACACTTATGTACCTCTAAATGAAAAGGGAAAAAAACAAAGCTCATTTCTAACCTCACTCATTTTCATTTAATATTTATTCAGTGGTCTTCCCAGGAAAGAAGGAAAGAATAATTGTAACAGGACTCATTTTTGGTAGCAACAACAGCAGTAGCTTTCAAAGAAAGGAAAGTTGTAACTATTCCATTCCTACAATGCTCAGGCCGATCCAGTTTAGCAGTAGGCTTGAAAAACAAGTGTGTCTCAGCAAACTCAAACCATGTGTCTGAAAATGAAGATGGACTCCTCCACTAAGGCTAATTTGGGCTAAGCTACTGTAATAAAGATGGGCCTGTGAGGTTTTAGGTATATTTAGTTCTTTCATCATCAAAAGAAGTGAGGCGCCGGGCGCAGTGGCTGACACCTGTAATCCCAGCACTTTGGGAGACTGAGGCGGGTTGATCACCTGAGGTCAGAAGTTCAAGACTAGCCTGGTCAACATGGTGAAACCCTGTCTCTACTAAATATACAAAAAATTAGCTGGGCATGGTGGTGGGCACCTGTAATCCCAGCTACTCAGGAGGCTGAGGCAAAAGAATCGCTTGAACCTGGGAGGCGGAGGTTGCAGTGAGCCGAGATTGCACCACTGCACTCCAGCCTGGGCAACAAGAGCAAAACTTCGTCTCAAAAAAAAAAAAAAGTGACGCATAAATGTTTTACCATTAAAAGTTTATATCCAGAGTTTCAGAAAGCCTCTACACTTTCCCCTCAGAATGGGGGGGGTCTGTCACCAGAATCATCCAATTATTCATTTGATTGCTATTTCCAACTTCCTCATAAGACTAGGAGTCCTGTAGTTTCTAATACTAGATCAGGCAGATCATTAACTGGATTAGAATAAGGGAATCTAAGCCCTGTTCATAATTCTGACAATTACTTTACTATATGACTCAATTCTTTCTTTTGTAGGTTAAGAATAAAGTTTTATAGGGGAATATTGAGTGAAATAGTCTGATGTAAAAGTTAACATGTTTCTTAACTGAGTCATCATTACGAAGAGTGCATCATACTTTGCTATTATAAAGGAAAGTTCTCAGGAGCCAGTAAGGGGATTTGCCTCTATGCTAAATGGCCACTAACTACAATCCTTTTTGTCATCTTATTCACACTCTTTTCCAATTTTCTGCCTCCACCCTCATGAATATTTAAGACCTCCTGCTATCATACACCTAAATCTGTTCTCATTTCACTTCCAATTTACTATCAGACAGAAAACTTAGGACTTATGACCCAAATTAAAATTTTTTAAAAATCTCTGAGGAAAGACATAAACTTTAGGGCTCCAAATTTGTGACATCTCTGTTTTTATCTACACAGAGATATTTGGTGCATGATATTCTATTCTGGGTAGATGAGATTATTGAATAAAGAAGTGACTACTCTAAAATACTTTTAAGCTGCATTATTGATGCTAAGTAAATACCAAGTCATTTAAGAATTAACACTAAAAATGTTGTTTTAAGTATATAAAAATTAAATTAGACATAGAACCTTAGGATCTTCATAACTTTGCTCCAAGGAGATGCCACAAGAAAGAAGAAGAATTTTATAGCTCTGGATGAAGTCATAGATGACAACAGAACATTCTTTATCAGATTCCTTTCGCAAGCAAGATTGAAGGTACCACATCCTGTCTTTCAAAGTCAGGCTTGGATCTAAAGAAGGTGGAACCAAACTGGCACTAATTTCTTTAAAAAAAAAAAAAAAAAGGAAAAAACATTTTTAAGGCAAAAATTACATGCATTCATTTGAAGCAGCAATCTTTAGTAGAAAGACTGAAAAAGACTCAGAAGGCTAAGGGTCTGGTTCCATGTGACGAGTAATTCAGCATCTTATCCAGGTCATATCAGCTATGTAGATGAAGTGCATCATATATCTAAAAATTATGACTTGGGCTAGAAGATTTTTAATGCTCTACTTAATTAGGTGGGAGAAAATATTAAATATTAATACTTGTAAAAACAAAATTACATTTCCCAAAATGAGGAGTTAAAGACAGGAAAAGTATTTGGAAATGAATTTTAAAGAGAGATTTAGTATGAACACATACTATTCTATCCAAAATAAAAAAAAAGCTTAAGTAACTACTCACCCCAACATATTTTCCTGCAAAACAACTGAAAATATTTCATGCTTACTAAGGAACAGACACTATACAGCATCCTTTAAAATGTTTCCTTATTAATTTTGCTCCTAAAAAAAGCTTAAGTAACTACTCACCCCAACATATTTTCCTGCAAAACAACTGAAAATATTTCATGCTTACTAAGGAACAGACACTATACAGCATCCTTTAAAATGTTTCCTTATTAATTTTGCTCCTGTCCAAAACCAACCTATCAGCTGGGGTATCCAACATCCACATTCAGATCACAGGGTATTTCCAGATTACATCCTTTCCACTCTAAAGACTTCTCCAAAGTTTATATAATTCGACTACTATAGATCTCTAGCTCAACATTCCCTCTAGATGAGTTTCAGACCCATTCAATGGTAGGACAGAAGACTGAAAATAAACTGCCATCGTTTAGTCTTCAAAAGCAAACCCTAAAGGTGGCAAGAGAGTCCCTGAGTCTTCACTGCCCCCTCAGAGGAAAAACCCATAGCATGAATAGCCTCGTGTGACAGGCAGGGAGAAGTAAGGAAGTGCTTCTTAAAACATTAATTCTAGTTAATATATGCAATAATGTACATGCCAGCTGCTCTCCAAAAAATTACAATTTTTGCCAGGCACAGTGGCTCACACCTGTAATCCCAACACTTTGGGAGGCCAAGGCGGGTGGATCACCTGAGGTAAGGAGTTCAAGACCAGCCTGACCAACATGGTAAAACCCTGTCTCTACTAAAAAAATACAAAATTAGCCGGCGCAGTGGCACATGCTTGTAATAGCAGCTACTTGGGAGGCTGAGGCAGGAGAATCGCTTGAACCCAGGAGGTGAAGGTTGTAGTGAGCCAAGATCATGCCACTGTACTCCAGCCTGGGCAAAAGAGTGACATTCTGTCTCAAAAAACAAACAAAAAAAAATTTAACTCTAAAAATAAATCCTAGGTAAATATCAGGAAATTATTCTCAAAATATAAGATCACTACCCTAATGGATGTTACAGTAATTACATAGTGACTTAGCCAAATACTCATTACTTACCAGAATGCTTTTGTTCCTTCTGCAGTGAAAAATAATAGGCATCCCTTCCACCCCAGCATACTGCCAGTCCAACCACCAAGGTGTCATCACAACCTTTAATGGGAAATCCATCATCTCTAATAGGAATTTCCTGAGGTGAGCTAGCTAAGTAAAACAAAAGTGAAACAGTTAAAAATCTCTAAAAATAAAGACATTACATAAATTGTTAAAACAATTATAATAAAAAACCTATCTTTGATAGGCAAAATTTCCAGATCTTAAAATATGCATTTGGACAGTCATTTTAAGTATAAGTAAGATCTTTCCAGGCTTCCCATCAATTAAGATAACTGTCACTATGAAAAAGCTATCAAGGATTTGTTAAAATAAATCTATAATGATTAACGTCAAGAAAGGGAGGCTGCATTTCAAATTTTATAACTCAAACAAAAATACAGATCATTTGCATACTACAAATATTTTGCAGCAAATTCAGCAATTCTTAGCTAAGAAACTCCAGAAAAATAAAGACTATTACTCCTTAGTGAAGAAGCATAATTTTGTATCTAGAGTCAATGTTTTATTCCTAAAATAATGTATCTCCAATTTTATAAAGGTCAAGAATCAATCCGTCTTATTGATAATTATATCCCTAGTAGCAGGAAAATAACTGGCACATAGGAACTTAGTACATATTTATTAAATTTAGGTGAACTTTTTTATCCCTCTAGCCTCTATTATATAGCCTGATACAGAAAATGTGCTCAATTTTGTTTGTTACATCAAAAATGGAAAGTGCTATTCAACACTAAAAGTACATAAAAGTTGTGGTTAACACATCTGCTTCATGAATTGAAAATCAGACAAATACTCAAACCTTTATGAACAAATTAATTCATAAAATAGCAAGGTTTAATAAATCTAATCAAACACCTGATTTCCACAGCTGACTACAACTGGTCCCCACAATCCAGAAGGCAGAGCTCACGCAATAAGACAGGAATATACATAGCCTTATTTGACCAAAAGGTTCAACTCTCTCAAAACCTGGAAGAGCTCTGCAAGGTTTTGGAAGCAACATTTCAGTATACAATTCATGACTATCATGGAGGTCTAAGTTCTACTCAAGATAAATCTTGGAAAATGTAGCTAATGTACACTGTGAAGAACAAAGTTCCTATTAGCAATGTAATTTTGTAATTACATAAGCAAACAAGGATATTACAATTTAATAGAAAATAATTTATGAGGCCGGGCATGGTGGCTCACGCCTGTAATCCCAGCACTTTGGGAGGCCGAGGTGGGTGGATCACGAGGTCAGGGGATTGAGACCATCCTGGCTAACACAGTGAAACCCCATCTGTACTAAAATACAAAATAAAAAATTAGCCAGGCATGATGGCATGCACCTGTAGTCCCAGCTACTCAGGAGGCTGAGGCAGGAGAATTGCTTGAACCCGAGAGGCAGAGGTTGCAGTGAGCCGACATCATGCCACTGTACTCCAGCCTGGCCAATAGCGAGATTCTGTCTAAAAAATAATAATAATAATAATAATTCATGGGGCTGGGCGCAGTGGCTCATGCCGGTAATCCCAGCACTTTGAAAGGCCAACACAGGTGGATCACTTGAGGTCCGGAGTTTGAGACCACCCTGGACAACATGGTGAAACCCTATCTCTACTAAAAATACAAAAATTAGCTGGGCATGGTGCACATGCCTGTACTTCTAGCTACTTGGGAGGCTGAGGCAGGAGAATTGCTTGAACTCAGAAGGTGGAGGTTGCAGTGAGCGAAGATCAAGATCACACCACTGCACTCCAGCCTGGGCAACTGAACAAGACAAAGAAAGAGGAAAGAAAGAAAGAAAGAGAGACAGAGAGAGAGAGAGAGAGAGAGAGAGAGAAAGAAAAGAAAAGAAAGGAGAAAAAGAAAAAAGAAAAGAATTCATGAGCACTGGTGATTAATAAAAACCATTATGTTACAACATTAATATACCATAAAAGAAATGTCACGTTCATATTCAAAATATGTATTATCTTTATTTTTATAAACTTTTATTCTAATATATATTACATGCACCTCTTATACTGGAGGGCAACTATCATTAATTAATTTAGGTATGCTGAATAAATAAGGCTGTTCTACACATAAATCCACAGAGGAGATACATACTACAACTTGAATAGATTATATTTAATATCTAACATTGAGAAATCTAACTCTTATCTCAGTCTACTAAGTAGTTTATAAATATGAAAAAATAAAATTAAAAAAATTCTTACCTTGCTTAAACCTACTGCCAATAGTAGCAGTTTTAGAAGATGTCAAACTTCTAATCTTTTCACAAGCCAGTGAGATGGAAAATCGCTTTTTGCACCGCCACTCCTTAATGAATGTTTGGAAAAGATTTTGGTCACTTGCTACATCAATTATGGACAAACTTTCTGAACTGCTTGAGGCTGGAGTTAACTGTAATCCATCCTGTGATAACTGAAGTGAAAAGCTTGTGTCACTAATAGGGCTGTTGTCTTTGAACCCATTTCTACTCCCTGGACTTAAATCGTGGTTTTTAATATCTGAAGGTGAGCCAAATAAATAACTTTCACCAGGTTGTAAAACATTATTAGTTTTCCAAGGGTTTACAGGTGTTTCAAGAATCCCTGGAAATGTCAGCTTAGAAGCAGATGTTGGAATGGGTGTAGGAGGAATGAGACCATTATCATCAACTATATTACTTTCTTTACGAGGTAAGAGGGATGAGGTTTCATCATGATTGGCATTGTTTTCTAGCATCTCAATCTTGCTTTTTACTTCATTATTAGAAGAAAATGAAATTCCCTGCACTTGTTTTGTCTCCAAGTTTGAAATAACTTCTTGTTCTTCATTTAACTCTGTATTTTTTCTATTCAAACTGGAAAAGTTTATAGTCATTGATTTTAGCTTTTCATTTTCTAGAGGACTGGATACTTTATCTAAAATCCTTTGCAGTCCTGGACTTAGATCAAATGATGCCCCTGACCATATGAATGAATGATTTTGCCTGGTCCCAGTTAATTTTGATTTTTCAGCCCTTTCATCTTGATCTCCTCCATCTTGATCACCTTGGTGGTGCTCATCAAGTACTGGATCACTTAGTTCTAATGCTCTAGGAGATACTACAGTATGATTCTTCTCTTGGACAGGAAATATATCCACATTGTCCAAAGCTTCAACCATCTGAACAGAATCCATTTCTGAAAATATAATAGATTCATCATTGGAACAAGTCAACTGCTGGTGGGTATCTTGATTCTCATTTACATTTGATTTTTTAATTAGGTCTTCTTGTAGACACAGAGAATCACTAAAATGGTTTGATGTTACTTCTGAAGGAAGGGGTTCTTTCATTTGCATATCAGGTAATTGTTCTTTTACTAGATAGTCATCACTGAAGCTATCAAATAGTAAACTATCACTCATATTCAAACTTGTTTCAGGAACTGGAAGACATTCTCCTTCTACACCAGTGGGAGTTCTCTTTTGAGGAATCAGAAGTATAACTGGTTTCACAGTTTCTTGTGTTTGATAACCTTGAAGAAAACTATTTAATTGTGAATCAGTAACAGAAACTTCATTCTTTTTTAAAAAAAGACCATTTTCCTCCAATAGTATTGGAGAATGGAAAATCGGGCTTTCTGGAGTCAGGATATCAACCCCATGTGAATCACTGCTTTGTTTCATAGTACCTACAGTCTTAAGGTCCAAATGATCTATCTTAGTCGCTCCTAGAGGGTGCTGTTCAGCAGGAAAAGGAATGTGACACTCCTTCTGAAAAGAGTTCATTGAGTTCTGTTGGACTAAGCTCTTCTGCATTATCCCTGCTGCCAGGTTGGTGTCCTTTGCTCCTAGTTTGGCATTTTCAGTTGCCATCTGTTGTATTATTTTCTCTGACTGAGTATCCAGATAGAAACTATCTTCAAAATCACAGAGGACTAAACCTAAGTCAGAAACATGATTATTTTTAGTTTTGTTTGTTGTATAAGTACCTGTTTTTTCTTGTAGTCTAGAAATATTTAGAAAATTCTCATGCTGGCCTTCTGATTTGCTAAATGCTCCAGCTGATGGAAGTACTTCACTGGGTATCACAGTTCTGCTTATATCATCTCCTAATGCCTGAAAATGACTTGGTTTATTTTCCTCTGTATTAAGCTTTATCCTTTCACAATTGATAGTAACATTTGAGTCTCTATTTATGTAACTACTGACTGCTTCACAGGGCATTTGTCTCTCTATTATATTTTTCTGTTTGGTAATAGTGCTTGTCTGTTCATGAGATTGCTTTCGCAGGTACTGGTTAATTGGATGGATGTCATGGTGTTTCATATAAACATTCTGGTTTTTTGAACCATTTTGTATCAGCACTTCATTTATTTTTTCTGCCTCAACAGCTACTCCTCTGCCCTTTTCACTAACCACACTAGTGGCCTGACAAGTCACATTTTTACTCTGAGATCCTGTGACAATATGCTCCACAAAATTATCATTAGTTAGTGTTATGTTCCATGAACAATTTTGCTTTATTTGTAATGGGAATGATGTTTTATTATCTTTTTCCTTACCACTCAAAGATACATTTTTAGCAAATGGCCCTGAATTTCTAAATTCCGTTTTCTTCTCATCTAAGGTAAACGGGTCTTCACAAAGACTAGGATTAGACAGAGTCTGTCCTTGTAAATGGATTCTACACGCTCCAGAGTCTTTCAGGGGGCTGCTGTCCCTAGATCGCTTTAGATGCTTTCTACGTTTCCAAGATCGAAAACTTCTGCTCATCTTTTCTGAATTGAAATTCAAAGGTGCCTTTTTTGTTTTCTGTGAAAAAGTCTGAACAACTTTCTTATCACTTGTTTTCCCCTCATTCTGAGAGGCTCCTGGCTTCTCTTTATTTATATCTAAAGAGGCCCGTTTTCTTGCTCTGAAAATGGAACATGTCTGATGTTCTTGATTCCCATTCTGGAAATTACAATTAAAGGAACTTGTATGCTCTCTACTTTTATTTAAGTCTTGCACTATATTTGGTGAATGCTTAATATAAGAATCACTAAATATTGTGTTACTTTTGTTCTTTGATGTTAATTTTTTATAAGAACTCTTAGTTTGGGATATAAATGTGTGTTCCTTTACTTCGGACTCACTATGAGTCAATGAGCATGTACTAGAATGTAACAGGGCACATGGATTCCATTGCACTCCCATTTCAACTAAGTCCTGCTGCAGAATCATTCTGGCTTCTTCCACTATAAGGGCTGCTGCTTCCCTTTCAGTTAAACCTTTTCTGCCAGTCACCCAGATAGTTCGCATATTGCGACGTTCTTCAACTGCTTCCTCTTCCTCATCCACTGCCTTCCGGGCACTACACAAGGAGATGGGAAAAGACAGAAATGAATTCATTCATTCGTAAGGCAAGTATTTATTAAACATGCAATCTGAGCTGTTACCAGGAACTGAAAAAATAACAATGAAGAAGAGAGAGAAATGTATCTGCTCTCATGGCACATTCTAGCTGGGGAATTCAGAAAATAAACAAAAAGTTTAAAATGCATTCTATATTACCTGGTGATAAGAGTTGTATACAAAAATAAGGCACCAGAAAGGGGTGGTGGGTGGTTCTGTAGTTTTTAAATGGCATAATAAAGGAAGGCTTCACTAAGACAGATTCTTTAAGTAGAAGCCTTTAAAAAAGTGAAAGCCATAAAACTTTCATTGAAAAACATCCGGCCGGGCGCGGTAGCTCACACTTGTAAACCCAGCACTTTGGGAGACCAAGGAAGGCGAATCACTTGAGGCAACGAGTTCGAGACCAGCCTGGCCAACATGGTGAAACACTGTCTCTACTAAAAATACAAAAAATCAGCCAGGCATGGTAGCGGGTACCTGTAATTACAGCTGCTTGGGAGGCTGAGGCATGAGAATCACTCGAACCCAGGAGGCGTTACAGTGAGACAAGATCACACCACTGCACTCCAGCCAGGGTGACAGAACAGGACCCTGTCTCATTAAAAAAATTTTTTAAAAGGCTGTGCGCAGTGGCTCATGCCTGTAATCCCAGCACTTTGGGAGGCCAAGGTGGGTAGATCACCTGAGGTCAGGAGTTCAAGACCAGCCTGACCAATATGGTAAAACTCTTTCTCTACTAAAAATACAAAAATTGGCCGGGTGTGGTGACATGTGCCTGTAGTCCCAGCTACTTGGGAGGCTAAGACAGAAGAATTGCTTGAACCCAGGACGCAGAGGTTGCAGTGAGCCGAGATTACGCCATTGCACTCCAGGGCGACAGAGCGAGACTGTCACAAAAAAAAAAAAAAAAAAAAAAAAAGACAAGACAAGAAAGAAAACGAATGCTTCTGTACAATACACAATATAAACTCTGGGCAAAATATATGAAGGGACTAGAAAATGAACAAAAGAAAGCAGAAATTGGAGTGGGGTTGAGACTTGGAAGAAAGAAAATGGCAGTGGGTTAATTTTCACTTTTTACCTGAAGGCAGGGCCCAGTCAGCACCCTGTAGGTTGGCTAAAAACTTAGATAACAACCTGGAGTTCACTGATTGACAGAAGTCAGAAGAGAGTTAAGAGTAACTACATTAGTTGGAAATTTAAGGCAGTCTAGAACAGATAACTAGAGAGGAACAACTCGTAATTCTTCATATAAACTCTGCCCAAATCTCTCACTGACCTCTAAACCGTGCAAGTGTGGACAGATTCCAAGTGGCCAGTTAAAAGTCTAAACCAGGGGTCCTCAACCCCCGAGATGCAGACCAGTACCAGTCCATGGCCTGTTAGGAACTGGGCCGCACAGCAGGAGGTGAGCTACAGGCAAGGGAGCATTGCTGCCTGAGCTCCGCCTCCTGTCAGATCAGCTGCAGGAAACCCTACTGTGAATTGTACATGCAAGGAATCTAGGTTGCGTGCTCCTTATGAGAATCTAATTGTTTTGTTTCATCCTAAAACCAAACCATCTCCACCACCCCCCTACCCCCACCTCCACCCCCGGTCTGTGGAAAAATTGTCTTCCATGGGCAAGAGATATGCAAGAGCAAAGAGGATAGTAAAATACTATACCCCATCCCTTCCCACACAGGTTAAGGTCTCAGAGCTGGGAGTCAGGTTTAAAGTGAGTGGGAGGGAAGAAACACTAATTGGAAATGAGATTGATGCTTCCATCTAAAACAAATTGTTTAATACCTGAAAATAAAACTGGTTGTTAGTACCTGAAAGTAACTAAATACCTATAGAATCTGCCTGAGATTTCATATAAGACTGAGTTCAAAAAACAGTGGTAGAAAAAATAATTAAGCTATTCCTTGATTTATATACTGAGTCTAGCCCATTCAATAAATTGGTTATTCAGACATACACACAAAAAAATAATCAAGGAATCTTCTCACAAATTGTTTTGAGGGACACTAGCATTCCAAAGAACATTTCAGAGGAATGTATTTTAAAATGCTCTTGCCTAAAGTGTAAGATGAGCCTGAGATATATAATGAAATCACATCAAAATTATCAAAATCCATCAAAGCAGATCAAAATCAAAATTTAGCAAAGCAGAAAGCATTGATACCAAACTTTTGCTCAGTACTTTTTTTTTTTTTTTTGAGACACGATCTTACTCTGTCACCCAGGCTGGAGTTCAGTGGCACTATCAGGGCTCACTGCAGCCTCGACCTCCCGGGCTCAACCAACTCTCCAGCCTCACATCCCCAAGTAGCTGGGACTATAGGCACATGCCACCATGCCCAGCTATTTTTTTTTTTTTTTTTTTCAGTTTTAGTAGCGATGAGATCTTGCTATGTTGCTCAGGCTAGTCTTGAACTCCTAAGCTCAAACAATCAGCCTCAGCCTCCCAAAGTACTGGGATTACAGGAGTGAGTCACTGTGCCCAGCCCCACTCAGACGTTCTAGCAGGAATGTTTTTAAGTCATGTATTATTTTTTAAATATACAAAATAAAAAGTAATCTGCAGCCGGGCACTTTGGCTCACGCCTATAATCCCAGCACTTTGGGAGGCTGAGGCAGGGGGATTGGCTGAGGTCAGGAGTTCAAGACCAGCCTGGCCAACATGGTGAAACCCTGTCTCTACTAAAAATACAAAAATTAGCTGGGCCTGGTGGTGGGTGCCTATAATCCCAGCTACTCAGGAGGCTGAGGCAGGAGAATCGCTTGAACCCAGGAGGTGGAGGTCGCAGTGAGCCGAGATCGCACCATTGCACTCCAGCCTGGGTAACAAGAGTGAGACTTCATCTCAAAAAAAAAAAAGTAATCTGCAATGGGGAAAAAGTAGCCATATTTTCTTCCACTTACACCAAGTATATAATAAGATTATTTAAGAGAAAAATAACTTTAATACATTATCTATTATTTTAAAATTGACATTTTTTTTTTATTTCATAAGCCCATGTAGGTAAAGGTATTTTCTTACCTTTTGAAAGGCACAGCATTTTTCAGAATCACCTCCACCTCCACAATATTTGCTCTAGCAAGGTCTGCCACAGTATGAAAGCCAGAAGCATAGAGAACCCTGGCTCTCTGAGCATTTAGTAAGGATACCCGAACCAGGTCACACAGCTCCCTCTGGATGCCAAACGTAAGACGCTTCTGAAATTGGGAAAGTAGTAGTTCCATGTTGTGCCAGCCCAGACGGTTGGAAAATACTGTAATCATCCCTAGAACATTCATAGAATATTTGTTGAATTCAATTTTTTTTACAGACGAATTCTCCATTTCTTTAGATGTATTTATATTTTCTTTTGTTTTTTCCCTGCAAAATTGTAAGATTTAACAAGGCCCAAGGTGTAAGTTAACAAGGGAGCAGATATATATTAAGAGCCTTAACTAATTGGACAATAAATGTGCTAAGTTTTATGAGATGACATTAAATGTCATCTTATTTATTCTTAATCCTCAAGTTAATACATGAAAACTGAGGCAGAGCACATAAACACAAAACAAACAAGAAGCCCTCACCCTAATTCATTCCTCTCTCTCTCTCTTTCTTAAGCAAAAGAGAACTCTTAAAAACATGTAAAGGTCTCTCTCTTCCCGCCACCCAAGATGCCGAAAGGAAAGAAGGCCAAGGGAACGAAGGTGGCTCCGGCCCCTGCTGTCGTGAAGAAGCAGGAGGCTAAGAAAGTGGTGAATCCCGTTTGTGAAAAGGCCTAAGAATTTTGGCACTGGACAGGACATCCAGCCCAAAAGAGACCTCACCCGCTTTGTGAAACGGCCCCGCTATATCAGGTTGCAGCGGCAGAGAGCCATCCTCTATAAGCGGCTGAAAGTGCCTCCTGCGATTAACCAGTTCACCCAGGCCCTGGACCGCCAAACAGCTACTCAGCTGCTTAAGCTGGCCCACAAGTACAGACCAGAGTCAAGGCAAGAGAAGAAGCAGAGGCTGTTGGCCTGGGCCAAGAAGAAAGCTGCTGGCAGAGGGGACGTCCCCACCAAGAGACCACCTGTCCTTCGAACAGGAGTTAACACCGTCACCACCTTGGTGGAGAACAAGAAAGCTCAGCTGGTGGTGATTGCACACAACGCGGATCCCATCAAGCTGGCTGTCTTCTTGCCTGCCCTGTGTCGTAAAATGGGGGTCCCTTACTGCATTACCAAGGGGAAGGCAAGACTGGGACGTCTAGTCCACAGGAAGACCTGCACCACTGTCGCCTTCACACAGGTGAACTCGGAAGACAAAGGCACTTTGGCTAAGCTGGTGGAAGTTATCAGGACCAATTACAACGACAGATAGGATGAGACCCACCGTCACTGGGGCGGCAACGTCCTGGGTCCTAAGTCTGTGGCTCGTATCACCAAGCTCGAAAAGGCAAAGGCTAAAGAACTTGCCACTAAACTGGGTTAAATGTACACTGTTGAGTTTTCTGTATATAAAAATAATTAAAATAATACAAATTTTCAAAAAAAAAAAAAAAGCATGTAAAGATGCTGGGCGCAGTGGCTCACGCCTGTAATCCCAGCACTTTGGAAGGCCAAGTCGAGCAGATCATCTGAGGTCAGGACTTTGAGACCAGCCTGACCAACATGGAGAAACCCCATCTCTACTAAAAATACAAAATTAGCCAGGCATGGCGGTGCATGCCTGTAATCCCAGTTCCTCGGGAGGCTGAGGCAGGAGAACCACTTGAACTTGGGAGGCGGGGGTTGTGGTGAGCCGAGATCGTGCCATTGCACTCCAGCCTGGGCAACAAGAGAGAAACTCCATCTCAAAAAAAAAAAAGTAAGGGACTCTTTCCACCTAGAGGAAAACAAGAGTTGGTTTAAATATTCAAGTGCTGAGAGAACTAGAAAGAGTGAAGTTCCCACCTGCATTTTCTTCAAAGAAAGGTTGCTGAGCTCAATAGCTGCACTGTCTTGGAATAAAGAAACCAAAACAAGTGCCATGTCATAAAGACATTTGTTGAATTAAAATTTTGTTACACTTCCCTACAAGAACATAAACCCCTAGAGGCAGTCTTTCATCTTTGATACCAGTGAGTCTAAGAGTGAGTCCCTCCCGGCCGGGCGCGGGTGGCTTATACCTGTAATCCCAGTACTTTAGGAGGCCGAGGCGGGTGGTCCACGAGGTCAGGAGATCGAGACCATCCTGGCTAACACAGTGGAACCCCATCTCCACTAAAAATACAAAAAAAAAAATTAGCCGGGCGTGGTGCCGGGCACCTGTAGTCCCAGCTACTCGGGAGGCTGAGGCAGCAGAATGGCATTAACCTGGGAGGCAGAGCTTTCAGTGAGCCGAGATGGCGCCACTGCACTCCAGCCTGGGAGACAGAGCAAGACTCTGTCTCAAAAAAAAAAAAAAAAAAAAAAAAGAGTGAGTGCCTCCCTTCCTACCACTATCTCTTCTCATCTTCCCCGCAGTACTCCCTCATAAGCACATATCTTCACGATGAAACCTATTATACATATAACACACCCTCTTGTAGCCCATAGTTTCCTTCTTAAGGGCTTGTAAGGATTCCTTAGTAAAATCAGACCCAGAATTTCTCGTTTGCTTAGGGTTTAATACATTAAGGCAGACCAGTGGTTCCTTAGATCATTTTTATAACAGTCAGACAGGAGTTCAGAAATCCCTCTCCATCTTCCGTCCTTCTCCTCAACAATATGGATTAATCAGTACCTTTTTTTTTTTTTGAGACAGAGTCTCGCTCTGTCACCCAGGCTAGAGTGCAGTGGTGCGATCTCAGCTCACTGCAACCTCTGCCTCCCGGGTTCAAGCAATTCTCTGCCTCAGCCTCCCCAGTAGCTGGGATTATAAGCGCCCACCGCCACACCTGGCTAATTTTTTGTATTTTCAGTAGAGATGGGGTTTCACCATCTTGGCCAGGCTGGTCTTGAACTCCTGACCTCGTGATCCACCCGACTCGGCCTCCCAAAGTGCTGGGATTACAGGCATGAGCCACCGCGCCCGGCAATCAGTACCTTAATGAGAAAGGGGAGACCACAGAGAACTTTGTTTCTGTTTCTTCTTGCAACAGGAAAAAGAAAAGGAAAACAGAAAGGAGGATAGTCAGCAGGTTGCTAAGGAATAGAGGCCAAGACATTCAGCTAGTTACCAATCCTCTGTAACATGGTACTGAGCCCTGAGGAGCCATAGTTTTGAATTTTCTGATGATGACAAGAACTGTACAAAGTTTTAGCACTTTTAAAGAAGCCTACAATAAAATGGAATTTGAAAAAAAAAGTAATCTTAACTCGACCTCAAATCACAGTATTAAATAAATGTGAAACCCTTTGTTTAACTGACCTGCATAAACAGCAGCTGACTGTTGCAAAGATTGAATCTGCCCACGATTGCATCCATATTTCTGATTTATTTCCCTTAAGGGAACTTCACTGATTAAATCTAATAGCACAAGACTGGTGAAAAACCTGGGAATAAATCATCAAAAGCGTGGTAAGAGATCCTTCACGTCTACTAGGCGATACAGTGTGTTGAAAAATGACTAAGAACTGGAAAGGCAACAGAGGGCTTATATAATACATTGTGGTGAGATTCTTAATAGAAAATAGGATTACTGGACAAAGGCTGAGATCAATGCTTGCAAAGCAAGTTTTGACATGCATTAGTACTATAGTAAAGAACTAATGTCTGTATAACAAAAACCTGCCCATATTCAAAACTGCTGCTAACAAGAAATGAGACTTGGTTCAAGAAATGTGATGACACAAAAATTAAAAAGATAACTTGATATACAGCTACATGTATATCATTACTCCAATAAAATGACAATATAAATATAGCATCCAATTTTGATTTGAAAGGCAACGGTAGCAAAAGTAATCCAAGTATATAAATCCAAGTATATAAAATTTATACTTAACCATATTATAAATAATATATTAGAGACTGTTTTTTAAGAAAAATCATTTCATTATTATTTCTTTTTTTTTGAGACGGAGTCTCACTGTGTTGCCCAGGCTGGAGTGCAGTGGCGCAATCTTGGCTCACTGCAACCTCCATCTCCTGGGTTCAAGCAATTCCCCCACCTCAGCCTCCCAAGTAGCTGGGATTACAGGTGCACACCACCACAAACGGCTAATTTTTGTATTTTTACTAGAGACAGGGTTTTACCACATTGGCCAGGCTGGTCTCAAACTCCTGACCTCAAGTGATCCGCCCACTTTGGCCTCCCAAAGTGCTGGGATTACAGGCATGAGCCACTGCACCCAGCCAATTTCATTATATTTCAAAGAAGCTAACAGCCTGTACCAATTTTTCCACCTGAATCTTTTAATTAGCTCTTCTCCTCTATTGGTAATGAATCACTTTTAAGTATGATATAAAGCATAACCCCAGGTGAAGTCACAGTAAGTTGGTGGTTCTTCTGATCAACACCTTCTTTACAAAAGAGAGGTAATTAAATATTCTACCTTAAAAGATAAGGTCTTTATATATAATGGCTGCTAAACTGTGAGCTGCAGAAAGAAACTAAAATACCAATAAATTTAGTAAATACAGAAAACTTGTTGGGTGTGGTGGCTCACGCCTGTAATCCCAGCACTTTGGGAGGCGGAGGCGGGTGGATCACCTGAGGTCAGGAGTTTAAGACCAGCCTGACCAACATGGAGAAACCCCATCTCTATTAAAAATATAAAATGAGCCAGGCATGGTGGCACATGCCTGTAATCCCAGCTACTCAGGAGGCTGAGGCAGCAGAATCGCTTGAACCTGGGAGGCGGAGGTTGCGGTGAGCTGAGATCGCGCTATTGCACTCCAGCCTGGGCAACAAGAACAAAACTCCATTTCAAAATTAAAAAAAAAAAGAAAATGAAAAAAAAGAAAACTGAAAAATCTTATACTCTGCCAAAATTTTGATTTTATTGACAATGAAAGTGACTACAATAAACTGGGCGTCTACTACATGCAAGACACTGTGTTAAATACCGGAGAGCCCAGAGACCTTGACGTTTACCTTTTATGGATGGCCATTTGTCGATGCTGTCTCTCAGTTCTGGCTACTACTTTTCCTTTCACACAACGGGCCAAGAACCCCTCTTCAACTCCCACTAGCTCTGCCACCCTTTTCATTGAAGTTGGCAACTTCTCCCATAAACAGAAAAATCGATACCAATCAATAGTAGTCCAATCCTCAAACATAGGTGTAACCTAAAAGGAAGAAGTATTATTCATTAACTAAAACTATTATATTACAAAAAACCATTATATACAACCTTCATATTAAAGACAAAAGCCAGGCATGATGGTATGTGCCTGTAGTCCTAGCTACTCAGAAGGCTGAGATGGAAAGATTGCTTGAACCCAAAAGTTTGAGGCCACAGTGAGCTATGACTGTGCCACTGCACTCTAGCTCAACTGACCAGGTGAGACTCTGTCTCTAAAAAAATGAAATAAAATAAAATAAATAAAATGGCTGACTGTGGTGGTTCATGCCTGTAATCCCAATGCTGTAGGAGGCCAAGGCAGGAGGATCGCTTGAGCCCAGGAGTTTGAGGCTGCAGTAAGCTATGACTGTGCCACATCACTCCAGCCTGGGCAACAGAGCAAGACTCCATCTCAAAAAAAATTACAATAAAATAAAATTACTTAAAATAAAAAGACAAAGGCCTCAGGATTTACAAAAATGTCTAACTGTGATAATACCTCATTCATATGGAAACATCATTTATTCACAAACAATGCACTGCCAGGACAAATGGAAAGAGATCACTAAGCATACAAACTGGATTTTATAGAACCCAAGTCTTTTTTTTTTTTTTTTTGAGACAAGGTCTTGTTCTATCATCCAGGCTGGGATCTAGTTCACTGAAGCTTCAACCTCCTGTGCTCAAGCAATCCTCCCAAGTCAGCCTCCCAAGTAGCTGGGGCTACAAGGTGAGTGCCACCACGTCTGCCTAATTTTTAAATTTTTTTGGTGAAACTGGGTTTTATTCTGTTGCCCAGGTTGGTCTCAGACTCCTGGCCTCAAGCAATTCTCCTGCCTCAGACTCTCAAAATGCTGGGATTACAGGCATCAGCCACTGCGCCCGGCCAGAACCTAAGTTTTTAATTATAGACACTTCTAATATCAATATTCTAACTGTAGGTACAATCTTAAGTATTCTGAGTAATTTTCAAGAAAGAATCAATAACATAGAGGAGATAAGGGAAGAATCAATATTCAGAGTTGATATATTACCCAAAATGTCAAGATTCAACAAAAATTATGAAACATATAAGAAATAGGAAAGTATGTCTCAAACACAGGGGGAAAAGCAGGCAAAAGAAATAAAAAGAAATACCTTTGAGAGGGTCCAGCTATTGAAATAAGTAAAGACTTCAAAGCAAATATTATAAATATGGTAAAAACAAAAACAAAAACCATGCTTGAAGTAAAAGGCATGATGCCAATGTCTCATTAAGTAGAGAATACAATAAAGACAAAATTATTTTTAAAAGAACCAAATGAAAATTCTGGAGTTAAAAGTACAATAACTGGCCAGGCACAGTGGCTCATGCCTATAAAGCCAGCACTTTGGGAGGCTGAGAGGGGAGGACCACTTGAGCTCAGGAGTTTGAGATCAGCATGGGCAACATGGTGAAACACTGTCTCTACAAAAAAATACAAAAATTAGCCAGGGATGATGGCACATGCCTGTGGTCCCAGCTACTTGGGAGGCTGAAGTGGGAAGACTGCTTGAGCCCAGGTCAAGGCTGCAGTGAGCCGTAATTGTGCCACTGTACTCTTGTTTGGGCAACAGAGCAAGAATATGTCTCAAAAAAAAAAAAAAAAAAAAAGTGCAGTAACTAAAATGGGGTTTATTATGTTGCCCAGGTTGGTCTTGAATTCTTGAACTCAAATAACACTCCTGCCTTGGCCTTGGCCTTCCAAAGTGCTAGGATTAAAGGCGTGAGCCACCAAACCTGGACCTAAAATGGATAATTTACTAGAGAGATCAACAGTATATCCAAGCTGGCATAAGAAAGAATCAGCAAACATGAATAGATTAATAAAGACTATGCAATCTGAAAGAGGGAGAGGAGAAAGCAGAAAAAATGAACAGAGTCTTAAAGGAATATGGGAAACATTAAGTGTACCAACATATGCATAATGAGTACCAGGAGAAGATAGAAAGGAAAAGGAAAATCATCTGAAGAAATTATGGCTAAAAGTATTCCAAATTTGATGGACAACATTAACCTACATATCCAAGAAACTCAGTGAACTCCAAGCAGGATACATACAAAGGCATCCATACAAAGACGCATCACAGTCAAAACATTAAAACTGAAGAAAAAAAATCTTGAAAACAGCAAGAAAAAGTCATCCTATGTAAGAGAAACCTGATAAGGTTAAGAGCTAACTTCTCACCAGCAACAAGAAGGCCAGTGAGATGACATATTCTAAATGCAGTGAGATGACATATTCAAACTGCTCAAAGAAAAAAAAATCTGTCAACTAAACATTGTTTTTTCTTTTGAAACAGGGTCTGGCTCTGTCACCCTGGCTGGAGTGCAGTGGCACGATCTCAGCTCACTGCAACCTCCACCTCCTGGGCGGAAGCCATCCTCCCACCTCAGCCTCCCAGGTAGCTGGGACTACAGATGCATACCACCACACCTGGCTAATTTTTGTATTTTTCTGGTAAAGACAGAGTTTCACCATGTTGCTGGTCTCAAACTTCTAGGCTCAAGCCATCTACCTGCCTCAGCCTCCCAAAGTGCTGGGATTACAGGCATGAGCTACCACGCCCAGCCTCAACTAAGAATATTATATAAAGGAGAGTTATTTTTCAAAAATAAAAATAACAAACATTTCCAGATAAACAAAACCCGAGAAAATTTTGCTAGCAAATCCATTTTATAAGAAATGCTAGGCCGGGCGCGGTGGCTCACGCCTGTAATCCCAGCACTTTGGGAGGCCGAGGCGGGCGGATCACGAGGTCAGGAGATCGAGACCATCCCGGCTAAAACGGTGAAACCCCGTCTCTACTAAAAATACAAAAAATTAGCTGGGCGTAGTGGCGGGCGCCTGTAGTCCCAGCTACTTGGGAGGCTGAGGCAGGAGGAGAATGGCGTGAACCCGGGAGGCGGAGCTTGCAGTGAGCCGAGATCCCGCCACTGCACTCCAGCCTGGGCGACAGAGCGAGACTCCGTCTCAAAAAAAAAAAAAAAAAAAAAAAAAAAAGAAATGCTAGCCAGGCGCAGCGGCTCATGCCTGTAATCCCAGAACTTTGGGAGGCTGGGTGGGCGGGGTTTGGATCACTTGAGGTCAGGAGTTCAAGACTAGCCTGGTCAACATGGCGAAACCCTGTCTCTACTAAAAATACAAAAAAAAATTACCCAGGAGTGGTGGCGCATGCCTGTAATCCCAGGGACTCGGGAGGCTGAGGCATGAGAATTGCTTGAACCTGGGAGGCGGAGGTTGCAGTGAGCAGAGACTGCACCACCGCACTCCAGCCTGGGCAACAGAATGAGACTCTGTCTCCAAAAAAAAAAAAAAAAGCAAAGAAATACTAAAGAAAGCTCTTCAGGTTGAAAGAAACTCACCAAAACCATATTTCAATTCCAAACCAAAAAAAGAAAGTCAACAAAGGAAATTATGTGGGTACATATAAAAACAGTATCATTACATATTTCTCTTTTCTTCTCCTGACTGATTTAAAAGGCAACTTATAAAACAATATGCATATTTTTGTACTGTATTGGGTTTGTTTGTTAGTTTGTTTGAGACAGGGTCTCACTCAGTTGCCCAGGCTGGACACAATCTCAGCTCACTGCAACCTCTACCTCCCAGGTTCAAGTGATTCTTGTGCTTCAGCCTCCTGAGTAGCTAGAATTACAGGTATGCACCACCACACCCAGCTCATTTTTGTATTTTTAGTAAAGATGGGGCCTCACCATGATGACCAGGCTGGTCTTGAACTCCTGACCTCAAGTGGTCCACCCGCCTCAGCCTACCGAAGTGCTGAGATTACAGGCATGAGCCACTACAACCTGCCAATATGCATATAATTGAATTGTTGGGTCCATAACATATAAAATTCACAATATATTTGACAGTATCAGCCCACAGGAGGCAGGTGGAAGCAAAGCTGTACTGGACTAAGGAAATGACAAGAGATGGTGTCCCAAATCCATAGAAATAAATGAAGAAAAAAAACACAATCATAAATAAGAATGTTAATGAAGCAAACTCTGTAAATGTATATTTGCTCTCCTTTCTTCTCTCAGCTTCTCTAAAAACATTAAATTACATAAAATACTAAGTATAACAACGTACTGTTAGGTTTGCAACACATAATGATGTAATAAGTATAACAATGGCACAAAAAAAGGAATCAAAATAGAGTTATTTAAGAATACTTCTTTATTTCACTGCAATTAAGTTAGTATAAATTTTAAGCTGTACCTGATAAACCCTTGAGTAAACACTAAAAAAAAAAATGGCAAAAAATATAGAGAAAAATGTACAAAATTAAAATGTTATAGTGTTTTGTGCTGCATAATGACATTTTTGGTCAATGACAAACTGCATATATGACAGCAGTCCCATAAGATTATAATGGAGCTGAAAAATTAATATTGCCTAGTGACATCATAGTCATCAAATATCTAGCATGTTGCATTACCTTTTCTATGTTTAGAAATGTCTAGATACACAAATACTTACCATTGTATTACAACTGCCTACAGTACTCAGTAGAGTAACATGCCAAACAAGTTTGTAGCCTAGAAGCAGTAAGGTTATACCATATATCCTAGGTGTGTAGCAGGCTATACCATCTACATTTGTGTAAGCACACTCTGTAATATTCACACAACAATGAAATTAGCTAAAGATGCAATTCTCAGAATGTATCACTGTCCTTAAGCAATAATGACTATACTAGAATATATTCCCTTCATTCAAAAAAGAGCAGTAAAAGAGGTACAGGGGAACAAATTCCCTGAGAATACCGACTGTAGTTGAAAACTTCAATACCCGACTTTCAACAATGAATAGAACTACTAAGAAAATCAAAAGGAAATAGAAGACTAAAATAACATTCTAAGTCAATTAGACCTAAGAGACATCTATAGAACTCCACCAAACCATAGCAAAATGTATAGCTGTCTCTTGTTATCTGTGGGGGACTGGTTCCAGGACCTCCTGCAGATAACAAAATCCATGGATGCTCAAGTCTCTGATATAAAATGATAGTGTCTGTATATAACCTATGCACATCCTGCCATATACAGAGTAATCATCTAGCGTAATTATAATACCTAATACCACATAAATACTACGTAAATAGCTGATATACTGTATTGTTTAGGGAATAATGACAAAATAAACTGTATGTTCAGTACAGAAAAAAATTTTTTTGAGATGGAGTCTCACTCTGTCACCCAGGCTGGAGTGCAGTGGCATAATCTCGGCTCACTGCAACCTCTGCCTCCCAGGTTCAGGTGATTCTTCTGCCTCAGCCTCCTGAGTAGCTGGGATTACAGGCGAGTGCCACCATGCCCAGCTAATTTTTGTATTTTGTAATTTTGTATTTTTAGTACAGACAGGGTTTCACCATGTTGGCCAGGCTGGTCTCGAACACCTGACCTCAGATGATCCGCTGAAAGAATGAAAAGAAAACAAAATTGAAAAATATTTAGCTGGACTGATCAAGAAATGATGCAGGAAGATTCAAATTACTAAAATCAGGAATGAAAGAGGAACCAACCCCACCATCCTCACATAAATAAAAAGGATTATAAGGGAATACTATGAACAAGTAAATGCCAACAAATTAGATAATCTACGTGGACTATTTTCTGGAAATACACAAACTACCAAAACCGATTGAAGAAAAAATCGAAACTCTGAATAGTTATAAAAAGTAAAAAGATTAAATTCATCATCAAAACATTTACTCCAAAGTAAAGCCCAGGCCCAAGTGGCTTGACTGGTGAAATCTACTAAACATTTAAATAACAATTAATAGCAATCTTTAACAAATTCTTCAAAAGAAACAGAAGAGGAAGAAATATATCCTAAATCATACTGTGCAGTTAGTATTACTCCAAAACCACACAAAGACATCACGAGAAAACAGAACTACAGGTCAATATATCTTATGACAAAAATACTAGCAAACCAAATAAAATACTAGCAATAAAATACCAGCAAACCAAATCCAGCAACATAAAAAGGATTATACAACCTAACCAAGTCAGATACTCCCTTTTGGAATGGAAGTATTTATCCAATGCCTGTAACCCCATTGCATCTTGGGAGTAACTAACTTAGTTTTTTTATTTCACAGGCTCATCAGTGGAAAGCACTAGCCTTCTCTCAGATGAGACTTTGGACTTCTGAGTTAATGATGCAATGAGTTAAGACTCCGGGGGACTGTTGGGAAGGGATGATTGTATTTTGGAATGTGAGAAGGTCATGAGATTTAGGGGCCCAAGTGTAGATTTATATAGTATAGATATGTGTCCCCACCGAATTTCATGTTGAAATATAATCTCCAATGCTGGAGATAGTGCCTGGTGGCAGGTGACTGGATCATGAAGACCGTTTCTTATGGTTTAACACCACCCCACTTGGTGCTGTCGTTGCAATGGAGAGTTCTCGTGAGATCTGGTTGTTTAAAAGTAAGTGGCACTTCCCGCCTCTCTCTCACTCTCTTCCTCTTGCTCTGGCCATATAAGATGTGCCTGCTTCCCCTTCACTTTCTGCCATGATTGGAAGCTTTCTGAGGCCTCCCCAGAAGCAGAAGCCACTGTGCTTCCTGTACAGCCTGCAGAATCATGAGCCAATTAAACCTCTTTTCTTTATAAATATCCCAGTCTCCATAATTTCTTTATAGCAGTGTGAGAATGGACTAATACAGTAAGCCAAAAAGAATAGCTATGAACACTGAAAAGCAGAGCAATGAAGGGAAACTTGCCCTACCAGAAAGTTTTTAATTAAAACAGAGGCACTGGCACAAAAATCAGTCAAACTGGTCTTTTGTCAGACTAACAAGTGAAACAGGAATATACACAATGACAAATGGAATTAGAAATGTACCCAAATACAAATGGAAATACAGAAGATAAAAGTTGCCATCTTGAGTCATTGTATAAATGAATTTTTTAATAAATGATGCTGAGATTACAGATAGCCATTATGAAAAAAACATGAAACTGAAGAACCATGTACTAGAATACACTCCAAATGAAGCAGAGCTCAAAATAGGGGCAGGCCAGGCACAGTGGCTCATGCCTGTAATCCCAGCACTTTGGGAGGCCAAGGCAGGTGGATCACCTGAGGTTAGAAGTTCAAGACCAGCCTGACCAATATGGAGAAACCCCATCTCTACTAAAAAAAAAAAAAAAAAAATACAAAATTAGCCAGGTGTGATGGCGCATGTCTGTAATCCCAGCTACTCAGGAGGCTGAGGCAGGAGAATCGCTTGAACCCAGGAGGCGGAGGTTGCAGTGAGCCGAGATTGCACCATTGCACTCCAGCCTGGGTGACAAGAGCGAAACTCCATCTCAAAAAAAAAAAAAAAAAAAATAGGGGGATCACAACTATACAATTACTTGAAGAAAATGTGGGTGAATTCCTTAATAATTTCAGAGCAAAAAAAATTTCTCACTAATTCAAAAGTCCATATATTCAACTACTAGACAAAACATACAATAAGCAAAGTCAAAAGACAAGTGAAAAATCAAGAGGAAAATCATTCTACTTATACCACAAAGCACCAATCTCCCTAATATATAAAAAAACCTTTAAAACTAAAAACAAAACAAAACAAAAACAAAAACAAAAAAACACACACACAACAGAACAATGAGCAAAAGACATGGACAATTCACTGGGGAGGGAGGTGGGGAGCCCTGTACCCATTAGCAATCACTCTCCATTTTCATCCAACCTCCTCACATTCCCCCAGCCCTGGGTAACTACTAATGCACTAAAGGTACTTTTTGTTTCTATAGACTGCCATTCTGGACATTTTATATAAATGGGGAAAATGTTCAAATTTACTCATAATGTAAAAAAATGTAAACTAAAACTACACTCAAAAATACAAAAGTTTGACCATATACTCTCTACTTGTGAAGCTGTGAAAAAACAACTACTCTAATATATCTCTGGTAAAACAGGAAAGTGATACAAACTCTACAGAGGTCAACTTTGCAAAACCAAAATCACTTATGGTTTTACATTTCACTCTTTGGTTTTACATTTTACCAAAATCACTTATGGTTTTACATTTCAGTCTTTCCTAAAGATACACCTCCATAAAAACTAAACACTGTGTGTACCATGTTACTTACTGAAGCATAATTTGCCACAAGAAAATATTGAAAATGATCCAAATGTCCATCAATAGGGAACTGATAGAATAAACAACGGTACATCCACCTACACGACAGAATTATAGGTTATAAAAAAGAATAAAAAATGAATTGATATGAAGTGATTTCCAAGATACACTGTTAAGAAAAAAAAAGGTATAATGTATACAGCATGCTACCCTCTGTATAAAAAAGGTGAAGGATATGTATGTCTGATAATTTCTGTAAAATTAAAAAAGAGAAGAGATACATTAAAAAATGAATGAAAACAGTCATCTATGAAAGGTAGGTGGAAAAGGCATGGAAGGGATGGATATAGGAGTCAGACTTCTCTGACTATTCCTGTTTATATAGTTCTGACTTTTGAATCACAGAAATGTTTTATATATTCAAAATATAAAATAGTACATGCAAACACTAAATGTTTTGTCTAACTTAAAACATAAATGTATTTTAATTGCCAATGCTTTGAGCTAGGGGTCAAGGCCTTTTGAGCATGAGTCTGTTGATTAGAATTTACCATGGCTTTCTTAAACCATAACCACAATATATTGTCTAAGAAATCCAGTTTCTGTTTTGTAATGTGAAGTTAGATATTAAAGATAATCATTGGCTGGGTGCAATGGCTCACACCTGTAATCCCAGCACTTTGGGAGGCCGAGGAGGGTGGATCACTTGAGGTCAGGACTTCAAGACCAGCCTGGCCAACATGGTAAAACTCTGTCTCTACTAAAAATACAAAAATTAGCCAGGTGTGGTGGCATGCACCTGTAGTCCCAGCTACTCAGGAGGCTAAGGCAGAAGAATCGCTTGAACCTGGGAGGCAGAGGTTGCAATGAGCCAAGACTGTGCCACTGCACTCCAGCCTGGGCAACAGAGTGAGACTCTACTCAAAAAATAAATAAATAAATAAAAATTAAAGATAACTGCAAAATAAACTTTGAGCAGTGTCCTTTTAGTTTCCTCCCTGTCTAAATTCCTATAACTTTTTCTCAGAGCTTTCAGTTATCTCACTTATATTTTTTTGCTTGTTTTTAAGACACGAGGTCTCTTGCTGTCACCAAGGCTGGAGCATGGTGGCACGATCATAGCTCACTATAACCTAGAACTCCTGGGCTCAAGTGATTCTTCTGTCTCAGCCTTCCAAGTAGCTGGGATTACCGGCATGCACCACCATACACAATTTTTTTTTTTTTTTTTTTGTTTGGTAGCGACAGATTCTTGCTCTGTTTCCCATGCTGGTCTCAAATTCCTGGACTCAGGTGATCCTTCTGCCTCAGCCTAATTTTCTCAGAAGCAAACTGACATGAACAAGTTTGGGAACACAACTAACTCTTGAAGGGCATACAACTCGAATGGTGAGAGAAGTATACAAGACCACTAACCACAAGCATTCAGCATACTAACACTGCCAACAGTCTTCACGTTTTAGAGAGGGAACAGGAGTAGGAGTAGTTAGGTAATTTGGCAAATGACTTACATAATGTTTATGGGAGAATTTACTAGAAATAATAGATGTTATTAAACATTTATTCAGATACCAAACATTCATCAAAGACTATCAGCCCTGAGGTGGGTATTATTATCTCCATTTTACAAATGAGGAAATGGAATCGTAAGAGAGGTTAAATACTTACCCAAGGTTATATGATTACTAAGTGATGAGGCCAAAAGTTGAACTAAGGCAGTCTGATCCTAGAGCCCACAATCTCAGCCACTGTATAATAAATGACTTATTTTTAAGGCCATGATAGATGACCGGTGAAACCTGCTTTGAGATTCCTCCCAGCCACATTCTTGGGCACAGACCTTTGAGCCTATTATCACCCATGTATTATGCGAGTTTGTAATAAAAGAAAATTGGTACTGTCTAGACATTTCCCCTCTGCTCACTACATAGCGATTTTTATTGAAACACATTTCCTGATAAGCCCCCTTCATTCTAATGAGAATTTCAATTTTACTCACCTCCCCTTATCACTTGCTTATCAAAATGCATGCATCTGCTCTTAACTGACAAAATTAATTATTTCTGATCAGGTTCTTGCCAGAGAACATGACCTTAAACACTATCCAATTCTTATTAATATCTTTGTTATACAAAATAATATTCACAGAGCATTGTCTAATATAAACAAACTTAAAATTCCTTATTGCATTTATTATAGAGATTTTTATCAAACAATGTTAAGTTCCAAAGTATCCTTTTAGGACTAAATTTCTCTTAGGCAGGGAAATGCAATGTTTTTCCTAAACTTGTTTTGTTTTTTATCTTATGAATATTAACACTAATCAAGCTTTCCTCTTTCTTTTAGTTGCTAGAAAACCCAGAATCAAAGTTGACAACAGCATTGGACATGACTTAATGGCACGCATGTTTGTGTACTGACCTTTGCTTGAGTTTTACATCATGATCCGATCTTTAATTTTCTGATATCCCATTTTTCTTTGCTGTTCTTTTATACGTTGTAAAAATATATATTTTTTATAAAACAACTCAAATCTTTTTTGAAAGGAGGTTGGAGAAAATAAATTTAAAGGTAACTAGAACATTTAGATTATTACTTTAAAACAATTATCTTCTTACCTCTTCTCTATTCCCACCAGTACTAACCTAGGCATGGAAAACAGACGAGATGTTCTGTTAGGGTATCTTTGATGTTCAGGATTATATATCTATTTTTTTCTCCCTATTTTCACAAACATAATTGTTAAAACAGAACTTACCAGATAGAGAATATGAAGATCATTCTCTAAAACAAAGCCCTTCATTGCTCTTTGCAGGTCAGCAAAAATATCTAAAGTATCAGCTGGAGAAAGTGAAGAAGAAAGAGTGGCCGAACCAAGATGTGTTGGATGATACACCTTTCCTGGTTTAGGGTTAGGGTGAGGAAACAGAGGAACAAACATTCAAAATAAAATAAAACAAAATACTATCTTTCTGTTTTCCATGCTAACCCTCCCGGCTGATAAATTTTACAAATAGTACCTTATCCAGAGCATGAAAATGTATGAGCAGGCTCTATCATAATGGTCTGAAGTTGCTAAATACAATACTGATTTACTAAAAATGAGTTGATACACTGCTCAAAAAATCAAATTCCTTTTATACTACATGAAAAGACAATTTCCATTCACTGAGCAGTCATACAACCTCACTAAAGAAGAAAAAGTGAGTAAATTGCAACTGAGAAGTCACACTTACCTTCTGTTCCATCACTGGCTTCTGTACTCTGGATGAATTCATTTTCTAGTAGCCACATCACACAGGCCTCAATCGCTCCAAGCTGAACAGACTCTTGATTTCTCTGAATTCCTTGCTTCCCTTCTTTCATACTTGCAGCCAAAAATGTGCAGGCAGCATAAGTATGCATATCTTGTGATGTACTTGCCACTCCACCAACTATTATCTGAAAGAAGATATTTGGAAATTTCTGTAGCTTTTTAAGAAAACATGCAAGCCACCGGGCGCGGTGGCTCATGCCTGTAATCCCAGCACTTTGGGAGTCCGAGGCGGGCGGATCACGAGGTCTGGAGATGGAGACCATCCTGGTTAACACGGTGAAACCCCGTCTCTACTAAAAATACAAAAAAATTAGCCAGGCTGGTGGCAGGCGCCTGTAGTCCCAGCTACTTGGGAGGCTGAGGCAGGAGAATGGCATGAACCCAAGAGGCGAAGCTTGCGGTGAGCCAAGATCACGCCACTGCACTCCAGCCTGGGCGACAGAGCGAGACTCCATCTCAAAAAAACAATTAAAAAAAAAAATAAATAAAACATGCAAGCCCTCTGAATATAAAATAAAGCAAGCTATTTCATTCTCATTTTTTTAAATGTTCTTAGAATCTTAATGTAGAGATTCTTTATTTACTTTCCCATCACCACTCACTGTAACTGTTGGTAACACCTAATGACAACAGAAAAGTTCTCCTTAAAGTAGATAAAATATTTTCTTAAAAAGAAAAATAAGTGGGCCAGGCACGGTGGCTCACGCCTGTAATCCCAGCACTTTGGGATGCCAAGGCGGGCAGATCACGAGGTCAGGAGATCAAGACCATCCTGGCCAACACAGTGAAACTCCGTCTCTACTGAAAATACAAAAATTAACTGGGTGAGCCAGGCGCAGTAGCTCACGCCCGTAATCCCAGCACTCTGGGAGGCCGAGGCAGGCGGATCACGAGGTCAGGAGATCGAAACCTTCCTGGCTAACACGGTGAAACCCCATCTCTACTGAAAATACAAAAATAAGCCAGGCGTGGTGGCGGGCGCCTGTAGTCCCAACTACTCGGGAGGCTGAGGCAGGAGAATGGTGTGAAATCAGGAGGCGGAGTTTGCAGTGAGCCGAGATTGCACCACTGCACTCCAGCCTGGGTGACAGAGCGAGACTCCGTCTCCAAAAAAAAAAAAAAAAAAAAAATTAACTGGGTGTGGTGGCAGGCACCTGTAGTCCCAGCTACTCAGGAGGCTGAGGCACGAGAATTCCTTGAACCCAGGAGCCAGAGGTTGCAGTGAGCTGAGATTGCACCACTGCACTCCAGCCTGGCAACAGAGCGAGACTTCATCTCAAAAACAAAGAAAGAAAAAGAAATGAATCATTAAATTCATCTGAAATTTTGGATAACACAGCGAGACTCCATCTCAAAAACAAAACAAAAAAAACATAAAGCACCGGGCACAGTGGCTAACACCTGTAATCCCAGCACTTTGGGAGGCCAAGGCAGGCAGATCACCTGAAGGCTGGTTCAAGACCAGCCTGGCCAAAATGGTGAAATCCCATCTCTATTAAAAGTACAAAAATTAGCCAGGGATGATGGTGTGTGCCTGTAATCCCAGCTACTCGGGAGGCTGGGGCAGGAGAATTGCTTGAACCCGGGAGGCGGAGGTTGCAGTGAGCTGAGATCATGCCATTGTACTCCGGCCTGGGTAACAGAGTGAGACTCTGTCTCAAAAATAAATTAAAAAAAATAAATAAATAAAGCTAAGATTTTCATATACTAACATTTTACTAATTTAGGCATAAAAGAGCAAATGGTAATTTAGTAAATTCTCTCTTACCTCCAGAATAGCTCGTATCATGCTGCCAGTTACTTCTTCTCCTTCTCGTCTTTGCAGACAGCTGCGAACAGGCTTTAGAGAACCCTGAAGGAGAGCTATGCCTTTTGATTTCTCAGAGTTCTTACAAATTAAGATACTCTCGCCTATAACCAAAAGATACACATTTGCAAAATCCCAATATAGTTCCATAAGATATCTGCTAAAGAGATTTTAAGTTGCCTTACTTTGCTTAAAAGCAGACAAGAGATGATAGTGGTTGTTATGGTAATAAAATTATGGCTATTTTTTGAACTTTGGACAGAAGGGGATCAGAATATGCCACTCCAAAATATGCCACTTCAGCATAAGGATTATTTTGAGCTGAAGGCCATTGGGAAGCAGCAAACACAGAAAGAACTCTTTGTCCTCTCCCTATCTGCCTAAAAGCAAGAATAAATTTTTCCCTTTGTGATGATGTTTTCCATTCCCTCTCCCACACAGGACAACAACCCTTATCACTGGAGACAGGTCAGCACTGAGATGGGTCTGCACAAACAAACTCTACCTACTAAAATAACTTCTATCTTCCATTAGTTTGCCCCATATATTTACCTTCTCACAATTTGTTGCCCCTAGAAGCCCAGATACCTTTTCCTTTTTCTTGTTGCTTCTCCACAATTTACTGCCCATTGTTAAAATGTTATATAAGACCCCAGGTTAAACAGTTTCTCAGGTCTTCAATCCTTTTCTATAAAGGCTTCCATGTACATAAAAATTAAAATATTAGCATCAAATAAAGTTTATATGCCTTTTCTCCTGTTAATCTGTCAATTTAATTAGCAGGTCCCAACTGCAGAACCTAAGAAAGTAGAGGAAAAGTCTTTTTCTTCCCCTACAGGATTAACCATTATTATTGAATAATGAAGTAATTAATAGAGGTACTTTCAAACCTATAAAGTAAAATGCAAATGTAAATTGTTACCAGTTATATGATAAAATAAATTCAAAAATACTTGTAGATACCCAAAATTTATATTACAACATTTACTAATCTAAATGCTTTATTGTGAGAACCAAATGAACAAAAATACATGAAAGCACTTATATGTTAAAGCCATATACAACTATACAATTTGAACAAATACAAACTATTATTGCAACAATTATGACTAGAGAGAATCATAATTTTTCTTCAAAAATGAATCCAATACTGTGGGAAAGAAAGCAGGTAAGAGGTTCAAAAAGACAAATGAAGAATACTTTTTTTTTTAAATAAAACTGGCACAGTGCTGGAATATCCTTACCACCCGAGGCAAAGAGAAGGTACAGATTATCCTTCCCAATTGCCAAACTGAGAATCAAGATAGGATAAAGTGAAGGGATTATAAACTTGATTATCAATGGCTGTTTATCCCAGAAATGATTATAAAGATAGGCACCATTAAAAAAGCAAAACAGCCAGGCGCGGTGGCTCACACCTTTAATCCCAGCACTTTGGGAGGCCGAGGAGGGCAGATCACGAGGTCAAGAGATGGAGACCAGCCTGGCCAACATGGTGAAACCCCGCCTCTACTAAAAATACAAAAATTAGCTGGGCATGGTGGCACGCACCTGTAGTCCCAGCTACTCAGGAGGCTGAGGCACGAGAATCACTTGAACCCAGGAGGCAGAGGTTGCAGTGAGCTGAGATCACGCCACTGCACTCCAGCCTGGCAACAGAGAGAGACTCTATCTCAAAAAAAAAAAAAAAAAAAAAAAAAAAGGAAAACAAGATGTCAGCAAGATGGTGGTTTAGGAGGCTTTACTACCCCCCTCCCCAGAAGCTTCAACTAGCTTCTATCTGCAGACAAGAACACCTTTGTGAAAACCCCAAAACTGCCAGGCCCAGTGGCTTATGCCTGTAATCCCAGCATTTTGGGAGGCCAAGGAGTGTGGCTCACTTAGGTCAGGAGTTCGAGACCAGCCTAACCAACATGGTGAAACCCCGTCTCTACTAGAAATACAAAATTAGCCAGGCATGATGGCACATTCCTGTAATCTCAGCTACTTGGGAGGCTGAGGCAGGAGAATCGCTTGAGCCCTGGAGGTGGAGGTTGCAGTGAGCCGAGATTGTGCCACTGCACTCCAGCCTGGGCAACAAGAGTGAAACTCCATCTCAAAAAAAAAAAAAAAAAAAAAAGAGGCCAGGCATGGTGGCTCATGCCTGTAATTCCAGCACTGTGGGAGGCCAAGGTGGACGGATCACCTGAGGTCAGGAGTTCAAGACTAGCCTAACCAACATGGTGAAACCCCATCTCTACTAAAAATACAAAATTAGCCAGGCATGATGGCACATTCCTATAATTCCAGCTACTTGGGAGGCTGAGGCAAGAGAATCGCTTGAGCCCAGGAGGTGGAGGTTGCAGTGAACCAAGATTGCGCCATCGCACTACAGCCTGGGCAACAAGAGTAAAATTCCGTGTATTAAAAAAAAAAACAACAACAACAACAATAACCAAAAAAAAAAAAAAAAAACCCAAAACTTGGGAATAAGTCTGAAACTTATGCATAGACCACAAAACTACATAAAAATTGCAAGATATAGTAAGATAAACTATCTCACTTTGACCTCATCACCCCTTCCACTCCCCTAAGTCAGCACAGTATCACACAGAAAGGAATCCCCAGGGCTCATGGCTTCTACAGTGGGAAAAGAAAACCAGAGAACACAGAGCTTCCCTAGCATTCCAAGAGGCTTCCCAAGAAGCCAACTCCAGTCTCGCCTCACAGAGAACATGCTGGGTAACAGCATGGCTAGATCACCTGGGGTCAGGCAGAAACAAAGCAAGGAGGTAGAGCTCACGGCAACCAGCATGCAGATCTTGGTGGTAGCTCTGTGTACCTGCCAGTGGTGGTGCCCAATCAGAGGTACCAGCTAACAGCTAAACAGTGTAGCCCAGGACAAAGCCAAACTGATCACTTCTAGAAGTGGTAGGAAATTCTACCTGGCTTGAATCTTTAGATGGCCAGCCTCCAGGCCCAGCGTCAAAGCTCATGAGGACCCTGCCCAGGAAAGGAGATGACCATCACAGTGCATTCTGGAAAGAAGCAGGGGCTAGTTCTGCCAAACCTGGGATTTTAAACAGTGCTCAAGCTCAGCCTCAAGGACCTGCCCCAGGTGGAAGATGCCTATCATACTGTATTTTTGCAAAGTGCAGGGACTAGTTCTGCCAAGGGTGGAAGTTTAAACAGCCCTCAGTTCAGTCTCAAAGCCCACTCCAAGTCCCCACCTAGGCAGGGAGGCAAACCTCAGATGTGCATTTTTTTTATTTTATTTTTAGAGGTGGGATCTCTGTCACTCACATAGGAGTGCAGTGGCATGATCATAACTCACTGAAGCCTGAAACTCCTGGGCTCAAGCGATCCTTCCATCTCAGCCTCCCAAGTCACTGGGATTACAGTCATGAGCCACCATGCTCAATCATGCATTTCCACTGAGCATAGCAGCTGGCCCACTGGTCCAGAATAGCAACTCCACCTAACCTCGAGGCCCAGCCTGCAACACTGTCCAAGTACAGATCTCAAATAGGGGTACCATCTGGCCAAGGAATACACTCTGGGGCCCAGCCAAGAGGCGATTGCAGTTTCAAACCAGCAACTCTGCCTGACTGCAGAGCTCAGCTTGTGGGTTCACCTGATAGCAGAGCCCAGCCAGCAGTCCCACCCAAACTCAGAGCAAAGGCAGCAGCCCAACTATCTACAGAATCCAAAGCAAGCTTTGCCTGCTCAGGGCTGCTGCCAGTTGGCCTATTCAGAATCAAAGGCTAGACAAGTGAAGTTCTATCCCTGCCAAAGAACACCTATAAAAGCCAAAGAGGTAGCTGTCTCCTCAAATGTGCAGATACCAACACAAGAACACAGATTACAAAGAACCAGGAAGCCAAGATACCTTCAAAAGAAACTAACAAAGCTCCAACAATGAACCCTAAAGAAATGAAGATCTGTGAAATGAGAAAGAATCCAGAATAATTATCCTAAAAAAGTCCAATGAACTACAAGGATATATGGATAAAAAATTAAATAAAATTTGGAAAACAATATACAAACAAAACAAGAAGTTTGACAAAGAAATAGAAACAATAAAAAAGAAAGAGAAATCTTAGAGATGAAGAGTACAATGAGTGAACTGAAAAATGCAATCAAAGCTTTAGCAGCAGGCTCAATCAAGCAGAAGAGAGAGAGATTAGGGAGTTGGAGGGATGAGAAGATGGTCAAAGAGTACAATGTTTCAGTTAGACAGGAAGAATAAATGATAAGTATTTGGGGGTGATATGTTAACTGGCTTAATTCCATCATTTTGCATTGTATACAGATAGCATCACTCTGTGCCTCAAAAATATATACAATTATAATTTGTCAATATCCAATTTTTAAAAATCACATGAATATAACACCTGACTCTTGCAATGGCTACAAAACAGCCCAGCTTAAGAAAGAAAACACACACATATAAATTACCTAGAAAATGAATCAACTAGCATTAGCAGCAAGATAAACAAGCCACTTTGGGCTGTTTAAAGGTCTTTCGGGGCTTTGATTCTTCAACAAAATGAACTGCCCTTTTCCTGAATGGGCAAGGTTTATAAAATGTCCAAATGAACATCAGTATATATGTACAGGTTCCTGCAACCACCTGTCTAGGGAGGACTCATCCACATCACAAGAGGGAAGTTGAAATTATTTAGAATCAAATAATTTATTACTGACTGCTGAACTTACAAATCGCTATTTTGGCACCAAGCACCATCATCCTATACTAGAAGCTTCTAAGTAGTCTATGGAAAGACTGAAGTGTCATCTAAATAAAACACCATGTGCTGTCCAGGAATATAAAATGCACAGAATTTCCAATGATGCTACACGATACAAAAAGCATGACCAAGTATTTAAGTCTCCATAGTGAATATAAACCACTATATTCCTACATTCTTCATTAGCTTGAAGTTATGAGCAAGTCATATGACATCCTGAAATACAATGATATGCAAGATCAAAAGCTTGGAAGTCTTTAAGACCTCAGAAATGAACTTATTACAGTATATTTTAGTTCTGTTTGAGAGTTGTCTGATTTAAGGCTTGATAATTAGCCCAGGGCACTAACCTTCCAATTGTTCTTTCCCATAATAAATATAAGCTAAGAACATAACAAGGCAAATAAGATCTCAGCTTATTTCTTGTCTTATTTCTCCTTATCTTCTACATTAACTAAAAGACCCTCTGTCCCGAGAGACAATTATCTATGTAAAATGGACTTATACTCCATTCCCCAGAGGTGTGAGTCCACTGAAAATTGGGGATGGACAGAGGTAGGCAAATAGGAATGGGAAGGAAGAATCTCACTCTCTTCCCTCAACTCTTTTTAAGCATATACATGCAATCTGCATATTCTGTAGGTAAAGTAAGAGAGAAACAGGATAAACGTCTCTGATGTCAGCTGTAGGAAAAATCCAACAAATTGGAAGTTTTGTTTTTTTTTTTTAAATCATCAAAATTTTCAGGGCTTAAAAGAAAGGCTGACCAATGCCCTTCAGGGATTGTAAATGGGTCATTTATTACTGGTGCTGAGACTGAAAGCTGTTCCAATAGCCATGCACATCTTCTTAAGTATTAGTGGAGCACGTGGCCACCCAAGCTAAAGATTATATTTCCCAGCCTCTCTTATAGTTGGGGAATGTAATCATGTGAAAGTTCTGGCCCATTGTATGTGAAGAGAAATACTATGTGCAACTTCTGAGCAGCGGCCTTAAAGGGCAGGGCATGCTCTTTGCTTCCTCATCTTCCCTTCCTGATGGCTGAAATGCAGATGTGATGACAGAGACTGGACTGGCCATCATATACCGAGGATAGAAACTACATTGCTGAAAATGTTAAAACAAAATAGAAGACTAGGTCCCCGACACACTACAGCCATCATATAAGGCCTAAATTACAATTACATCATATAAGGCCTAGAATAGAATTTTACTGTTATATGAGAAAGAAATTAACATCTATCTTGTTAAACACTTATTGTATTGGTTTTTGTTACAGCAGTGAATTTATATTCTAACTAATCCAGATACCAATAAATTACGGTCAATTTTTGGTATTTGTGGTAGTCATGTTCTATAAAGCTGCCACGAACACAGAATACTGAACCCTTGCTGCCAAGGAAAACAGATGATTAGGTTCCTGCAAGCCTCTAGTAAAAACATTTTCATCACTTCATCAATACAAAACCTTGTTTTATGCATGTTTCTGTTTAAAGACATCTTATTTAATGTATATAGTTGTTTACATTGAGCTCCAGCCAACAGCATTATAATTCATGCCTAAAGAAAACTTATCACATATTTTCTCCATAAGGCAC
This sequence comes from Homo sapiens, assembly GCF_000001405.40. Taxonomy (NCBI): domain Eukaryota; kingdom Metazoa; phylum Chordata; class Mammalia; order Primates; family Hominidae; genus Homo; species Homo sapiens. The sequence continues at coordinate 121,518,254 of NC_000003.12, forward strand.
ATCACAGCCTTAAGGCACTAGGGAACATTAGATAGCATTTCAGTACTTTGCTTGGGGGTCATGTTAAACAGCAAAATCACCAACTAAAAGCACAAAAATGTGAAAAATATGGCACTAACTAGCCCATTAAAAAGAAGCTTGTTCACAGTATAAGAGCTGAAACAAGAACGCAGAGCTTTGGCTTGTTCAACCACAGCAGGGAAAGTGTGCTTGGAAAGATTCAAATTTTTCGCAGATCTGCATATGTCCACAAAAGCCCCAGAGGTATTATTTCGGGATTCTGAATAAATTCTGTTAAGGTGGAAAATTCAAATATGGAATCCATGAATAATGAGAACTGACATATTTGGGGACTTCATGTGACAAGTCAGTTTATTCTAAAAGTTACTTCCTCAGTGTACTACCCAGCTTCCTCTGCCCAGAATATCCATTTCCCATCCACTTTCCTTATTCTCCTGGATTTCCTAATTTCTCTTCAGTAGCCACAGAACTGTTTGCCTGTTTTGTTTTTTTTTGACATATCTAATAAAATACTGGAGTCAATTATGTCCTACAGTAGAAAGATGACAATTATGTCCTAGAGTAGAAAGTGGCAGGGAATGTTCCTCCCAAGGTTCTTCAATGTTAGATGGCTGATAATGATTTAGTTACATATAATGATACAGCACGTTAGAAATAAAATTTGCTGCCGTTTTGACATTTAATTCAAACAAACCTCTTCCTTACTGCTTAAGACAAAACTTTTGTTTGGATTGCTGGTAAAAACAATCATAACTTGCTGATACAAGGTAAAAAAAAATGAAAAGGTGTTTTTTCAGAGCCAGCACCAATTTCGAGAAAAAAGATGGGATGTCAAGTTCCTATTCCCAAAGTGTGAGGGTGCATCCCAGCATCCTTGTCTGATTTCTGAGACCAGTCACCTAAGTTGAATTAACATCTGTGAAAATTAATTAGTGCTAAAGAGTAGACTACACCTAGAAATTAAAAATCATCTTCCAGCTAAGTAATAAGAAGTCATCTTGATTTACATAATACTAAATCATTTTATTGTATACAATACGAAAGAAAAACTTAATTCAACATTTGTAGAAAATCAACAGTTGATGATATATATATATATATATATATATATGAAAATTATGCCAGGCGCGGTGGCTCAAGCCTGTAATCCCAGCACTTTGGGAGGCCGAGGCAGGCGGATCACGAGGCCAGGAGATCGAGACCATCCTGGCTAACATGGTGAGACCCCGTCTCTACTAAAAATACAAAAAAATTAGCCGGGCATGGTGGCAGGCGCCTGTAGTCCCAGCTACTTGGGAGGCTGAGGCAGGAGAATGGCATGAACCCGGAAGGCAGAGCTTGCAGTGGGCCAAGATCGCGCCACTGCACTGCAGCCTGGGCGACAGAGCGAGACTCCGTCTCAAAAAAAAAAAAAAAAAAAGAAAATTATAACTCATACTCACTATAAATATTAAGTGAATCCAAAATGATGACACTAGTGCATTGGATAATAAAGAAATACAGCATGATGAGAAACAGGTTGCCAGACACTAGTCAAATTTCAAGTAGACACTGTCCTTCAGCAATGCTGCTACAATTAAATTCAAACTCACTTACCTACTGTGTCCACTCCTTTCCTGCCAGCACGGCCAACCATCTGCTTATAAGTAAGAATATCTAGAGGTCGACCACCAAAAATAGGGGTTCGAATAATCACACGACGTGCAGGTAAATTCACCCCAGAAGAAAGAGTAGAAGTTGCCGCCAAGACCCGAATGAGACCTTGACGAAAGGCTCCTTCAATGATATCCCTCTCCTCAAAAGTAAGACCTAAAAAAAGGAGGTTTTTATATATTTATTGATATATAACGAAAATATTATACGTGTTCACTTACAAATGGATTTGAGAGTCTGCTTCAAGCCTCTGAAGATTTTTGAAACTATTGTTATGACTGTTGACAAAGGAGTCATCACAGTCTATCTCTTTAACAGCATAATCTGGCCGGGCGCGGTGGCTCATGTCTGTAATCCCAGCAGTGTGGGAGGCTGAGGCAGGTGGATCGCTTGAGGTCAGGAGTTCGAGACCAGCCTGGCCAACATGGTGAAACCCTGCCTCTACTAAAAATATAAAAATTAGCTGTGCATGGTGGTGGGTGCCTGTAATCCCAGCTAATCAGGAGGCTGAGGCAGGAGAATCACTTGAACCTGGGAGGCAGAGTTTGCAGTGAGCTGAGATCACATCACTGCACTCCAGCCTGGGCAACAGAGCGAGAAAACAACAACAACAATAACAAAAAAAGAGTAGAATCTGCTGCCTCTAGTATACCTCTACCTTATTTTCTAGACCAGGGGTCCACAAACTTTTCCTGTTCCTGTGGAAAACAGCAGGTCTCCGCTGCAACTATCCCACCCTGCCACTGTGACATGAAAGCAGCAACAGAACAAATGGGCATGACTGTGTTCCAATAAAACTTTATTTACAAAAACAGATGGTAGGCTAGACTTGACCAGCAGACTGTAACTTGCTAACCACTGTTCTAAACAATGAACTCCTTGTGGGTAGTGATATGCCTTATTCATCAAGATATCTTCAGGGCCTATGCATCACATTGGTCAGATATACCTCTGACATAAATACGTGATGAACAAAAACATGAGTAAATGAAAAACAGTGTATAGAATATATACTTAGCTGGCTCATTTTCAATTTTATTTAAAAATTTAAAGGGCTGGGGTTCTAGTTTTAAAATTAAGTGATGGGTACACAGGTGTTCACTTTTTTAGTATGCATCATAAATTACATACAATGTAAATTCTGTGTGTGTGTATATAGTAGTTTTCCCCCATCTGTGGTTTTGCTTTCTATAGTTTTAGTTACCCAAAGTCAAAAATATAAAGAGGAAAATTCCAGAAATAAGCAACTCATAAGTTTTAAATTGCATGTCCTACCACCCAGGACATGAATTATCCCTTTATTCAGTGTATCCATGCTGTATACACTACCGGCACTATATAATGTGACTATATAGGAAAGAACATAGTATATAGAGGGTTTGGTACTATCTGTGGTTTCAGGCATCCACTGAGGATCTTGGAACATATTCCTCACAAAGGACTACTATATACCATATATATACCCCCTCACACACACACATTTCTAATGCATTTAAAAGTTTTAACATGCTATGAAAAAACATCATATATGTGGGGCTGGTACTATCTATGGTTTCAGATATCCACTGGGGGTCTTGGAACATAGCTTCAGTGAACAAGGGGAGACTACTATATAGAAATAAGTAAACTGAAACAGGTTCGTTTTACTCTTCTTTAATCTATCACACAATTTCGCTCTGTCACCCAGGTTGGAGTACAGTGGCACGATCTCGGCTCACTGTAACCTCCGCCTCCTGGGTTCAAGCAATTCTCCCTGCCTCAGCCTCCTGAGAAGCTGGAATTACAGGTGCGTGCCACAACGCCCAGCTGATTTTTGTATTTTTAGTAGAGATGGGGTTTCACCATGTTGGCCAGGCTGGTCTTAAACTCCTGATCTCAGGTGATCCACTTGCTTCGGCCTCCCAAAGTGCTGGGATTACAGGAGTGAGCCACCACGCCCAGCCCACACAATTTCTTAAAAAGAAATCTAAGGACATTAAGTGTGTTTAACAAGAAATAAATGTACACAAATATAAAAGTTAAGACAGTATGAGGAATTTTGGAGGTTTCTTAATAACATTATAAATATGAAATACCTGCATGATGAAATGCTACTCCCCATGGTACAGTTTTCTGTAATACAGAGTCCAGTCCTGAAGGCAAACGTCTTAACTGATCCATCACTTCCAGGAGTTCTTTTTGTTCCAGAATTACTGGTGGGCATTCAGAGGGTTTCACCAATCCTGTCACAAAAAAATTATCAACACCATTTGCTTCTAACTCAGCTTCTTTAAGTGTATCTGTCTAAATCATAATAGAGCTAAATAGCAGGGGAATGGTTCTGAAACTGCTGCATACTATATAATCCCCTGGAGATCTTTTTTTTTTTTTTTTTTTTTTTTTTTTTTTTTTTTTTGAGACGGAGTCTCGCTCTGTCGCCCAGGCCGGACTGCGGACTGCAGTGGCGCAATCTCGGCTCACTGCAAGCTCCGCTTCCCGGGTTCACGCCATTCTCCTGCCTCAGCCTCCCGAGTAGCTGGGACTACAGGCGCCTGCCACCGCGCCCGGCTAATTTTTTGTATTTTTAGTAGAGACGGGGTTTCACCTTGTTAGCCAGGATGGTCTCGATCTCCTGACCTCATGATCCACCCGCCTCGGCCTCCCAAAGTGCTGGGATTACAGGCGTGAGCCACCGCGCCCGGCTGGAGATCTTTTAAGAATACTGATGCCTGGTTCTTAATCCTGGACATTGTTATATAATTGGTGTGGGATGTGACCTGGACATGAAGAATTTTTAAATCTCCCCAGGCAATTCCAATGTGCGCCAAAGTTTAGGAAACTGTGTAAGGGTAAGACGAAGCCCACAGGAGGGGATCAAAGGAACCTGCTGAGGAAGCAGAGTATTACGGATACTGATTACCACTCAAAGCCCCAAAATCAAAACCCTTGCTCAAGGTGTGTACCACCAACCAGCAGTAGCAGTATCAGAGGGTTTCACCAATCCCGTCACGAAAAAGCCTACTCCTCTGTGAAATTATTCTTGCCTCTTTGGCATTAATCTGGTAGCTAATTAAATAGTACCCTCTGTTTTTTGTCTTCTCCCCCAGTAAGAGCTTAACGTTTTTTTGAGACAGGGTCTCACTCTGTCACCCAGGCTGGAGTACAGTGGCACAATCCCTGCTCATGGCAGCCTTGACCTCCTGGGCTCAAGCAATCCTCCTACCTCAGTCTCCTGGTTAGTTAGGACCAGACACACGAGCCACTATGCCCAGCTAGCATTTTTTTTTTTCACTTGTAGAGATAGGGTCTCCCTAGGTTGCCCAGGCTGGTTTCAAATTCCTGGGCTTAAGCAATCCTCCCACCTTGGCCTCCCAAAGTGCTGAGATTACAGGCATGAGCCACCACCCAGCCTTAACTTTCTTATATGCAGTAAAAGCTTTACATACTTATATGTTGTCTTTAAAAATTTTCCAGACTTTTGGATTTTTGAACTTGTAAAACTTTTCATAAACAGTAAATATATGGCTGGGCACGGTGGCTGACACCCGTAATCCCAGAACTTTGGGAGGCCAAAGTGGGCAGATCAGTTGAATCCAGGAGTTTGAGACCAGCCTGGGAAATGTGGCAAAATCCCATCTCTAAAAAAAAATACAAAAAAATTAGCCAGGCATGGTGGCATGCACCTATAGACCCAGCTACTCGGGAGGCTGAAGTGGGAGGATCACTTGAGCCCATGAGGTAGAGATTACAGTGAGCTGAGATCATGCCACTGCATTCCATCCTGGACAACAGAGCAAGACCCTGTCTCAAAACAAAAATAAAAACAAAAAAACAAAAAGGAAAATAAATAAATGTATGTTCTAGAATTATTATATGTCAGTTGAAAATAAAAATATGTATATTTAAATATGTACCTTATATTTCATACATTTTTAAATTTTTAGGTAAACTTTTTAAAAAATTTTAAGGAATCACAGAGAGTTGCCAATGTTTTATTTTGCTGAGGGCAATTAATTTTTTAAAACCTTACCTATCAATATTTTTACTTCAAAAAAAGACATTTAAGATTAAAAAATGAGTAGGAATAATTTCAGAATGTAAACTGCAGCTTTATAAATAATGTGCTGCCTTGTCTTTACTTTTCTGATAAAAATCTCATCATAGACCAGGCTCCAGTCCAAGCAGGAGCATTTGGGAACCACTGCTACAAACCAAGATAACAAAATCTCAAGAAAAGAAAATGATGATGATTCTGGTTATTAAGGATTATAAATGGCCATGGTAAAATGTAAGGAAATAAGCTAACCCGGTGTAGAAGGTACCAGTTAAGGGGAAACTGGAAGAGATGATACACTGTTAGACAACAGCCTAGCCAATATAAACTTCAGGCAAAGTTTACTTGTTAGAGCTAGGCTTGAGATTTCCATCACTTATCCTCATGATGTGACTGGTATAATTAATTAATAAAATATCCTAATATTCTGTGACTAGAACTGGTCCCTGTCTTCCTTGTATTTATCTTGAGCACCACAGACTAGTAAAAATAGTGAGGCAACAGTGTTCACTCTAGAATCAGTAAAAATATATACTATGATTATAGCCATTAGTATATACTAGATCACCATCTGGCAACAAAAAAGGAACAAACTGATAAATTAACAACCTGGGTGAACATCAATCACACCAGGCTGAGTGAAAGCAAGCTAGATACAAAAGACACATACATACTGTATGACTTTATTTACGTGGAATTTTTAGAAAAGCACAAGTAATCTAAAGTGACAGCAAGCAGAGATCAACAGTTGCCTAAGTCTGGAATAGAGGGAAGAGACAGCAAAAGAAAAGAGAATATTTTAGGGTAATGAAAATGTTCTAGGTGTTGATTATATTATGGTTAAACAGATGTATGCATCTGTTAAAATTTATCATATACATACAAAATGGGTACATTTTCTTATAAATAATACCTCAGAGCTTATTTTAAAATACATTTGTATATACATGCATGTGCGTGTATATTTGTGTATAAATACACACACACACACACACACACACACACACACAGAGTTGACTGTCAAACAACACAGGAGTTAGAAACACAGAAACCCCCAGTCAAAAATCCGCACACAACTTGACTTCCCCAAAAGTTAACTACTAATAGGTGGTGTCTCACAACTGTAATCCCAGCACTTTGGGAGTCCAAGGCGAGTGGATCACGAGGTTAGGAGATCGAGACCATCCTGGCTAACACGGTGAAACCCCGTCTCTACTAAAAATACAAAAAATTAGCTGGGCGTGGTGGTGGGCACCTGTAGTCCCAGCTACTCGGGAGGCTGAGGCAGGAGAATGGCGTGAACCTGGGAGGCGGAGCTTGCAGTGGGCCAAGATAGCGCCACTACACTCCAGCCTGGGCAAAAGACGGAGACTCCGTCTCAAAAAAAAAAAAAGAAAACAAAAAAGAGAAAATACATTTACTATTCATTAACTGGAAGTAGATCATCATAAAAGTCTCCATCTTCATCATCTTTACCTTGAGTAGGCTGATGAAGGAGAAACAGAAGGGGTTCATCTTGCTGTCTCAGGGGTGGCAGAGGCAGAAGTGGTGGCAGTAGAGGCAGGCACGCTTGGTGTAACTTTACGCAAATACATTATAATTTCTGCCTGTTTTTGCTTTTTCATTCTCTAAAAATGTTTATATACGGTACCAATCCTTTCGCCATTTGCTGTCGTTTCAGTGCCGATATCATAGAAGGGTCCGTGCCATAAAAAAAGTCAGAAGCAGTCTTGAATAATTAGAATCCTGCCAAATTGTCTAATGTCAACTTGTTTTATGGTACTGCTTCTTCTGTGTCTTCTTACTCATCATCTGGCACTTGTTTGGAAGCACTCATTTCCTTCAAGTCATCTTCTGTTAATTCCTCTGGTGTGGTGTCTACTAGCTCTTGAATTTCTCCAAGATTCATATCTTGAAACCCTTTACCTCCACCTTTTTTTTGCCATTTTCACAATCTTTTTCATGATTTCGTTCATACCTCCACCTTTTTTTGCCATTTTCACAATCTTTTTCATGATTTTCGTTCAAGACTTTCACAAGGTTCTATCGGGGTTCTCTTCCATAATGTTGACAGTCCTTTCCATAGAGTACAGTGCGTAATGAGCTTTAAACATCCTCATGACCCCTTGATCTACAGACCAAATTAGAGATGCTGTGTTTGGGGGTAAGTAGATCACTTTGATGCCTTAAGTGTTGAACTCAAGGGGTTCTGGATGGCCCAAGGCATTGTTCAGTATCAAAAGAAAGTTAAAAGGCAGTCCCTTACTGGCAATGTATTTCCTGACTTCAGAAACAAAGCATCGATGAAACGAATCCAGAGAAGGGGTTCTCACTCTCCAGTCCTTCTTGTACAACCAAAAGACTGGCAACCAGTGTTTATCTATTCCCTCTAAGGCTTGAGTATTAGCTGTTTTATAGACATGAGTAGTCCTGATCATAAACCCAACTGCATTTGCACAAAACAAGAGTTAGCCTATCCCTTCCTGCCTTAAATCCTGGTGCTTTCTTCTCTTTCTTACTAATAAATGGGTTCTTTGTGGCAATTTTTTTTTCTCAGAATAGGGCACTTTCATCTGCATTAAAAATCTGTTCAGGCAGATATCCTTTCTCCTCAATAATTTTCTTAATGGTATCTTGGAACTCATCTGCAGCCTCTTGGTCTTGCATCTCCTGTTATCTTGACATTTTTTCAAATTCATACAAATCACCAAAAAATTTTCCAATATATTATGTATTGAAAAAAATCCACATATAAACCTCTTTCTAAAATTATCCAACCATCTTTTGCTGGCATTAAATTCTCCAGCTTTAGATCCTTTTGCTTTAAGTTGCCATATGGACTTCATTTTTTCTCAAATCGTAGTAGAGTCTATAGGTATGTATTTCTTCTGTGTGTGTGCGTGTGTGTCTCTGTATGTGTGTGTGTGTGTGCGCGCGCGCACGCACGTGCATCTGTGGCGACAGGATCTCACTCTGCCACCCAGACTGAGCTGAGCACAGTGGCACGATCATGGCTGACTGCACCCTTTACCTCCCAGGCTCAAACGATCCTCCCACCTCAGCCTCCCAAGTAGCTGGAACTATAGGCACACATCACCACACCTGGATATTTTTTTTTGAGATGGAGTCTCGCTCCATCGCCCAGGGTGGAGTGCGGTGGCACGATCTCGGCTCACTGCAACCTCTGCCTCCCAGGTTCAAGCAATTCTCCTGCCTCAGCCTCCCAAGTGGCTGGGACTACAGGTATGCCCCACCACGCCTGGCTAATTTTTATATTTTTTAGTAGAGACAGGGTTTCACCATGTTGTCCAGGCTGGTCTCAAACTCCTGACCTCAGGTGATCCGCCCACCTCATCCTCCCAAAGTGCTGGGATTACAGGTGTGAACCACCATGCCCGGCCTAATTTTTTAACTTTTGTAGAGATAAGGTCTCACTATGTTGCCTATGCTGGTCTCGAACTCCTGGACACAAGTGATCCTCCTGCCTTGGCCTTCCAAAGTGCTGGAATTATTGACATAAGCCACCTCACCCAGCAGGTATGCCTTTCATATAGTGATCCTGCAGCCACATAAAACTGCATTTTCAAAATCAGATGAAGAAGTATTTCATAAAATGTGCAAAGCTGCAGCAATAGCTTCACAAATTTCCTTCTTTTTTTACAGTAGTACTTAAGCTCGATGCATTTATCTTAAAATAGTAAATGCAGCTGCAGACCTCAACTTATGGTACATAGCAAGCAATTCAATTTTTTCTTAGAATGCCACTACTTTTCTCTGCTTCTTCGGAACACTTCCAGCATCACTAGTGGCACCTCAAATTGGTCCCATGGTATTATTCAAGGTTTACAGTACTGCACTAAATATGATGAAAAGTACATAAGAAACATGATAAATTACTTTTTACTGCAATATGAAATTTATGAGACACAAACTGCTCATATGAAGGTGATAAGCGTCATATTTTAAGTGCATACTTACAACACGTGAGCTTACTGCAACAGCAGCAGGAGGTGGCTATAAAATTATTACAGTAGTAGTACAGTATATACCAGTTAATTTTATGCAGTTATGATTTAACACTGCCTCTTTACATTTGTTTACATTTTTCTTCTGTGAATGGGGCTATGTATGGTCTGTGTCTGTGTGCCTAAGTTTTGATAAATATTTATTTATTTATTCGAGAGAGGGTCTCACTCTGTCACCTAGGTTAGAGTAAAGTGGCGTGATCTCGGCTCACTGCAGCCTCCACCTCCCAGGTTCAAGTGATTCTCCTGCCTTATCCTCCCATGTAGGTAGGATTACAGGTACCCGACATCACATCCAGCTAATTTTTGTATTTAGGAGAGATGGGGTTTCACTATGTTGGCTGGGCTGGAAATTTTAATTTTTTTTTTTTTTTTGAGATGGAGTTTCGCTCTTGTTGCCCAAGCTGGAGTGCAATGGCATGATCTCAGCTCACTGCAACCTCTGCCTCCCGGGTTCAAGTGATTCTCCCACCTCAGCCTCCCGAGTAGCTGGGATTACAGGCGTGCACCACCACACCCAGCTAATTTTTTGTATTTAGTACAAACGGGGTTTCACTATGTTAGCCAGGCTGGTCTCGAACTCCTGACCTCAGGTGATCCACCCTCCTCAGCCTCCCAAAGTGCTGGGATTACAGGCATGAGCCACCACGCCTGGCAGAAATTTTAATTCTTAATAAAAGATTTGGGCCGGGCACAGTGGCTCATGCCTGTAATCCCAGCATTTTGGGAGGCCAAGGCAGGCGGATCACTTCAGATCAGGAGTTCAAGACCATCTTGGCTAACATGGTGAAACCTCATCTCTACACAAATACAAAAATTAGCCGGGCATGATGGCGGGTGCTTGTAATCCCAGCTACTGGGGAGGCTAAGATGGAAGAATCACTTGAACCCAGGAGGCAGAGGTTGCAGTGAGCCGAGATCATGCCATTGTATTCCAGCCTAAGCGACCGTGCGAGACTCTGTCTCAAAAAATAATAATAAATAAATAATAGATTTGTGTATATTTTAAGGTAGTATGTGATAAAATAGACTAGTATCTACATATGTTTTAGGCTACATGACATACCTTTTTCTTTTTGTTTTTTAATGTTTTCATGTTTCTAGGCTACATAGCTTGTCAGTTTTTTCAAATTAACACAAATCACCAAAACATTTTCTAATATATTATGTATTGAAAAAAAATCCACATATAAATGAACGCACGCAATTCAAACCCATGTCATTCAAGGGTCAACTTATACATATGTATGTATGTGTGTATGATTCTTTTCAGAGTTACACATTCCTTTGGAAATATAAAGAAAGATATGGTTACTTTCCCCAAAGAAATGTCTACATGTGAAGTTTTGCATCCAATTTAGGGGCTCCAAAGATCAAACTCTTAAAGCCCATGGATCCCTGATAAAGAACTATAGTATATACCCAGTATTCTAAAAATCTAAAGCTGATTAGTCTAAGCATGTGTGTGTATACATAGTCTATACTAGGGACGGAATATTATTAGAATCGCAAAAGCACAGTTTGGTAAAAAGGATACCACCTAGTGGGCAGGCAGTGACAATGATGAACAAAAGCCATGTTTTTGCTAATATAATCACTACCATTACTTTCAAGCAAATGTACTAAGCATGAAGGCTTTCCTTTCCATCCATAACTCACCCTCAGCTTGATGATGTAGATTATAAAACTCTCGAGCAATGATATCTGCCAGCTTCTCACACCATTTCTTTGATGGACAAAAAAGTAATACTGAATGGTTATCACAAATCGTCTCATAACATAAACTAACAACATGGTCCTCATCTCCCTAAAACAGAAAGATAAATAACCACTTTAGTGGTCCTTTCAAAAGATTCTCACATCAGTTTAAAAGCACTCATTTTCCTTTCTGGGGAAGCTTTTTCTTCTTTAAGGCATAATGAAAATCAGTTACAAAGTCAATAACAAAAGAAAGGAAAAAAAGAAGAAAAAATAAACTCCTAATGATGAAAGGTGAAAGAAATACTTACTATTCATTCAACTAATATTTACTGAGCTCCAACCCTCAGGCAATGGGAATACAATATTGAGTAAAAAGAAAGTCAAGATCCTAATAGTCAAGGGGTTTATAGTCTCACCAAGAGACACATTAAAATACAGATATCCTCAACTTAAAATGATTGGACTTTATGATTTTTTTTTATTTTACAGTGGTGCAAAAGCAGTATGCACTCAATAGAAACCATACTTTGGGTGCCCATACAACTCTTCTATTTTTCACTCTCAGCACAGTATTCGTTAAATTATAAGATATTAAACACTTTATTATAAAACAGGCTTTGTGCTAAATGATTTTGCCCAACTATAGGCTGATGTAAATGTTCTGAGAACATTTAAGGTAGGCTAGGCTAAGCTATGATATTCAGTAGGTTAAATGTATTAAAGGCATTTTCAACTTACAATGAGTTTATCAGGATATAACCCTATCATAAGTCGAAGAGCATGTGTACTAAATAAATAAATATAAAATACAACAATAATATATACCATTAAAAGAGAGTTTTACGGTGTTTTGAGGCCTCATATTTGACAGAAAGATCTGAAAGAAAAATTGTCCTGAGAAAACAATTTAGCTGAGATGTGAAGGTGGGGAAACATTATCTCAAAGAAAGGCAACACATTTCAAATGAACAAAAGGGCACATGTGAATCCACTGTGGTGGCCCTGCAAGTTCTCCATACTGGAAGTATGTCAATGTATGTATTAAAAACTGGATTAATGCATCCATCTATTCACTCATTAAACAAATATTTACTATTTGTCAAATATTGTTCTAGGTACTGGGGATGGAGCTGCGAACAAAGCAGAAAAAAAGCTCTACCCTCATAATGTTTCTACTCCAGTAGGAAGAGATAGATAATTACAAATATGAGGTAAGTAAAATACATAAGGGACAGGGCGCAGTGGCTCACTCCTGTAATCCCAGCACTTTGGGAGGCCGAGGCCTGAGGTCAGGAGCTCGAGACCAGCCTGACCAACATGGAGAAGCTCCGCCTCTAGTAAAAATACAAAATTAGTTGGGCATGGTGGCGCATGTCTGTAATCCCAGCTACTCGGGAGGCTGAGGCAAAAGAATCACTTGAACCCGGGAGGCGGAGGTTGCGGTGAGCTGAGATCGCGCCATTGCACTCCAGCCTGGGCAACAAGAGCAAAACTCCATCTCAAAAATAATAATAATAATAATATGTTTGGTTTTGAAAAGTGCTAAGGGAAAAGAAATAGAGACCATGTAAGGGAGAACACTATAATTTAGACAAGTTGGCCAGGGAAGGTCTAAGATGGTGACATTTGAGTAAAAAAGTCCAAAGGTGAAAGAGTAAACCACACTGATGGCCCTAAGGGGAAAGTATTCTAGAAAAAGAGAACCTGAGGCCAGAAACTCTTGTTGTATTAAAAAACAGCAGAGGCCAGTGTGAAGGAAGTGAGAGGGAACATAGTAGATAGAGTCAGAGCACTAAGAGGGGTGGGGGATGTAGATCATGTAGGACCTTATAGACTACTAAGAAGACACTGGCTTTTATTCTAAATGAAACAGAAAGCCACTGCAAGTTTCTGAGAAGAAGGGTAACATGATCTGATGTTCATTTTAAATAGATCACTAGCTCCTGTAAGCACAGACTGAAAGGGACAAGGTCAGAAGCAGAGAGAACAATTAGGAAATATTTCAATAATCCAGGTAAGAAATATAAGTGGTTCAAAAGGGTGGAGGCACAGACATGGTAAAAGAAGAAAAAAATTAACAGGAGAGCAAATGAATGTGTTCACACATAAATGTATTGAAGTAACCAAGGCATAGCCAGGCGAAATATGGGGCACAGAGCAAAGCAAGCAAGATTCCATACCAAGTATGCAGAAACTACAAATGCATACCTAGGTAGTTAGTGAAACACATGAATTTCCAATTCTATTTCCAATTCTAAAATGACCCTTAGCTGTTTTAGTACTCAGAGGCACAACTCTGCACAAAAACAGCAGATGCCTCACTCCACCAATGTACATGAGTCAGTTCTTTAACCTCAGGATTAAAGTGTATTTGGGAGTATGGGAGGGTACTTATTTATCAAGTAACTTTCTAGATGCCAGATAATTTTTAAAAATCATATTTAATTCTTACAATATTCAAGATAGGGATTATAATATCCTATTTAACAGGTGAAGATATGAGGTTCAGATAGGTTTTGTGATTCAACTACTATCTCAGCCATATCAAGTATCTCTATTAAGTATCAGAGGTAGATCTATCAGACTACAAAAATAATATTTTCACTCTACTATATATTATACCTACCATTTAACAAAAAAGTTAATCTTGCACACTAGCAGTTAGTGTAAACTAAACCATAAGAAAATCTTTTCCCAGTAAAAAGAAAACGCTACAAGATCAGTTATTTTTTTTAAATGTTTATATTATATATCAGGAAACAACTATTTATTTAAATTAAAGGTACAACTACATTTCCTCTCTCACCATCACCGCTAATATTTTTTTTGGTGGGGGATGGAGTCTTACTCTGTTGCCCAGGCTGGAGTGCAGTGGCATGATCTCGGCTCACTGCAGCCTCTGCCTCCCATGTTCAAGCAATTCTCCTGCCTCAGCCTCCCATGTTCAAGCAATTCTCCTGCCTCAGCCTCCCGAGTAGCTGGGATTACAGGCGCCCACCACCACACCCAGCTAATTTTTGTATTTTTAGTAGCGACAGGGTTTCACATGTTGGCCATGATGGTCTCTAACTCTTGACCTCAAGTGATCCACCCGCCTTGGCCTCCCAACATGTTGGGATTACAGACGTCAGCCACCACACCCAGCTCACCACCAATTCTTTAAGAGGAAACCAGTTAGCTTAATATTAATCCTAATGTATATGTAACTCCCAATTACATCATTCAGAATTTGTTAGCAATTTGCTAGAAAATGAAATCAAACACACAGATAAAAATAGTAGTGATGTACATATATTGATTTACCTTCACTTGTAGCATGGGCTCAAATTCCCTCACAAGTTTCATTGAAGAGTCATATATGGAATTTCCAACTTTTACTGACTCCAAAAGCGGTACAGGGCGAAAGTCGGTATGGTAGAGTTCAGCATTCAACCAGGAAGCCACAAGCTCCAAATTAGGAAGGGTAGCACTCATGCCAACGATTTGCACAGCATTAGACAGAGAACTGGCTAGATCTGCCTGACTGTAAAAAAACAAATGAAAAGAACATTAAAAGATATATAATACATTAATAATTAGTGTTGCTAACAATATTCTTGGTTATGCCCTTTGGTACACACATGCATACATTTCTTTAGGATATATACCTAAGAATAAAATTACTGAGCCACAGATTACTGAGTCACAGAAGATCTTCAATTTTAGTAGATAATCCCACATTGTTTTCCAAAGTAACACCTCCACAATCTGTGTTTTCTATTGTTCCATAATCTTGTCACCACTTGGTATTGTCAATCTTTTTAATGTTGGCAGTTATAGACAGTACGTGGTAGTATTTCTTTTTTTTTAGACAGGGTCTTGCTCTGTCACCCAGGCTGGAGTGCAATGGACCTGTCTCGGCTCACTGCAACCTCCGCCTCCCAGGTTCAAGTGATTCTCCTGCCTTAGCCTCCCAAGTAGCTGGGACTATAGGTGTGTACCACCACACCTGGCTAATTTTTGTATGTTTAGCAGAGACAGGGTTTCACTGTGTTGGCCAGGCTGGTCTCGAACTCCCGACCTTGTGATTTACCCACCTCGGCCTCCCGAAGTGCTGGGATTACAGGTGTGAGCCACTGTGCCCAGCCAGTATTTCTTTGAAGAAGTAATTTACAGTTCCCTGATAACCAATGAGACTACTGAGCATCACTTCATGTGTATGAACCATGTGGATACCCTTTTTTTTTTTTTTTTTTGAGACGGAGTCTTGCTCTGTTGCCCACTCACTGCAAGCTCCGTCTCCTGGGTTCCTGCCATTCTCCTGCCTCAGCCTCCCGAGTAGCTGGGACTACAGGCGCCCACCACCACGCCTGGCTAATTTTTTGTATTTTTAGTAGAGACGGGTTTTCACCATGTTAGCCAGGATGGTCTCGATCTCCTGACCTCGTGATCCACCCACCTCAGCCTCCCAAAGTGTTGGAATTACAGGCGTGAGCCACCACGCCCAGCCGATACTGTTTCAAAAGCCTGTTTTTTTGTCCATTGATATAGTGGGTTGTGTTTTTCTTATTCATTTGTAGAATTTTTAAATGTCTGGATAGTGAATTTCCTCTTTCATTTTTTGCTCTGTTTTTATTAGTTTATCAAGCTTTCTGTTGCATTATTTTACTTTTTTTTTTTTTGAGACAGGGTCTAGCTCTGTCACCCAGGCTGGAGTGCAAAGGCACGATCTTGGCTCATGGCAACCTCTACCTCCAGGGTTCAAGTGATTCTTATGCCACCTGAGTAGCTGGGATTGCAGGTATGCATCACCACGCCCAGCCAAATTTTGTATTTTTAGTAGAGACAGGGTTTTGCCATGTTGGGCAGGCTCATCTAGAACTGGCCTCAAGTGATCTGCCTGCCTTGGCCTCCCAAAGTGCTGGGATTACAGGCATGAGCCACCATGCTTGGCCTTTTTTCTAAGTTATTGGGATGGATAATTAAATAATTGATTCTCAGTCTCTCTTCCTTAATAATATATACACTTTATGCTATCAATTTCCTTTTAAAAACAACTTTTGCTGCCCTTCACAAGTTTTGTTAAGAGATATTTTTATTATACTTTCAGTTCAAACTATTTTCTAACTTCTGTTGTGATTACTTTTTTGATCTAAAAGTGTGTCAAAAATGTGTTTATTTCTAGTCATGTAGACATGTCCTAGTTATGCTTTTCTTATAGCTAAATTCACTATTGTTAGAAAATAAATGATATGAATCCATTAAAATATGTTAAGACTTGCTTTATGGTCCAGTATATGGAAAACTTTTTGATAAATGTTCCATGTGTAACTCAAATGCACAGGTACTCTGCTGTTTTGAGGTAATTGTTCAATATATATCCATTAGGTCAAATTTGCTGATTATATTAATCAGATTTTCTATATCCCTAGTGATTTGGGATATAGATGGTTATCTGCTTGTTCTATCACAAGAGAGATGTGTTCAATTCTCCCTTAACTGAAAAGAATCTATTGAGTACCCAGCACAATGATTAAAAATAGACCAACACCAACACACATCAGTATGAAATTTCACAGCACTGTGGAAAAAGAGGAGTGCCTAAAAATTCCCAGACAGAATTTAAAAAATTGTTTACAAAGGATGAAAAACCAGCATAGCACTGAATTTCTCAATAGCAATGAGAAAATGAAGTAATGCCTTGACAACTCTGAAGGAAAAGTATTTCTAATCTTGACTTTTATACCTGGACAGTCCATAATTATGGAGGCCGGGCACAGTGGCTCATGCCTATAAACCTAGCACTTTGGGAGGCCGAGGTGGGTAGATCACCTGAGGTCAGGCATTCGAGACCAGCCTGGCCAACATGGTGAAACCCTGTCTCTACTAAAAATACACAAATTAGCTGGGTGTGGTGGCAGGCGCCTATAATCCCAGCTACTCAGGAGGCTCAGGCAGGAGAATCGCTTGAACCTGGGAGATGGAGGTTGCAGTGAGCCGAGATCACGCCACTTCACTCCAGCCTGGGCAAAAGAGCGGAACTCCATCTCAAAAAAAAAAAAAAAAAAGAAAGAATTATGAGGCATTTTCAGACATGCAAGTTCTCAAAAAGTTTATACCTATGTGTGTTCACTGAAATAAAGTAGAAGTTCCTGGAAGATATTCCCACCAAAATGAGATGGTAAATCAAGACAGACATATGGTCAAAAAATTGGTAGGGGGAAGGGAATCCCAAGATGATTGCTATATAGCACATATATAGATTAACCACCTATCTAGATTGGAACAACTTGAAGGGCTTCAGGAAAATCTTCAAGAAGATGACTGGCAGAATAGCAAATGTGGTAGAATACACAACTGGGGAGGAGGCTAGGGATAAATTAGCAGTAAGTATCTGGAAAACCAAGCCATCAAACAAAAAAGACAGTTATTAATTTCAGAGAAAACAAAAAGTTGTTTAGAAAAGCAGAAGTAATCATATTACACTATAGCCCAGTTACCAATGTCATTTATATAGTCATAATAGTGTAACACTGAATAATGATCTAAGCAAAATCATAACATAACTATATTTGAAGAATAGGAAGATAATGAGAGGATAAGGAGAGACTGCAGAGAAGGGAGAAGATTGGGTAGTGGTTAGTAAAAAATTTAAAAGAAAGCTAGATCTTCATCTTTCATAGTAAAAGTCAAGATATAAGGTCTGAAATTTAAAAAATTAAGTAGCCACAATTAGAGATGCTGCTGTAAATATTTTTAAAAAGCTAGAAGAGTTGAAAGGTAGTTGCCTCTGAGAAGTGAGGGCTAAAAAAATAATATTTTTTTCAAAATTAGCCTGACTACTTATATATATATAGATGACAAATACAGAAACTAGATTTTTAAAAATCTATAATAAAAATGTATACATTGAAAGGTGAGCAGTCAGAAAATTAAGAATGTTTACACAGTAATCTAAAATCAGTTGCAACCTGAAATACTTTTTCTGTTGTTGTTAGAGACATGGTCTTGCTCTGTTGCCCAGGCTAGAGTAAAGTGGCACAATCATACCTCATTGCAGCCTGGAACTCTTGGGCTTAAGTAATCCTCCTGCCTCAGCCTACTGAGAAGCTGGGACTACAGGTGTGTGCCACCATGCCCAGCTAATTTTTTTTATTATTTATAGAAATGGGGTCTCACTGTGTTGCCCAGGCTGGTCTGGAACTCAGGCTCAAGTGATCCTCCCACATCAGCCTTCCAAAGTGCTGGGATTACAGGTGTCAGCCACCATGCCTGGACTGACTTCTGGAACAAAAACAAACTACTATACATAAGTTTTCTCAATAAGAAAAATATTACACTCCCTTAATTTATTTAACTCATACTTATGCATTTTTCAGACACTTCCTCAACATTGTTTGAAATCTCAGGAACTCAGTTATTTCACGTACTTACCAAGATGCTGATTTCCGAGTAATATAGCAAATCTTGGTCAGCAAAAGTTCCAGCAGATACCCTCGGTGAGAGTCTCCCAGCATATGTAATTCATCCACAACCACCATTCCTAAAAAGATTTTCCAGATACTAGGTTTTTACAGAATGTCACATCCATGAAGAATTTTTTTCCAACCTTTATTTCACTCTATTTAATTTCCTTTATATCAACTTTTATTTTAGATTTGGGGGTACATGTGAAGGTCTGTTACCTGGGTATATTGTGTAATGCTGAGGTTTGGATACAAATGATCCCATCACCCAGGTACTTAGCAATAGTACCCTATTATTAAATAGTTAGTTTTTCAACCCTTGTTCCCTTCTAGTAGTCCCCAGTTTCTGTTGTCGCTATCTTTATGTCCATGAGTACTCAAAGGTTAATTCCCACTTACGAGTGAGAACATGTGGTACTTGGTTTTCTGTTCCTGCATTAATTGGCTTAGGATAATGGCTCCAGCTGCATCCATGTGGCTTTGCTACAAAGGACATGATTTCATTCTTTTTATGACTGCGCCAAGAAGACATTTAAAAGACTCAATATCTTTGAAATAAGATATTGAGATGCCAATTCTTGCCTCCAGAAGTAGATAATAGACAAGAGAAAAACAAATGGGACCTAGAGAAATCACAACGGCTCCACTTCATTCCATCAAAAATAGCAATAGAAAGTATTTACTTATTTTCTAACTTTCCCACACAGTGATATAAGATATAATACACTATATAATACATTGCAAGTGATGCAAACTTCAAACCATAAATCAAAAATCATATTCCTTATAATGGGCAATTCTTTTCCAAGATGTTTCAGGTATTACAGGCAGTCGTACTACAAGGTATACTGATCTAAAAATCAATTATTAGCTTACTCAGGGCTAAACAAACCCAGGGAAAACTGCCTCTCATTACTCTTCTAAATTGGCAACTTCACCGAAATAAACATACAATGAAATATCAAAGACATCTATGTCAGTTTTCAATGTATTGACTTTTCAGTGGGAAAACATACATACTCATGTTAGAAAGTAGCTTAGAAAAAACATAAGAGGGTCCAGAAGAAAAAGACAATTTTAAGAGTTTTTTTTTAATATGGTAAGCTAGTGAGTCATCATACTGCAAAACATAAATATGATCACAATGTCCTTCACTACTTGGAGAATTTAACCAATGTATATACTTGGAATAATTCTTAAGAATTACTGAAAATTCAGTATCAACTAATACTTTCTTTAGTTAAACATTTTCATAACAACATAGTTTCCACATGTACTGGTATTCTCCCCACCCCAAATTCTCCCCACCAAAAGACAACTTTCTGGTGAAAAGGAATTTAAGGAGACAATAGGAAACTTCCTAATGACACATGATGTTCTTTTTCCTATCAATAAGCTGTCTCCAAAATTGTACTGTCTGATGAGTTATTTTAGCACTTACTCATTCATTCACCAAAAAAAAAAAAAAAAAAGTATTCTGCCTGCCGTGTGCCAAGCACTGTGCTAGGTACATTGGAAATAGCACTTACTACGAGTCTATTGCAACTCTCAAATATTTAAAGTCCAATGGGGTCACAAGTAATAAGACAATTCTGATACAAATCAATTGCAATTTCTCTCTCCAAGCTTTATGGAGCATAGCCTATGTCTGATTCCCACCCTCCACCCCTACCCTACCATAACTTTACCATGGTATTTTTAAGTTCACCAGCTTCTCAATAATTAGCTGATATTCTTGCTACTTCTGCTGCTGCAATCCTTCTATTCCTGTTGCTACCTCTACATAATGGCCTTTCCATAATGGCAAAAAAATGCATTAAGATAGAAAATCTTCCCACAATCCCAAGCTCAAATAGAGTGTCAGTTTCTTTAGCTTCCTACCATTTCCATGCTAAATGACAGACTCTGGGTCCAAGCCCAAAATAGACATCATAGCAGCAGAATATAATAACAAAAACCCATATACACTAACCACAAAATGGCAGATCTGGCCCAGCAGGCCTCCTTCTATTCCTGGTAGAGTTTAGATAGGAAAGAAGCAAGGAGAAATTATTGAGGGCTCAAGGATATAATCTACGTTTTGTAAAGTACAAAAATGCAACGTAACGGAGTCAATAACAGCAGCAGGACACAAAACTTATAAACACAGCGTTCCTAACATTACAGATGCCAATCCTTGCCTCCAGAAGTAGATAATAGACAATAGGAAAACAAATGGGACCTAGAGAAATCACAACAGCTCCACTTCATTCCATCAAAAATAGCAATAGAAAGTATTTACTTATTTTCTAACTTTCTTACCTAACAGATCCATCTTATTTTCCTCTATGAGGCGATTGATCAGACCATTGGCTCTCTCAATTGTGCAGACTGCAATATCCAATGAAGAGAAATGCCTTGATGGAGAGGTGCTGCCCATATAACCGTCTACTTTTATTCCTACTTCCTGAAACAGACTCTGAATTGAGTAAAAAGGAACAATACAGGTGAAAAAACTTGAAATTCAAGAGTTATAAACTGGTTCTATCCCAGAACATAGACATAAGTATCTAAAGACATCTACCAGATTACTGTCATCAGTTGTTTCTGGCCAGGACACACTGGTTCTTTTTAGATCATATACTAAAAATATAAAGTTTAGAACTGACAAAACTGTTAAGAGTCAAATAAAATTATGCCATTTTAATGACAGCATAATAATCTAAAAACTTCTAAGAGCTATTTAGAGGAATTAAAATTGGAGAAAAACTACCTTAAGCACTAACATTTTTAATCTAATAAATAGCAAGAAACTAGCTATAACACTTAAAGAAACAAATTTATACTTCATGAGGAAAATAGTCTCATTATCCTACTAATGACCAATTTTTTAATGTAATTGGAAGAAAAGTTTTTAAAAGTCAAATTCAGTGGGACTTTAATAATAATTTTTTTTTTTTTAGTTTAACTTTTAACTAACATACCTTTCAATAAAAAGGATCCTTTCATCATTTCGTTACTTTGGGTCTAAGTTGAGTGATGTTACCATGTATGACCAGCTTTGTTGGCTACTGTGCCTCTGAAATAACTATTAAAAAGATTTATAGAACCATAGAAATTTAGAGCTATTCATTCAATAAAATTTTCCTGAGTGTTTACTAAGTTAACCCACAGGGCTAAGGGTTAACATCCTAATTTTACAAATAAAAAAACTGAGGCCCAGCCAGTTATATGCCCGGCCTAAAGACATAGTTAGTGGCAAAACTGGGACTAGAACCCACATTTCTTTAACAATCAGTATAACAATCTTTCCATTTCAAAAGCACATATTTTTCACTGCAGAAATCACAACAGTAAATTTATTCCATTTAATAAAATATTGTATTTGTGAAAATGCCCTAAAAACTGTGAGCATCATATTGATGTAAACTACTATTAGTCATTTTTGCAGAACAGAGGAACAGATCACATACCTGGAGCTTTACCTAAGCACCAATGGATCTTGACCTTCATCCCCTAAATATTCCTAAATAGTCCTCAATTAGGGCAGGATACACTTCCTTAAACACTCTTTCCTTTCTATGCTTCAGTCTAGTCCTACTGTTCAGTTAAATGCTGATTCTTAATGTGCGTGTTTATATGCTAGTTTAAATATTCTGTTTATTTCCTAAGAAAAGGTTTACAAATTTTTACACAATTTTCACCAATTATTCTTTTGATTTGATGGCCCCTTCTCCTTAATGCAATAATAATTTTCTTTTAATTTCCTTCTGTAAATTTTTTTAATTTTTTTTTTTTTGAGACAGAGTCTTACTCTGTTGCCCAGGCTGGAGTGCAATAGCGTGATCTCGGCTCACTGCAACCTCCACCTCCCAGGTTCAAGCCTCAGTCTCCCGAGTAGCTGGAATTACAGGTGTGCGCCACAACACCCAGCTAATTTTTGTATTTTTAGTAGAGATGGGGTTTCCCCATGTTGGCCAGGCTGGTCTCGATCTCCTGACCTCAGATGATCCGCCCACCTTGGCCTCCCAAAGTGCTGGGATTACAGGCGTGAGCTACCACACCCAGCCCCTTGCTGTAAATTTTTAATGCTTTTGGCAGTAGCCTCTTAAAGCTACATAGGGCACAATGAAGAAACTTTGTTTTCCACTTGCTTTTATAATTCTATTTCAAATGAATGAAACCAAGACTGCCAATAATGAGCCTTTCACTATTTCAAACTTAGTAAAAAACATTACCTGGAGGTAGTATTTCTTCTCTTTAGCCACAGAAACAAAGGGAAGAATAAACAAAGCTTTCTTCCGCATTTCCAAAACCCGCTTCAAAATAAGTAATTCTGCCACAAGAGTCTTCCCAGCACTTGTAGGAGCTAAAACATGATTATTCCACAAGATTATAAGAAAAAAGTAATATTCGGTACAATTCATTAATAAATGTTTTAAGCCATGTGTAGTACTACAGAGCCTAAGGCTAACCAATCACTAAGGGCCCAATAGCACTTAAAATCTTTATACCCTGAAATGCCCTTTACTTTAAACCACCTGTCTTAATAGTCTCAACTAAAAACAGAGTAAATAAATCTTTATATCAGCAATATGATGAATACTACTGAGTACCTAGTTTATACCTAAAGATCCTTTCCTTTAAGTACCAAATGGGTAAAAGGCCTGCTTTGAGGAAGTAGATGAACAATTTTATTATGATAGGAGCTATGATCGAAGTTGAAGAAAAGGGCTGGGCATGGTGGCTCATGCCTGTAATCCCAGCATTTTAGGAGGCCAAGGCCGGGGGATCACTTGAGGTCAGGAGTTTGAAACCATCCTGGACAACATGGTAAAACCCCATCTCTATTACTATAAAAATAACAAAAAAAAAAATAGCTGGGCGTGGTGGCGGGCACCTGTAATCCCAGTTACTCAGGAGGCTGAGGCACAAGAATTGCTTGATCCTGGGAGGCAGAGGTTGCAGTGAGCCGAGATCACCCCACTGCACTCCAGCCTGGGCGACAGTGAGAGACTCCGTCTCAAAAAGGAAAAAAAAAAAAAAGAAGTGGAAGGAAAAAAGTTGCAAGGAATCTTATGGAAATGAAACAGAATTTATGAGAAGGTAAGGAAGAAAGCAAGAGGAGGCCACGATGGGCAAGGTGTTGTATGTCTGTAATCCCAGCATCTTGGGAGGCTGAGGCCTGAGAATCACATGAACCCAGGAAGAGGAGGCTGCAGTGAGTTGCAGTCACGCCATTGCACTCTAGCATGGGTGATACAGTGAGACTCTGTTCCAAAAAAAGAAAAAAGAAAGGAAGAGGAAAGGAATGCCATGCCTAAGAAACAGCATATGGTACAAAGGCCTAGAAGAAAGCCTGGCATGTTCAGATGACACAGAAGGTAATTTAGTAAGCATGGAGTATAAAGTACCCCAGGGGTATAAAAGAAGAGATATGAAAGTGCCACAAGAAAGGTTTATAATCCCACCATTTAAGGAGTTTAAACCTTGTCCTGAAAGCAATGCAGTGTGACTGATGAGTTTTATGAAAAGGAGTGACAAGATCATATTTGTACTTTATAAAGATCACTTTGGACTGGGCACAGTGAATCATGCCTGTAATCTCAAAACTTTGGGAGAATCACTTGAGCCCAGGAGTTCAAGACCAGCCTGGACAACACAGTGCCACCCCCATCTCTACAAAAAATTTAAACAAAAATTTTTTTTAAAAAGACCACTTTGGGGCCGGGCGTGGTGGCGGGCGCCTGTATGTAATTCCAGCTACTCCGGAGGCTGAGGCAGGAGAATCACTTGAACCCGGGAGGCAGAGGTTGCAGTGAGCTGAGATTGTGCCATTGTACTCCAGCCTGGGCAACAAGAGCAAAACTCCATCAAAAAAAAAAGACCACTTTGGCTGCAGGAGCAGGGCAAGATCAGAGGAAAAGAATGAACTAGTTTCAAAGCTATTGCATAATCTAGAAGAAAGATGATAATGAGCTGTACCAGGTAATGGACCTAAAAACAGAAAGGAGTCAGAAGCAAGAGATATATGAGGTAACAGACACCAGGACTTGGTGATTAATTGTATAAGCTGGTGACCAGAGTTCTGAATGATACCCAAGTTTCAGTTTCAAGCAATTGAAATGGTCAAGCAATTATGCCACTGCCACTAACTATGACTTCTTAGCATTTACAAGTATTTTATTTTTTGTAATGCCTTTTCACAATACAAGTACTTTCTATGTGCCAAAAACTGTTCTGAGCTTTTATATATGAAATAATTTAATCAACTCTAAGTACTACCGAGGCACACATACTCACAAACACATATACACTCTCTCACTCTTCCTAAGTAATCTGTGAGGCTGCATAGCCAGTAAGTGATAGTTTTCAAATCCAACCAGTCTAATTCCACTGCCTGAACTTATATCTGCTGATAATTATTTAATTCGTCCTTACAGCCATAATGAAAAATCTGTGTGACTCATAATTTCGGAGAAAACTGACACAAAGGAATTGCATCTTACCAAATGATTAGATTTAAAGTCAGTGTAGTAAGCATGCGTTAAAAATTGTGTATGCCATAGTTGCCCATGAAAACCCATATAGGGCCGGGCATGGTGGCTCATGCCTGTAATCCCAGGACTTTGGGAGGCTGAGGTGCGTGGATCACCTGAGGTCAGGAGTTCGAGACCAGCCTGACCAAGATGTGAAACCCCGTCTCTACTAAAAATACAAAAATTAGCTAGGCATGGCAGCGGGCATCTGTAATCCTAGGTACTCAGGAGGCTGAGGCAGGTGAATCACTTGAACCCGGGAGGCAGAGGGTGCCGTGAGCCGAGACAACTCCATTGCACTCCAGTCTGGGCGACAGAGCAAGACTCCATCTCAAAAAAAAAAAAGAAAACCCATAAAAATTTTATATAAAGTATATTACTTGTTGTTTGTATATACAACCCTGTACAAACAGGTCAATCTATAGCTGGGCACGGTGACTCACACCTATAATCCCAGCACTTTGGGAGGCTAAGGTAGGCAGATCACTTGTCAGAAGCTCAAGACCAGTCTGGCCAACACAGTGAAATCCCATCTCTACTAAAAATACAAAAAAGTAGCTGGGCCTGGTGGCGCACACCTGTAATTCCAGCTACTTGGGAGGCTGAGGCAGGAGAATCACTTGAACCTGGGAGGTGGAAGTTGCAGTAAGCCCACATAGCGCCACTGCACTCCAGCCTGGAGACAAACTCTATCTCAAGAAAAAAAAAAGGTAAATTAACAAACATGTAATGATAATGCTCATACCCTGAAAAGCAACCAGGATCAAACAGGGGAAGGGCAGATTTACATCTCCCATTGCACACTCACTGGGATATATGTTTGTTGAGAATAATGGCAGGCAGAATTGCCCACTCTTTAAATTGTCATTTTTCTTGCTTCCCTCCACCCCAGTCAAACAATAAAACTTTTGTAATTTAAATATAAATAAAACTCCACTTTTCACACATATTGTACGATTTTCTCTAGTTATAAAGCACTGCCTCATTCACCTTTTAAACGAACCACAACTACCTCAATAGAGTATTCTTTACATTCATATCTTAAAAATAGTAATTAGTTTACATAAATTTGGATACCTGAATAAACTAAATTCTTTCCTTCCAGGACTTGTCCAAGCAAAAGGCACTCTGCCTGCCATTCAAACATCTTTTTTACACCAAAACTGTGGTATTTTTCCAGAACTGCTTTAGGAAGTCCCCAGTTTGCCAATAGTAGCTTGTCTCTTTCGTAGTCAGGAACTGTAGGCTTGCATTCTCCTTTTAGGAAAAAGAAAAAATTAAAATTTAATTTACTTCTAATATATGAGTTTTACAGTTAGCCCTTCACCGTGTGTTGGAATTCCTATGTGTTGAAATGAAGCTCTTTAAAGCACATCCTGACTTCAAGAATCTTATGAGAAATTGACCATGTATAGAAAAGTAATAAATTGTTATTTACTGCATATAATAAAAATTCCTTAAAAGCCTCAAACGAACAAAAAAGCGTGCAATACACAGTAGATAAAGAGTGTTGGAATTACGGGTGTAGTTGGGGGAGGAGGGCAATATGCAAGCATTACAAAGCTAAGTTAGGTGAGTTTCTATTTATAGTAAGTTTTAGTTCCATGACGACTGCACAACTAACGATTTTAAAAAACTGGGTCGACATCCACGGGACACCCAACCAATCTCATTACGAATCCCTTCCAGCCTTCCCCTGGACGCCGAACAGCCTGTGCCGTACTCCAGGCCCAACAATCCTGTCTTAAGGGTCTGTAAGGAGTACTGGGTACTACCAGGAACGAGCCGCCCAACAGATGATGGGATGAAGCTAACTAGGAAGTTGTTTCTCTAAAGGTCGAAAGATCCAGAAGCCACGTGAACATTAATACCAGGCGATCACTGAAAACACGCGTATGTCTGAACAGAAAGTGACCTGCCACACCAGGCCCCAGTCACAGAGAAGGGGAGTAGAAGCCCAATGGGGTATGCAACGAAGCAAGTCCCGTGGGGTGAGGACACCTCCCGACCCATGGCCCGGCGGAGCTGCCCCCGTTGCCCGCGGCCTCCCGGGTTCCTGGAGCACCTGCAGCTGCGGCCTTCAGGCAGCGACCAAGGCCGGGCGGCGGGCTCAGCACGGACCCGGAGAGGAACTGGGGGCTGGCACTGCTGTCACCGCCGCTTCCCGAGAACGAATCTGAGCCTGATTCTGAACGCCGCCGTTTCCCACTCCGACGCAGAAGATTCATGGCAAACTCTTCTCGGCCGATCAGGGCAAGCCACAGTCCCAGCGTCCTCCCTCTCGGGAGAACCCTGGCCTGGCAACAGCTGCGGACATCTTCCCGCCAGTCTTCAAACTCAAACCTCCCGGCCCGCCCCGGAACCATAGAGTTCTCCGTGGCTTAAGTAACCCGAAAGCCATAGACTCGTGGGGAAGGAGCGGCTCTCGCTGGCGTCTAAGACTTCCGGCCTCCAACCTCCTGGTTGGTTAATATGAGAGATAGATTAAAGAGGAAGAATACAGAATCTACAGTTATAACCATACTGACCTAAAAGCCTTCCTTCTCCTTTTGTCCATTTCTGGTTTGAATAGGAAGGCCATGCTAACTTCATAAAATGGGCTGCCCATAATAGGTAGATCAGGGAAGTAGCTCTTCTTAACGTATTGGTATTCTGTAAAAAATTATTTCAGATTGAGAAGCATTATGCAAGATAGCCTAGGGTTTCTAATAGAGCATAATTTCCTCCTTTCTCCTAGTATATGATGGTAGGGCAGGGCTATTTCTGAACACAATTTCCATTTTAGCCAGCATGCATTGTGAGGAATATGTAATGAGGAATTGGGGATTGCTGGCTGACAGACCCCTGAGACACTATATGAACGCCGCGAGGAAGGGGCTCTGAATATACCCCAGGGATCGTTATGAGCCAAGAGCTTAGTAATGCATCTGTGTTGTCCCTTTTGTAAAGGTAGAAGCGAACGAGTTCTGAACGTAAAACGGTGACCATTCATTACCTAGTTGCATAATTCATTTCACCAAGCAAAACTAGTAGGCCCTAAGCCTGACCTGAAGAGGCTGTGCAGTTCTAGAGCACTAAAAATCTCAAAAGGTCCAGTCCAATTAAAAAAAAAAAAAACACTCGAATACAATCTGGAAAATAGCATTCGAACCATCAATTCCTTCCGTGAAAACATTTTTTTGATTTAAATGACAATATTCTAAAGTTCCACGAGATGGCGACATTACTCCGTGAATGAAACATTTTTCTCTTGGCCTTTTACGCAATCAACAACTATTTACTGAGTATCTACTGTAAGCTAGCCACTGGGTAAATGGCAGTGAAATGGCATAAAATGGTTCCTGCTCTCAAAGAGAAAGAGTCTAGAGAATAAGGCAGACATTAAACAAGTCAGTTAATGAAGTGTGCCATATGCTTGGGCAGAAATGAAGAGTACTATTAAAGAAATAAAAGAGATCTCGCCGGCCGTGGTGGCTCACGCCTGTAATCCCAGCACTTTGGGAGGCCGAGATGAGTGCATCACCTGAGGTCAGGAGCTCTAGACCAGCCTGGCCAACATGGTGAAACCCCGTCTCTACAAAAATACAAAAAATTAGCCGGGTATGATGGCGGGTGCCTGTAATCCCAGCTACTCTGGAGGCTGAGGCGGGAGAATTGCTTGAACCTGGGAGGCGGTGGTTGTAGTGAGCCGAGATCGCACCACTGCACTCCAACCTGTGCGACAAAGAAAGACTCCGTCTCAAAAAAAGAAAAAAAAAAAAAAGAGAGAGAGACCCCTAGATTGCAGCCAAGAAAGAACTTTCTCAGATGCAGTGTAACTTAAGGGTTAACAGTGCAACTCTGGAGTCAGTCAGTCTAGGTTTGAAACTTAGTAGCTGTGAGATCTTGGGCAACTTGCTTAACCCATTTTTTGTTTGTTTGTTTGTTTTGAGACGGAGTGTCCCACTCTGTCGCCCAGGCTGGAGTGCAGTGGCTTGATCTCTGCTGACTGCAACCTCTGCCTCCCAGGTTCAAGCGTTTCTCCTGCCTCAGCCTCCCAAGTAGCTGGGATTACAGGCCTGCACCACCACACCTGGCTAATTTTTGTATTTTTAGTACAGACAGGGTTTCACCATGTTGGTCAAGCTGGTCTCGAACTCCTGACCTCAAATGACCCGTCCACCTCCGCCTCCCAAAGTGCTGGGATTACAGCGTAACCCTTTTGTGCCTCCATGTCCTCATCTGTATGATAGAGATAATAATTGTAACAACCTATTTGGTTATTTTGAGGACTGAGTAAGTCAATATGTGTAAAGTACTTAGAATAGTGCCGGCACATAATAAATACTATTCAGAGAAAATATTTAGATGTTCTAATATAGCCCCCAATTTAAATTCAGCATTTTGCTGGGAAAAGGCTAAACTAGAAAAATCTCTTACAAAGCTATTCTGTTTTTATTATTAGGTGAACTATGATCAAATCAGAAAAATAATTAGAAAGGAATTGAAAGTTTTATGTCATCCTACCAAAAGCCTAGAGAATATTTTAAAATATATAATTTATTTTAAATGTTCAACATTTCTAATTTTTTCAGAAAAACTCTGAAAATGGAGAATAGAAGGCTATTTCTCAAAAATATTAAAGATGTTTATGCTAACAGTTATCATAATAACTAATATTAAAATACCAGAAGCATTTTCCATCTGTATTGTGTCTAAACTCGTGTTCCTTGGAATTTTGTCTGTGATAATTCCTCAAGGAGGCAGGGTGCAGTGGCTCACACCTGTAATCCCAGCACTTTGGGAGGCCAAGGCAGGCCGAATCATTTGAGGTTAGGAGTTCGAGACCAGCCTGGCCAACATGGTGAAACCCCATCTCTACTAAAAATACAAAAATTAGCCAGGCCTAGTGGTGCACCTGTGGTCCCAGCTACTTGGAAGGCTAAGGCAGGAGAATGGCTTGAATCTAGGAGGTAGAGGTTGCAGTGAGCCAGGATCACACTGAGGGAAGAGAGAGACCCTCTCATATTGGGAAGAGAGAGACCCTCTCATATTGTTTTATATTGTATTATACTCAGTACTTGTTTTTTTTAAAAAAAAAAAAAAAAACAAGGAAGTAAAACCAAAGACCAGCAGCCCGGCGCCACGCCCGAAACCAGGCCTGGGCCTGCCAGGCCTCAACCCAGTAGTTAAAAATCAACTCATAACTTAGAAACTGATGTTATTCATAGATTCCACACATTGTATAGAAGAACATCGTGAAACTCCTTGCCCTGTTCTGTTTCTTTCTGAATACCAGTGCATGAAACCCCTGTTACGTATCCCCTAGACTGCTCAGTCAACCACGATCCTTTCGTACGAAAACTTTAGTGTCGTGAGCCCTTAAAAAGGACAGAAACTGTGCATTTGGGGAGCTTGGATTTTGAGATAGTAGCTCACTGATACTCCCAGCTGAATAAAGCCCTTCCTTCTACAACTCGGTGTCTGAGAAGTTTTGTCTGCAGCTCATCCTGCTACAACACCATTGCACTCCAGCCTGGGTGATAGAGCAAGACTCAGTCTCAAAAAAAAAAAAAAATTCTTCAAGGTCTGAGCAAACCCCTCCAAATAAAATTTACACATACTTCTGCCAGTTACCTGGGAGACATACCAATTGTGGATCACTTTAAATTTAATCTTTGGCTTTTTAAAAAATATGTAAGTAGTAGAATTATGCTAGATACCCAGAGTCAGGTTTGTGCAGGCTTGCATCCTTATTGTCTCAATCTGCAGGACAGATATTTCTCTGCTTCATTCACTGAGAGTGCTGCCTTTCTTGGGTTTTGGCTTTCTGCAGAAATTTTTTTTTTTTTTTTTTTGAGACAGAGTCTCACTCTGTTGCCCAGGCTGGAGTGCAGCGGTGCGATCTCAGCTCACTGCAACCTCCGCCTCCCAGGTTCAAGCGATTCTTGTGCCTCAGCCTCCCGAGTAGCTGGGACCACAGGTGGGCATCACCACGCCCAGCTCACTTTTGTATTTTTTGGTAGAGATGGGGTTTCACCATGTTGGCCAGGCTAGTCTTGAACTCCTGACCTCAAGTGATCCACCCCTCTTGGCCTCCCAAAGTGCTGTGATTACAGGTGTGAGCCACCACACCTGGCCTATGCAAAGAATTTTAGATCTTACTTCTCACCCTGCTGGGAACAACAGAGCCCATAATCCATGCTCTAGACTCCAGGGGGAACAGCAGGCATCACTATGGAAAACTTTGGGTCTAGTGCTTTTCTTAATCCTCTAGAATATGTTTGACATTTCTGTCCTACAAAGGATTCCCTGATTTTAATCAACTTAGTTATGAATTTTAAAAGTTTTTAAAATATAATATTTAGAATTTTAAGGAAGATGTGCCATACTCGAAGTGGTTTTTTTTTTCAGTTTAATATTGCTAAAAACAGAAGAAAAAAAGCCCCCAAATAACAATAATTGATGTACATTCAAAAACATCATCTGATTTTTTTTAACTTTACATAAATTATCAAGAGTGATTTCCCATGGAAATTTCAGAAGTTATATGGAAAAATAAAATTTTACCCAAATTAGGCCAGGCACAGTGGCTGACACCTATAAACCTAGCACTTTGGGAGGCCAAGGCGGGAAGATCACTTGAGCCCAGGAGTTTGAGCCTAGCCTGCACAACATAGTGAAACCCTATTTCTACAAAAAATTTAAAAATCAGCCAGGAGTGGTGGCCCATGCCTGTAGCCCCAGCTACTAGGGAGGTTGAGGAGAGAGGATTGCTTGAACCCAGGAGATTGAGGCTGCAGTGAGTTGTGATGGCACCACTGCAATCCCCCGAGTGACCCGGTTTCAAAAATAAAAATAAAAACAAAAACAAAAATTACTCAAACTACATTTGTGAATTGACTAAAACAGAATTATCTACCCAGACTGAAAACTCTGTTTCTCATGTGATGTGAGTGGAAGTGATTTACAAAAAGGCAAAGAAAGAAAGGAGCTGGAAAATAAACAACGAACGTGGAATAAGGGTAGTACTGATTAGGTCTGAGGTACTCAGAACAAAGGAGATGCTAATTAAGGAGATTTTGTGTTTGAAATCCAGTGACTCTCAGCTAAAACAAGTCCAGTGGTACACATTAGAATCCCTAGGGAGCTTTTAAAATATTATAATACCCCTGGAGATTCTGAGTTAATTGATCTGGGATGGAGTGCAGGCACTGACATGTCTTAAAAGCTCCCCAGGTATTCTGACATGCTGGAATTGAAAACTACCAGTGCGGCCGGGGGCGATGGCTCACACCTGTAATCCCAGCACTTTGGGAGGCCGAGGCGGGCGGATCACGTGAGGTTGTCGAGAGTTCGAGACCAGCCTGACCAACATGGAGAAACCCTGTCTCTACTAAAAAAAAAGAAAAGAAGAAAAGAAAGGCCGGGCATGGTGTCTCATGCCTGTAACCCCAGCACTTTGGGAGGCCGAGGCGGGTGGATCACGAGGTCAGGAGATCAAGACCATCCTGGCTAACACAGTGAAACCCTGTCTCTACTAAAAATACAAAAAAAATTAGCCAGGCCTGGTGGCGCGCACCTGTAATACCAGCTACTTGGGAGGCTGAGGCAGGAGAATCGCTTGAACCCGGAAGTCAGAGGTTGCAGTGAGCTGGGTTCGCGCCACTACACTCCACCCTGGGTGACAGAGCGAGACTCCATCTCAAAAAAAAAGAAAAGAAAAGAAAACCACCAGTGCACACAAGGGATGAGGCTGACTTGAATTCAGGTGGCTTCAGTGAGAAAGTTTTAATAAGAGGCTTAAATTAACAAGGAACTCTGACAAAGACCTATTTTTCCACAATGCCTCAAAGAACTAGTTGAAATAGCTTACTTGTAGATGCAGATGAAAGCACAACTGAAATAACTTCAAAAGTCTAAGTTAAAACATCAGAAAGCCAACTTGAAGGTAGTAAAACTAAAGAATGAATCCCAATAAAAAGACTAAATTACTTGAACATGTAAGAACACAAACCCATAACTTCCAGATTCATACATAGTCCTGTCTTAGTTTGGCTGCTATAGTAAAATTCCTTTGACTGCATAATTTATAAACAACTGAAATGTATTGTTGGCTGGGGGCAGTGGCTCATCCCTGTAACCCCAGCACTTCGGGAGGCCGAGGCGGGTGGATCACTTGAGGTCAGAAGTTTGAGACCAGCCTGGCCCACATGGTGAAACCCTATCTCTACAAAAAATACAAAATTAGCCAGGCGTAGTGGTGTGTGCCTGTAATCCCAGTTACTCTGGAGGCTGAGGCAGGAGAATCACTTGAACTCAGGAGGCAGAGGTTGCAGTGGGGAAAATCGCACCACTGCACTCCAGCGTGGGTGACACAGTGAGACTCCATCTTAAAAAAAAAAAAAAATATGTTTTCTGTCTTGTCTCTCTTGCTTGGCTGACCTTCCTTTGTCCCTGGACTAGAGAAAACTAGGATTTTCTTGTGACTTCTTGTTGTTGTTGTTGTTGTTTTGTTTTGTTTTGGTTTTGGTTTTGGTTTGTGTTCATTGGCATTTCCAGGTTGCTGGCCTCTCCAGTGTCCCGTTTAGAATATATAAAACAAAAAAACAAAACCCAAGCAATTCACAAAAGTTTAGTTTTTTGGTTCCCCAGGTCCTTGCCTGGTCTGCCTTCAGAATCTTCATATGTTTGTTTACATATAATGGTCAGGGCTTTTAGTTCCACTTCTCAGGAGGAACGGGGGAAAGCATATCTACTTCATCGTCCCAGAAGCAGAATTCCCACCTTTTAGTCTTTTAACCATCTTTTTACAAACAGACATTTACAGTGTATGATACTGCCCTTCCCAGATCCCTTTTACTGGTTGTTTGACCCGACCCCTGGCTGCCATGTTGGTTGATAACTCACAGCTGCCCCCTCCTTGGAGGAATATCTCAGGGACAAACAGAAGCTGTCTTTGTGTGGCCTATGCACCACCATCTACACTTTCGGCCAGGGCCTGACTGCTATCAATGCTGCAGATTCGTGCTACAGAGCTTCCTCCTGAAATGAGACTGAAGCTAGTCTGCAGCTGAGACCATGTTCTTGATACTTATGGTGCTGAATTTATCCATCTTTTCTCTTATGGTTAATGCTATTTATGCATTTGTTATCTACCATCCCTCCTCCAACTTCCCTGCTACCTTTTCCCCTTTGACCATCTCTGGTTCTCCTCTTTTACTCCTTCCATTTTTCTAAATGTGTTTCTGTGATATCAAGGTGGACAAAGCTAATCTCAACTCACTTCAGCTCTCTAAGCTTCGATTATCTCATCAGCAAAGTGGGAGTAATGTACCAACCTCGCACACTCCATAAGATCATGCACTTGCAGGCACTTGCACAGGGTTTGCAACACAATGAGAGAGAATAGACAGAAGCAATTTGTATCGTAATTCCATTGCCTCAGACTCTTTTATGTTACCTACTCTATTTTATACTTTAATTTGTAAAAGAAATATATTATTTTCTCTGTGTAAAATTCACAGCAAAGGTGGGCATCTTCTGCTTTCCTTTGGTACCTCAGCCCTTCCATCTTATTGTGCTCCTCCCCTGTTGCTCAGACCAGAACACATCTCACTCCTCCCAACTATCTTCTGCCATTCTCACTGTTCTCTGCCACACCCTGTGCTCCCTCTTGCCAGTAGCTTTCTGTCCCTGTCCTGGTCTTCTGTAGAAAAATGCTCAAGTTCTCCTGTCCACAGCATTCTTAGAGACCCAGTCTAAATCAGAGAAATTGGAGGGAGAGTTGAGTGGGACATGCAGAGAATAATGAAAGCTCCTCTTCTTGTCTCTATATTAAAAAAAAAAAAAATTAAGGCTGAGAGCAGTGACTTAGCACTTTGGGAGGCTGAGGCAGGTGGATCACTTGAGTTCAGGAGTTCAAGACCAGCCTGGCCAACATGGTGAAACTCCATCTCTACTAAAAATACAAAAATTAACTGGCCATGGTTGCTGCGCGCCTGTAGCCCCAGCTACTCAAGAGGCTGAGGCACAAGAATCGATTGAACCCAGGCGACAGAGGTTGCAGTGAACCCAGATGGCGACATTGCACTCCAGTTTGGGCGACAGAGCAAGACTCTGTCAAAAAAAAAAAAAAAAAACCGCCAAGAGTGGTGGCTCACGCCTGTAATCCTAGCACTTTGGGAGGCTGAGGTGGGTGGATCACAAGATCAGGAGTTCAAGAACAGCCTGTCAAGATGGTGAAACCCTGTCTCTACTAAAAATACAAAAAAAAAAAAAAATTGCCGGGTGTGGTGGTGGGTGCCTGTGATCCCAGCTACTCAGTAGGCAGAGGCAGGAGAATCACTTGAATCCAGGAGGTGGAGGTTGCAGTGAGCCACAGCACTCCAGCCTGGGCAACAGAGCGAGACTCCATCTCAAAAAAAAAAAAAGAAATGAGTTAGAAGATGAGGGGACAGTTGGAGCTAAGCGAATTAGCAATTAATTTCAAAAAGCAAAATTGTTCATATTGATATTTAAGAGAAAAAGTGGCTTGCAAAATTTAATAGGAAGCATGATACAAATATTTTGGAAAAATATAAACACATAGACACACTCAATAGAAATAAGTAGATTATACCAGGCACAGTGACTCATGCCTATAATCCCAGCACTTCAGGAGGCCAAGGCAGGCAGATACCTGTGGTCAGGAGTTTGAGATTAGCTTGGCTAACATGGTGAAACCCCATCTCTACCAAAAAATACAGAAATGAGCTGGGCGTGGTGGTGTATGCCTGTGATCTCAGCTACTCGGGAGGCTGAGACAAGAGAATCGCTTGAAGCCAGGGGGCAGAGGTTGCAGTGAGCCGAGATCACGCCACTGCACTCCAGCCAAGCCAAGATCGTGCCACTGCACTCCAGCCTGGCCAATAGAGAAAGACTCCATCTAAAAAACAAACAAACAAACAAAACAAGGCCGGATGCGGTGGCTCACGCCTGTAATCCCAGCACTTTGGGAGGCTGAGGTGGGTGGATCGCTAAGGGTCAGGAGTTCCAGACGAGCCTGATCAACGTGGCGAAACCCCATCTCTACTAAAAATACAAAAATTTGCTGGGCATGGTGGCACATGCCTGTAATTCCAGCTACTCGGGAGACTGAGGCAGAAGAATCTCTTGAACCCTGGGGTGGAGGTTGCAGTGAGCGGAGATCTTGCCACTTCACTCCAGCCTGGGCAAAAGAGTGAATGAAACTCCATGAAAGAAAGAAAGAAGAGAGAGAGAGAGAGAGACAGAAAGAAAGACAGACAGACAGACAGACAGAAAGAAAGAAATAAAGAAAAGAAAGAAAGAAAAAAGAAGGAAAGAAAGAAAGATGAAAGAAGGAAGGAAGGAAGGAAAGAAAGAAAGAAAGAAAGAAAGAAAGAAAGAAAGAAAGAAAGAAAGAAAGAAAGAGAAAAGAAAAGAAAGAAAGAAAAAGGAAGGAAGGGAGGGAGGGAGGGAAGGAAGGACGGAAAGGGAGACCTGAGACTGAGTAATTTATAAAAGAAAGAAGTTTAATTGGCTCACAGTTCTGCAGGCTTTACAAGAAGCATAGTGCTAGCATCTACTCAACTTCTAGGGAGGCCTCAGAAAGCTTATAATCATAGTAGAAGGCAAAGGGGGAGCAAGCACTTCACATGGAGAAAGGAGCAAACAAGAGAGAGAGTGCATGGGTGGTGGGTGGGGGTGTGACACACTTTTAAACGATCAGGTCTTGTATAAACTCAGAGTCTGGGAGCTCACTTATCACCAAGAGGATGGCCCAAGCCATTCATGAAGTATCCGCCCCCATGATCCAAACCTCCCACCAGACCCCACCTCCAACACTGGGGATTACAATTCAACATGAGGTCTGGGTGGGGACAAATATCCAAACTGTATCACTGCTCAAATATATTGTCTCTCTCTTCCAGATTTCTTTTTTTTTTTTTTTTTGAGACGGAGTCTTGCTGTCGCCCAGGCTGGAGTGCAGCTGCACGATCTCGGCTCACTGCAGGCTCCGCCCCCTGGGGTTCACGCCATTCTCCTGCCTCAGCCTCCCGAGTAGCTGGGACTACAGGCGCCCGCCACCTCGCCCGGCTAATTTTTTGTATTTTTAGTAGAGACGGGGTTTCACCGTGTTAGCCAGGATGGTCTCAATCTCCTGACCTCATGATCCGCCAGCCTCGGCCTCCCAAAGTGCTGGGATTACAGGCGTGAGCCACCGCTCCTGGCCCAGATTTCTAATTAGAAATACATTAGACTTTCCTACTCTATTATCCCCACCCATTTCCTAATTTCTTTCTCTCTCTCTCTCTCTCTCCCTCCCTCCCTCCCTCCCTCCCTCCCTCTCTCTCTCTCTCTCTCTCTTTCTTTCTTTTCTTTTTTTTTGAGACAGAGTCCTGCTCTGTTGCCCAGGCTAGAGTGCAGTGGTGTTATCTTGGCTCAGTGCAACCTCTGACTCCTGGGTTCAAGCAATTATCTTACCTCAGCCTCCCCAGTAGCTGGGATTACAGGTACCCACCACCACGCCCAGCTAATTTTTTTTTGTATTTTTTAGTAGAGACGGGGTTTCACCATGTTGGCCAGGCTGGCCTCGATCTCCTGA
This sequence comes from Homo sapiens, assembly GCF_000001405.40. Lineage (NCBI taxonomy): Eukaryota > Metazoa > Chordata > Mammalia > Primates > Hominidae > Homo > Homo sapiens. The sequence goes on from NC_000003.12 coordinate 121,556,236, forward strand.
CCTCAGGTGATTTCCCTATCTTGGTCTCCCAAAGTGCTGAGATTACAGGCGTGAGCCACCTTGCCTGGCCCCATTACTTAATTTCTTCCTCCTTGGGAAAAGGATATTCCCAGCAGCCGGGATCTTGGCATTTCCTCTTCCCATGAACTATCTTGTGCCCTTTAAGAAAAACTTTCAGGAAACTGTTTGGACTTATGGGTTTCTGCTCACTTAGTTATGGAAGATCAACTTTAAACATTGATTTTAGGGTTTTCCTAAAATATTTTGTCACAATCAAAATTGTAGTTGATCAAGGCCCACCCATTTCTTTTACAAATGAGAAAGAAAAAAAGAAAAAGATTACATTAATTCATGCAATTATTCCACAGATATTCTGCTTTAAAAGTTATCTTCTCAGTGAGGCCTTCCTTGACCACCCTTTCTAAATATCCCCCATTGGCTCAGCTCTCTTTTCTCTTCTTCTGCTTTATATTCTTCATAACACTTATAAGTCTCTGTAATGTATTATTTGTTTACATTTTTAACTTTTTTTTTTTTTTTTGAGACAGAATCTTTCTCTGTCACCCAGGCTGGAGTAAAGTAGCATAGTCTCTGCTAACTGCAACCTCCCCTTCCTGGGTTCAAGCAATTCTTCCACCTCAGCCTCCCAAGCAGCTGGGATTACAGGCGTGCACCACCACACCCAGCAATTTTTGTATTTTTAGTAGACACGTTTTTTTCACCATGTTGACCTAGCTGGTCTTGAACTCCTGGCCTCAAGCAGTCCACCTGCCTGGGCCTTCCAAAGTGCTGGGATTACAGGCATGAGCCACCACACCTGGCCGTTTGCATTTATTTACATTTTTATAGACTTCCTCACCAGAAAGTAAGTTCCATGAAGGCAGGAACTTTGCCTTCTATGTCTTATCTCCAGCACTTAGTACAATGTATGACACATAGCAGACACTCACAGACATTTGGAATGAGTGAGTGACCACTATGTCAGACACATTGCTGGGCTCTGGGATACAGTGATGAATGAATGGGACCCAGTCTCCCCTTTTGTGAATCTCAATTTCAAACCATCTGACTACGTTTTCTAAAGTTTTTCACTTTTGTTCTTTGACTTGGAAAAAGAGAGGTTTAGTTTGAGGAAGGCTTTACTGAGTGTGCTATGTTCCCTGAGACATAAATATTAACCGCTCATATTAGAGACAAGAGTTGTGAGCATTTGAGAATGACTCCTAAACTTTGACTCTCTTGGAGTTTGATATCTGTGCCCTGATTTCCTTAGTCTGATTTGTCCTTTTTCTTCCTCCTGGAATGAGAGAGGGAATAGCTATGAAAACCTTGAAGAAGACTTTTTTTTTTTTTTTTGAGACAAAGCCTCGCTGTGTTCTCCAGGCTGGACTGCAGTGGATTTTCACAGGCACAATCAGCACACTGTAGCCTGTAATGCCCAGGCTCCAGTGATCTTCCTGCCTCATCCTCTCAAGTAGCTGGACTACAGGCATGCACCACCACACCCTTGAAAGAGGCTTTCACCAATGAAGGAAGAATGAGGCAAAGGTCAAGAATTATATTTCCAGTGGCTCACACCTGTAAGCCTAGCACTTTGGGAGGCTGAGGCGGGTAGATCGCTGGAGCCCAGGAGTTTCAGACCAGCCTGAGCAACATGGCGAAACGCCATCTCTACTAAAAATACAAAAATTAGCCAGGCGTGGTGACCCGTGCCTGTGATCCTAGCTACTCGGGAGGCTGAGGTGGAAGGATTGCTGGAACCCAGGAGGTGGAGTTTGCAGTGAGCTGAGATCGCACCACTGCACTCCACTCCAGCCTGGGTGATGCAGTGAGACTCTGTCTCCAAAAAAAAAACAGGAGCCAGGCATGTTGGTGCACACTCATACTCCCAGCTACTCAGGAGGCTGAAGCTGGAGGATTGCTTGGGGGCTTAGGAGGTCAAGGCTGCAGTGAGCTATGATCATGCCACTACACTGCAGCCTGGGCAACAGAGTGAGACCCTGTCTCCAAAAAATAAATATAAAAAAGATTCCAGTCATGTGCTTTCTTTTTCTGTCTAATCTTGTCTCCATCTTTGTCAACTCTGCCTCTGTCTCTTTTCCAGATGTTTTTAAAAATCTCTTTCTTGGGCCGGGCGCGGTGGCTCACGCCTGTAATCCCAGGACTTCCGGAGGCTGAGGCGGGTGGATCACGAGGTCAGGAGATTGAGACCATCCTGGCTAACACAGTGAAACCCCGTCTCTACTGAAAATACAAAAAATTAGCTGGGCGTGGTGGTGGGCGCCTGTAGTCCCAGCTGCTCGGGAGGCTGAGGCAGGGGAATGGCATGAACCCGGGAGGCGGAGGTTGCAATGAGCCAAGATCACGCCACTGCACTCCAGCCTGGGCAACAGAGCAAAACTCCGTCTCAAAAAAAAAAAAAAAAAAAAAAAAATCTCTTTCTTGGCCAGGCGCGGTGGCTCACGCCTATAATCCCAGCACTTTGGAAGGCCAAGATGGGCAGATCACGAGGTCAGGAGATCAAGACCATCCTGGCTAACACAGTGAAACCCCGTCTATACTAAAAATACCAAAAAAATTAGCCAGGCTTGGTGGTGGGCGCCTGTAGTCCCAGCTACTCAGGAGGCTGAGGCAGGAGAATGGCGTGAACCCAGGAGGCAGAGCTTGCAGTGAGCCAAGATCGCACCACTGCACTCCAGCCTAGGGGACAGAGCGAGAGTCCATGTCAATACATAAATAAATAAATAAATAAATAAATAAATAAATAAATAAATAAAACAAAATAAAATAAAAATCTCTTTCTCTCTCTGCCTCCGTCTTCAAGGGTTTCAATTTCTTTCTTTCCCTCAGTCACTGCTCCGGCTGTTTTGCTGTCTCTCCCTCCTCCTATTTTCTCCTTCTCTGCGTCTGACTTTCTGTTTTTCTATCTCTGAATCTCATTGAATTTTTTCCTTCTTTCACACTTCTAATTTTTGTGACTCATCTCTATATATAGAGTGGGGGTTGTGTACAAAGTCTTTGGAGTCAGATAAGTCTTGAATTAGAACCCGGCTCTGCCACCTCCTGAGTCTAACCTTGGGCACACTGTCATATCCATATAAGCCCCACTTTTCTTACTGATAAGAACATAATCTGGCCGGGCGCGGTGGCTCACGCGGGTAATCCCAGCACTTTGGGAGGCCGAGGTAGGTGGATCACGAGGTCAGGAGTTCGAGACCAGACTGGCCAACATGGTGAAACCCCATCTCTACTAAAGATGCAAAAAATTACCTGGGCATGGTGGCACACGCCTGTAGTCCCAGCTACTCGGGAGGCTGAGGCAGGAGAATTGCTTGAACCCGGGAGGCGGAGCTTGCAGTGAGATGAGATCACACCACTGCACTCCAGCCTGGGCAACAGAGCGAGACTCCGTCTCAAAAAAAAAAAAAAAAAAAAAGACCACCTCACCTGGGGTCACCAAAATGTATGTGGGGATTTCTCCCCAGCAGCAACCAATTCTGCAGCAGATTCTCCAGTGGGCACCAGCTAAGTGTCCTCTAATTGAGTTCAATTCCGACACTACCTGCCTGGAAATAGCATCTGATCCAGCAGGTCAAGAGCTCAGTCCCACAAGGCTGTCCCCACTTCAGATGCCTGTTGCAAGCACAGGTTATGGTCTATGCTTTGACCCACTGGCTATAAATTTGGGTTCCCACAACCCTGTCTTTGGGTATAATTAATTTGCTTGAGTGGCTCACAGAACTCAGAGAAACATGGTTTTGTTTTGTTTTTGAGACAGGGTTCATTCTGTTGCCTAGTCTGGAGTGCAGTGGTGCAATCCTAGCTCACTGCAGCCTGGACCTCCTGGGCTCAAGGGATCCTCCCACCTCAGCTCCTGAGTAACTGGCACTGCAGGCATGTGCCACCTTGCCCAGCTAATTTTTTTTATTTTTTTGTAGAGATGGAGTCTCACTATGTTATCCAGACTGGGCTCAAACCTCTGGCTTCAAGTGATCCTCCCACCTCGGTCTGTCAAAGTGTTGGGATTACAGGCATGCACCACTGCACCTGGTAAACACTTTACTTATGTTTACTGGTTTATTAATAAAGGATATAATAAAAGATACTGAAGAGCCAGATGAAGGGATACCTATGGCAAGGTTTGTGGGAAGGGGTGCAGAGCTTCCATGCCTGCTCTGGGCTCACCACCCTTCAGGAACTTCATCATGTTCAGCTATCCAGACACTCTTCTAAACCCTGTCCTCTTGGGTTTTTATGGAGGTTTCATTATGTAAGCATGATTGACTGGATTATTGGCCATTAGTGACCATCTTAACCTTTAGCCTTCTGTCGTCTCCTTGAAGATTGGAGGGTGGGGCTGAAAGCCCCAATCCTCTAATCATGCCTTGGTCTTTCTGGTGACCAGCCCCACACTGAAGCTACCTAGGGCTGCCAGCTACCAGTCATTGTGTTGACATACAAAACACACGATTATCACTCCAGAGATTCTGACTTTGCGGAGCTCTGTGCCAGGAAATATACATGTGCATATACATTTTACTGTAAATCACAGTATTACAGATGATTTAATGTTCTGATTGCTCCAGTGATATTAATCGCTTTAACCTTGTGAAAGTAATCAGAACTAAAATGGTGTCATTAATGTTAAAAACAAAAACAAAAATCCTGACGAAAAGAGCTGGGGAAGGCCATGAATAGAAGGTCCTCATGCTTATATGCCTGATAACAAAAACTATCACAAAAGATTCTGCCAAAAATACAACCTTGCACAGTGGCCATCGCGATCTTACACAAAAGATACTTCTGGAAGGACATCTGCCTAGCAACTGCCTGTCCAACCTCAGACTGGCATCATCCTTGTTATTGATTTTTGTAGCCGGGGATAATTGTTTCAAAATAATTATGTAATTCTCTTCGTTTCTTCCTTTAAACATCTTTGTCTTCCTCTACCTCCCTGAATATGCCCATAATTTATTATGGCATGTGTATTCCCTTTGCAATGCTCTATTCCCAGATTTATATCTTTTCCTTTTAGAGGGCCTCTTTCCATTTGTTACTTGGGTTGACAACCTCAGAACCACCCCAAAAGGTTAGGTAACATGCCCAGGGTTGGCCGGGCGTGGTGGCTCACGCCTGTAATCCCAGCACTTTGGGATTCCGAGACAGGCGGATCACGAGGTCAGGAGATTGAGACCATCCTGGCTAACATGGTGAAACCCCATCTCTACTAAAAATGCAAAACATTAGCCGGGCGCGGTGGCGGGCGCTAGTCCCAGCTACTCGGGAGGGTAAGGCAGGAGAATGGCGTGAAGCCAGGAGGCGGAGCTTGCAGTGAGCCGAGATTGTGCTACTGCACTCCAGCCTGGGAGACAGAGCGAGACTCTGTCTGAAAAAAAAAAAAAAAAAAATGCCCAAGGCCACACATCTAGTAAATAGTGGAGCCTAGATGCATATATTCTGGCTCCAGGGCCCATTCTCACTGTTTTCTACATTTTCTCACTCTCCTTATCCTTCCTTTTCTGTCCTTCTCCTCATCTTGCAGATACTTTTACTTCTGGGGAAACTGCCTAAGTTTTATTTACATCTTTGCCTTCTTTTAGCTCTTCACGTTTGAACAAGGACACTGGCAGGCAGGAGTTAGGGAGGAGTCTTAGGCCCTGCCAAGCTCAGAGGAGGGCGAGCTGGAGAAGAAGCAACCTGGGGATAAGAAAGAATGAGCCAATCAGACTTTCAGAAACAAGACCAGCTCCTGGAATAAGGGTCTTGTCCCAAGGGCACTAGTCTTTTAGGATGAATAAATGGGTTTACTGGAATGAAGACACAATATCCCCAACAACCATAATCTATGCCACATAGCTGCACAGGATCTTCCCTCAGGGTGGGAGTGGAGATTAAGGGCAGGCCCCTAAGGCTCCTTCCAGACAATTTCCCTCCCTTTCAACACAAGCCATGGGCTTCTACCTCTGCTGACAGTTCTCTCCTGGCTCATTGCTGAAGCTGGGAATCTTTGCTGTCTTCTGGGGTGCTCTCACCTAGGACATTCTCTCCCCTTTGTGCTACAGGGCACTCCTACAGTCTTACCTCTTCACACACTGGCTTCTATCTGCAAGAAAGGAATCTGCATTTCCCACTAGTTAGGAAAACAGAAGGGTAGAGAAAAGAAAGGAGGAGCTGCCTGAGGGCAAAGCTGGGCTTGTCCCTACCCTAGGTCCACTCAAGGTAAAGCTCAGCACATAAACAGGCTGAAAATGGGGAAGAGATGCAGAAAGAGTTCAGCAAATCTGATTTATTTTAAATTTTCATTTTTTTCTCATTAAAAAATAATTAAATAGAGACAGGGTCTGGCTATGTTGCACAGGCTAGTCTCAAATTACTGGGCTCAAGTGATTCTCCTGCCTCGGACTCCCAAAGTGTTGGGATTATAGGCGTGAGCCACTGCGCGCAGTCTTTTTCTCATTCTTATAAAAAAAAATGACAATAATGAACTATGCGTCTGTTCAAGGGAATCCCAATCCCTTAAGAAACCCTGTTAATAGTTTGCTTCCTTCTCTCTTTAATTTTGGTTTTTCTTTATTGGCCTTTTTGTTTCAGTATATTTTCCTTTTTTTTTTTCTTTGAGATGGAGTCTTGTTCTCTCACCCAGGCTGGAATGCAGTGGCTCAATCTCAGCTTACTGCAACCTCTGCCTCCCAGCCTCAAGCAATCCTCCCGCCTCAGCCTCCCGAGTAGCTAGGATTACAGGCATGCACCCCTGCGCCTAGCTAATTTTTATATTTTTAGTAGAGACGGAGTTTCAACATGTTGGCCAGGCTTCTCTGGAACTCCTGACTTCAAGTGATTCACCCGCCTCTGCCTCCCCAAGTGCTGGGATTACAGGCATGAGCCACCGTGCCTGGCTGAGAAATTGAGTTTTGAAAGAGATTTAGAGAGAGGAAGGGTAAAAGAGGAGAAATAGAGGAGAAAGGGAGGGAAGGAGGAAGGAGGAGATGGATAGGAGTGCAACAGACTGACAGGAATAAGAGAATTTGGTAGGCATAGATAACCAAGAGACATTTAAGAAGTTGGCTGAGGGGCTGGGCGCAGTGGTTCACACCTATGGTCCCAGCAACTCTGGAGTCTAGAGTGGGAGGATCATTTGAGTCTGGGAGGTCAAGGCTGCAGTGAGCTATGATCATGCCACTGCACTCCAGCCTGGTCAACAGAGCAAGATCCTGTCTCAAAAATGCATAAATAAATGAAAGTTGGCTGGACACGATGGCTCATGCCTATAATCCCAGCACTTTGGGTGGCTGAGGTGGGAGGATCATCTCTCTCTTTTCTTTTTTGACATGGAGTCTCAGTCCCTTGCCCAGGATGGAGTTCAGTGGCCTGATCTTGGCTCACTGCAACCTCTGCCTCCCTGGTTCAAGCGATTCTCCCACCTCCACCTCCCGAGTAGTATTAGCTGGGACTACAGGCACGCACCACTGGGCCTGGCTAATTTTCATATTTTTAGTAGAGATGGGGTTTTGCCATGTTGGACAGGCTGGTCTTGAAACCCAACCTCAGATGATCCACCCGCCTCGGCCTCCCAAAGTACTGGGATTACAGGCATGAGCCACCGTGCCCAGCCTGGGAGTATCTCTTGAAGCCAAGCCTAAGCAACATAGGGAAATCCCATCTCTACAAAATAATAATAATAATAATAATAATAATAATAATAATAATAATAGGTGTGGTGTCATGCATCTGTAGTCCCAGCTACTCAAGAGGCTTACTTGAGGATTACTTGAGCACTGGAGTTTGAGGCTGCAGTGAGCTATGATCACACCAGCAGTGTCTTCAGGGGAGACCTGTCTCATAAAAAAAAAAAAAAGGAGTGAGATACTGCTGAAAAGAATAAGATAGAGATTTTGAGACAGATATTGGGTTAAATTGTGAGGTTTCTCTGTAGCTACTGTGTTAGCTCTTTCTGCAACATCTGTCAATTATTGTCCCATTTCTTGGATCAATCCTTTAATGCCTAAATCTTTTTTTTTTTTTTTTTTTTTTTTTGAGACAGAGTCTCACTTTGTCACCAGGCTGGAGTGCAGTGGCACAATCTCGGCTCACTGCAACCTCCGCCTCCCAGGTTCAAGCGATTCCCCTGCCTCAGCCTCCCGAGTAGCTGGGACTATAGGCGCCCACCACCACGCCCGGCTAATTTTTTGTATTTAGTAGAGACGGGGTTTCACCATGTTGGCCAGGATGGTGTCGATCTCCTGACCTCGTGATCTGCCCGCCTCAGCGTCCCAAAGTGCTGGGATTACAGGCGTGAGCCACCATGCCCGGCCAAAAATGACTAAATCTTTTAATGCCAAAAGATTTAGGCATTGCTGGGCGCGGTGGCTCATGCCTGTAATTCCCAGCACTTTGGGAGGCTGAGGGGGGCGGATCACCTGAGATCGGGAGTTCAAGACCAGCCTGGTCAACGTGGTAAACCCCATCTCTACTAAAAATACAAAAATTAGCCAGGCGTGGTGGCAGGCGCCTGTAGTCCCAGCTACTAGGGAGGCTGAGGCAGAAGAATCGCTTGAACCGGGAGGTTGCAGCGAGCCTAGATCACGCTATTGCACTCCAGCCTGGGCAACAAGAGTGAATCTTCTTTCTTTGGTAGGATGCAGATCAACAGCTTTCATGTTTTGTTTCTAGATCTGATACATTAGTCTAAGACTTGTGCCCTCTGGGCCAGCTGGCAGAGCAGCAGGAAGGATCAAGGGTCAGAGCCCCCTCCCTGGTCCAGAGAAGTGTAGGCTAGCAAGCTGATAGTACTACCAAAGTGGGAAGCAAGAGACAACTGTGTTATAGTCATAATTGGAGACCCCTTCCACTCTGCTTAGTCCCAGAATAGTGCTTGTTACCAGTAGGTGCTCAATTAATAAGTCATCAATGAATGAATAAATTTAAAAAACAAATAAACAGATGAATAAGTAAGACCAGTCATTTTGAGGGAGATGGTGGCAGGGCTGAGTGGGCACAGTACTACAGAAAAAACAAAATTTAACGTCAAGAAAAAGTATCAGCCACAGTGATAAAAGATACATATCAGACTCTGGCATTATGGCTAAACAAGCTGCAGCTCTGAAAGTTCAGGAGAGGCTGGGCATGGTGGCTCACGCCTGTAATTCCAACACTTTGGGAGGCCAAGATGGGAGGATCACTTGAGGTCAGGAGTTTGAGACCAGCCTGACCAATATGCTGAAACCCTGTCTCTACTAAAAATACTAAAATTAGCTGGGCACGGTGGCGGGCGCCTGTATGCCTCCCAGCTATTCGGGAGGCTGAGACACTCTGGACAAAGTGCACATCTTTTAAAAGCAACTAGAGGCCAGGCACAGTGGCTCATGCCTATAATCTCAGCACTTTAGGAGGCCGTGGCAGGCGGATCACGAGATCAGTAGTTTGAGGCCAGCCTGGCCAACATGGTAAAACCCCGTCTCTACTAAAAAAATACAAAAAATACATATATATATATATATATATACACACACACATATATATGTGTGTATATATATATGTATTTTTTGTATTTTGTGTATATATATATATACACACATATATATATATATATGTGTATATATATGTGTGTATATATATAGCTGGGACATGGTGGCTAGCGCCTGTAATCTCAGCTAGTCAGGAGGCTGAGGCAGGAGAATTGCTTGAACCTGGGAGGCAGAGGTTGCAGTGAGCCGAGATTGTGCCACTGCACTCCAGCCTGGGTGACAGAGCAAGACTCCATCTTAGAAAAATAAAATAAAATAAAATAAAAGCAACTAGAGAGTAGAGAACAATTACCTGCAAAGGAATAAAAGTTTGGATGTTAGCAGACTTCTCAAATAAATGGCTTCTGTACTCACCTAACCTATTATGCAAGAATGATAACGTAATAAAGATATTTTAGACAAAGAAAGTTTGAAAATGTTTACAGTTAAAAGAACTATTTTTGATTCTACATCAGAAAAAATAAAACTGTGCCCAAAAGAAAGAGGATGAAAGAAGCAATGATGATCAAAGTACTTGATAAACATATGGTTAAATCTAAATAAATATTTATGACAAAAATAATAATGACCACTTTTAGGAACATAAAAGCAAACTTAGGCTGGACGTAGTGATTCATGCCTGTAATCCCAGCATTTTGGGGGGCCAAGGCAGGAGGATCACTTGGGCCCAGGAGTTCTAGACCAGCCTGGGCAACCTAGCAACACCCCATCTTTACAAAAAAAAATTTTTTTTAATTAGCTGGGGGTGGTGGTGCATATCTGTAGTCCCAGCTACTGGGGAGGCTGAAGTGAGAGAATCATTCTAGCCCAGGAGGTCAAGGCTGCAGTGAGCCATGATGGCACCACTGCAGTCCAGCTTGGGTGACAGAGTGAATACCATCTCTAAACAAAGAATAAAGAAATAAAAATAATGTAACTTTAAATCTTGCATATAACTTACATACCATTTGAGAGGGGGAGAAAATAAAAGGCAACCATTCTAACAGAAGGCTGGAAAAGTTAAAAACACACAAAGATTGTAAGAAATTAGGTAGAAATAAGTAGTGATCCCCCCATTATCCATGGGGATACATTCCAGGATCCTCGGTTTCTTCCTATACGACTGCATTGTATAGGCCAGGTAGCTTATACAGCATGGATACACTGGACAAAGGGATGATTCACATCCTGGGCGGAGCAGTACAGCCAATTTAAAATTTGAGCATTTAAAAAAAAAGGGCTGGACACGGTGGCTTACGCCTGTAATCCCAGCACTCTGGGAGGCCAAGGCGGGCGGATCACTTGAGGTCAGAAGTTCAAGACAGCCTGATCAACATGGTGAAACCCCGTCTCTACTAAAAAAAATACAAAAACAGCTGGTGGGTTGCACATGCCTCTAATCGTAGCTACTTGGGAGGCTGAGGCAGGAGAATCGCTTGAACCGGGGAGGTGGATATTGCAGTGAGCCGAGATGATGCCATTGCACTCCAGCCTGGGCAACAAGAGTGAAACTCCGTCTCAAAAAGAAAAGAAAAGAAATGAAAACTAACACATTTTTTATTTATGGAAGTTTCCATTTAATATTTTTGGGTGGCAGTTGACTGAAACCACAGAAAGCAAAACTGTGGATAAGGTGGGATTACTGTGTTCTTATCCTATCAAACATAAATGGATTATTCCATAAGAAAATTCTTAGATCAGATCACTATTTTAAAGATACACTCCTAAAACTTTACTTTTATTTTTTTGAGATAGGGTCTTGCTGTCTCGCTCTGTTGCCCAGACTGGAGTAGACTGGTGCAATTAGGGCTCACTGCAGCCTCAACCTCCCAGGCCCAAGTGATCCTTCCACCTCAGCCTCCCGAATAACTCAGACCACAGGCGTGTGTTACCACGCCTAGAGGAATTTTACACCTAAAACTTTGAACAACGCAAGTGTAAAAGTAAAAAGGTGGTTGCATCAAAAAGCACAGGAGTCGCCTTGAAGGGTTGTCAAAGGTAGGAAGTTTGAGTATAAAAAAAGAATAATTACTATTTTCAGCAACAGTTACACTATGCTCTAAGCATACTTATATTGAATGAACAAATGAATGAATGAAGGGTGGGACATCAGGGTGTGTCTGGGTGGTGCAGGGGCAGGAGGAGGTCTGATTGTATAAAAATTACATTTAAATACAGGGTCTTCTGCATGAGGACACACTAAGGAAACTGCATTTCCAGAGAGAGACACACCACGTAGGACTGAAAATGGTTACTCTAAGGGGATTCGTGACAGGTAAGCATGGGGGAGCGGGGAGGGTAGCCAGAATGTGGGGCTTTAAGTGCTCAAAGAGGATTTGAAAAATCAAAGGAGCAATATTAAAGGATGCAAACCACTCAGCCCATTCACATTAGAGGGACATGATATAGATGGTTGGGGACAGAAGGAAGGTCAGAAAGACTGACTGTTCACCTCATGAAAATCAGGGAGTGAATGTGAGACTCCTTACTTACTGAGTGTGGTTGTCAGTTCTGCAGGGCTCCCAAACTTTCTCCATCTGTGTTAGCCAGGCCTTTGGAAATCCTTAATTAGAATGTAAACTCCATCATAGCAACTATTTTTGTGTACTTCGTTCATTGCAGAATCCACAGACCTATGTAAGTGCCCATTTGTAGGAAGAAGGCAATAAAAAATTGCTGAGTAAATGTGGTTCTGCTAGTGGCAATTCTGCCTTATGCTCTTGATAGCCTCGATCAGGGAAAGCACTGTAGACCAGTTGAATCGTTTGCTTCTTTGTTTCTTTAATATGCTAGTTTAAGCTACAGACTCTCAATGCCCATCCCAGGAAAGTGGGCCAGGGTTTAGACTGTGTGTACAAGAGTCAGTAAGACCTGATTCATTCCCAGCTATGCTTCTTCTCTACCTGGCCAAACTTTTAGATCTCATGTCTCTTCATCTTTAAGAGGTTGATAATAATTGTCCATTACCCCATGTGTTTGTCGAGGATCACATGAATCATGTATATGAAGCACTTGGATGTCTGACGGTATCCTAATGTTGCTACTGAATGTTACTGCATCATTTATTTACTCTTAGGATTGTACTGAAGAACAGATGCTTAGTGAAGTTTAATTTCTTTTCAATTAAATGCTAAGCCTTAGGCCATCTGTTGTTATTGCTGTTCCAATTTTTTGGTCTCAGAACCTCTTTATATTCTTAAAAATTGTTAAGGACTCCAAAGAACTTTTGTTTCTATAGGATATACCTAGATATTTACCATATTCAAAGTGAAAACTGAGATTAAAATATATTTATTCATTCCTTTCAAAATAAAATGATAAATGCGTGACGTGTTAACTATATTTTCCACACACAAAAAAAAATTGTGAGACCAATGGCATTGTTTTACATTTTAGTACTTTAGGGCTTAATGGAAGATGGCAGAATTCTCTCCTGCTTTTGCAGTCACCTTTTCTGATGCATTACTCTATTGAAGTGTAAGAAGAAAATCTGACCTCATACAGATATGATGCTAGAAAAAGGAGTATTCTTGTAGCCTTTGAAATAATTGTGGATATTCTTTGAAATTACAACACAAACTCAACAAGTAGCAGTTTCTTAAAGATGAGTTGCAATGTGAAAACTTTTTTTTTTTTTTTTTTTTTGAGACGGAGTCTTGCTCTGTCGCCCAGGCTGGAGTGCAGTGACATGATCTCAGCTCACTGCAACCTCTGCCTCCTGGGTTCAAGCGATTCTTCTGCCTCAGCCTCCCTAGTAGCTGGGACTACAGGTGCGTGCCACCACGCCCAGCTAATTTTCGTATTCTTAGTAGAGATGGGGCTTTACCATGTTGGTCAGGCTGGTCTCAAACTCCTGACCTCAAGTAATTCACCCTCCTCGGCCTTTCAAAGTGCTGAGATTACAGGCGTGAGCCACCATGCCCGTCCTGCAATGTGAAATTTGAAATCATATGAATGAACTTTCCAAATTCTGTGACATTAAAATCCATTGGTCTACATTGAACTTTGAGTGGATCTTTTACCCATGCAGGATTTTGTAACATTACATACTGGTCATTTGCAAAATATTGGTTTATGAATTAAGAAGCTCTTCTAAATTTATTCCCCTGTACATTTGTTATAGAATAAGAGTGAAAAAGTAAAATAACATGCAAGATGTCACCATTGAGGGAGGCTAGCTGAAGTGTGTGCAGCACCTTAACCATATATATTATTTTGCAATTTCTTGTGAATCTGAAATTAGTTCAAAATTAAAAGTAAACAAAACAAAACCAGTAAACAACATGGTAATTTTTGCTTTCAATCTTCATATATATTCCAAATAGCTTTTAAACATTTAAGACCTATTATATGTAAGCAGATATTTACCATATGTGTGGCTTTTCCTTTATTCTTGAAGTTCCAATTTTCCCTCTTAGGAAGAATTTTCTTTAATACTCCACAGAACAGGACTACTGGCCACAGATTCTCATAGTTCAGAGAATGTCTTCATTTCACCTTCTTTCCTGAAAGATATTTTCCCTGGATACGGAATCTGAGTTGATTGGGAGTGATGGCAAGTGGTGTAAAAAACAATCTAAGTTGACAGTGGTACAAAATCTTTGAAGTGCTAAAAGAACTGTCTTTGTTTCTGATGAGAAATCTGTGGTCATTTGATCTCTATCTTTTCGTGTATAGATTGCACTTTAACAATCTCATCAAAGAAATATCCCTCTACTTTGAGTCACAAAGATATTGACACAGGATTTCTTTTGTTATTTCTAAAGTTTCATTTTTGACAAGTACAGCTAGAGTATTTCTCTATGGTATAAAATATGAATCATTTTCCAGCTGAGGTAGAGGAATTGGGGGTTAACCTCACTTGCCAGAGGTCATACATCAAGCCCAGGCTCCTTGAAAACATTGCTATCCAGCGAATGAATTCCTCATCAGCATTCCCTATCTCATAGGCCTTCCATCTCAGATTTCAGAAACCATGAGGAACAGAATGGCCCCAGAGAATCCCCAGCCAGACCCTTTCATCAATAGGAATTATTCCAACATGAAGGTGATACCACCACAGGATCCAGCTAGTCCCAGTGAGTATCATCCTTCTTTGTCCTCTTTCCTTTTCTACTGCCCCATTCTCATGCAGCCCTACAATTGCATTTTGCATTTGTTTTAAGGCAGCTATTGATTGTTTTAAAAAATCTATTCAAAAAGTCTTCCCATCATAAAAGGAGAAATACATTTCAAATCAAATGGGCCTTTGGCCCATGGTTGATTCAAATTATGAGAGATAAGCTAAGAATATAATATATAGAGCAAGTGAGCATGTTTTTCTAGGAGAAAAGATCTGAAACATAGACAGATAGAAACTGAGAAATCTCCTTTTCCAAGGCAGGTATATTGTGGCCCAATATGGAAGGAAAATGAAAACAAACAAACAAACAAAAGCTCATTATTCAGAGTAGTATTGTATACATGTATAAGAAGATTCATTTATATAAGGTGGATCTTAGTGAATTGTTCTGAAATATATATTTGTTATTTGATATTTTATCCTGGAGATTTCCCAAACATTGTTTGTATACAATGTTTACCTTTAAAAATATGTAAAACTGTATAAAAATCTGGTTTTTCTATACACTAATAAGCAATCAGAAAAGAAAATTATAAAAATAACTCCATTTACAATAGCATCAAAAATAATTAGGTACTAAGAAATAAACTTAACTAAGGATGTGAAAGACTTGTCCATTGAAAACTATAAAATGTTGCTGAAATAAAGACACAAATGGAAAAACACTCCATGTGCATAAATGGGAAGGCTTAATATTATTATTATTATTATTATTATTTTTTGAGACAGTCTTGCTCTGTCACCCAGGCTGGCAGTGCAGTGTCACAATCTTGGCTCATTGCAAACTCCACCTCCCGGGTTCAAGTGATTCTTCTGCCTCAGCCTCCCAGGTAGCTGGGACTACAGGCATGCACCACCATGCCCGGCAAATTTTTTTTTTTTTTTTTTTTTTTTTGTATTTTTAGTAGAGATGGGGTTTCACCATATTGGCCAGGCTGGTCTCAAACTCCTGACCTTTAGGGTTTTGTTTGTTTGTTTGTTTTTGAGATGGAGTTTCCGCTCTTGTTGCCCAGGCTGGAGTGCAATGGTGCGATCTCAGCTCACTGCAACCTCCGTCTCCCAGGTTCAAGCAATTCTCCTGCCTCAGCCTCCCGAGTAGCTGGGATTACAGGCATGTGGCACCATGCCTGGCTAATTTTTTTGTATTTTTAGTAGAGAAGGGGTTTCACCGTGTTAGCCAGGATGGTCTAGGATCTCCTGACCTCTGGTGATCCACCTGCCTTGGCCTCTCAAAGTACTGGGATTATAGGCGTGAGCCACCACACCCGGCTGACTCCTGACCTTGTGATCCGCCTGCCTCTGCTTCCCAAAGTCCTGGGATTACAGGCATGAGCCACCTCGCCTGGCCAGCTTTAATATTTTTATTATTATTGTTGTTTTTTTTTTTTTTTTTTTTTAAAGACGGAGTTTCGCTCTTGTTGCCCAGGCTGGAGTGCAATGGAGCGATCTCGGATCACTGCAACCTACGCCTCCCAGGATCAAGCGATTCTCCTGCCTCAGCCTCCCAAATAGCTGGGATTACAGGCAGGCGCTACCACACCCGGCTAATTTTTGTATTTTTAGTAGAGACAGGGTTTCACCATGTTGATCAGGCTAGATGGGCTCGAACTCCTGACCTTGGGTGATCCACGCGCCTCGGCCTTCCAAAGTGCTGGGATTACAGGCATGAGCCACCACTGCCCGGCCAGGCTTAATATTATTAATGTGTCAATACTACCTAAGCAATTTAAAGATTTAATGCAATCCCTATAAAAATCCCAATGGTGCTTTTTGCAGAAACTAAAAAAAGTCTATCCAAAAATTTATATAAAGTCTCAAGGAATCCCAAATAGCCAAAATAATGTTGAAAAAGATGAACAGATGAACAAAGCTGGAGGCCTCATATTACACAATCTCAACATTTATTACAAATTACAGTAATCAAAGAGTGTGGTGCTGGCATAAAGACAGATATATAGACCAATAGAAGAGAGCAAAGTCCAGAAATACGTCCTTGCACATATAGTCAACAAGGGTGCTAAGGCCATTCAATTGGGAGAGGACAGTCTCTGAAACAAATGGTGTTGGGAAAACTGAATATCCACATGTGAAAGAATGATGCTGGATCCTTACCTTACCACATGCAAAAATTAAAATGGATCAAGTCCTAAACACAAAAGCTAAAACTGCAAAGCTCATAGAAAAAACATAGAGGAAAAGCTTTATGACATTTGATTTAGCAATGGTTTCTTGGATATGACACCAAAAGCACAGGCAACAAAATAAAAATAGATAAATTAGACTACATTAAAAATAAAAACTTGTATGATCAAAGGACACAATCAAAAGAGTGAAATGGGGCCGGGCATGGTGGCTCATGCCTGTAATCCCAGCACTTTGCAAGGCCGAGATGCGTGGATCACCTGAGGTCAGGAGTTCTAGAGCAGCCTGGCCAACATGGTGAAACCCTGTCTCTACTAAAAATACAAAAATTAGCCAGGCGTGGTGGCAGGCGCCTGTAATCTCAGCTACTTGGGAGGCTGCGGTGGGAGAATCGCTTGAACTTGGGAGACAGAGACTGCAGCAGAGATCACGCCACTGCACTCCAGCTTGGATGACAGAGAGAGAGAGACTCTGTCTCAAAAAAGAAAAAAAAAAGTAAAATGGCAAACTATGTAGTGGGAGAAAATATTTGCAAAGCATTTATCTAATAAGGGGTTAATAGCTATAATATATACAAAACTAGAACTCAACAACAATAAAAAAAATCCAATTAAAAATGGGCAAAAACCTGAGGTCAGGAGTTCAAGATCAGCCTGACCAACATGGAGAAACCCTGTCTCTACTAAAAATACAAAATTAGCTGGGTGTGGTGGTGCATGCCTGTAATCCCAGCTACTCGGGAGGCTGAGGCAGGAGAATCACTTGAACCCAGGAGGCAGAGGTTGCAGTGAGCCGAGATCACGCCATTGCACTCCAGCCTGGGCAACAAGAGCAAAACTCCATCTCAAAAAAAAAAAAAAAAAAAAAAAAGGCAAAAAACTTGAATAGATCTTTCTCCAAAGAAGATATACAAATGGACAAATCCATGAAAGATGCTCAGCAACATTAATTATTAGGGGAAAGAAAATCAAAACCATACCCGTTAGGATGACAACTATCAAAGAAACAGAAAAGAACAAGTGTCGGTGAGGATGGGGAGAAATCAGAATGTTTGCAGGAATGTAAAATGGCACTGCCGCTGTGAAAAACAGTATGATGGTACCTCAAAAATTAAAAATAGACTTACCAGTTCAAGACCAGCCTAGGCAATATAGTGAGACCCCATCTTATAAAATAAATATATTTACTGAAAGGTATGAAAAGCTCTTTCCAGAAGCATTCAGGGCAGCAGTCTCCAACCTTTTTGGCACCAGGGACTGGTTTGTGGAAGACAGTTTTTCCACGGACTGGTTGGGGGGCTGATTTTGGGATGATCCAAGGACATTACATTTATTGCACATTTTATTTCTATTATTATTACATTGTAATATATAATGAAATAATTATGCAACTCACCATAATGTAGAATCAGTAGGAGACCTGAGCTTGTTTTCCTGTAACAAGATGCTCCCATCTGTGGCTGATGGGAGACAGTGACAGATCACCAGGCATTAGATTCTCATAATGAGCATGCAACTTAGATCCCTCACCTGTGCAGTGCACAATAGGATTCATGCTCCTATGAGAATCTAATGCTACCAGCTGATCTGACAGGAGGCGGAGCTCTGGCAATAATGTGAGCTATGGGGAGCGACTGTAAATACAGATAAAGCTTCGCTGACTCATTCGCTGCTCACCTCCTGCTGTGCGGACCAGTTCCTAACAGGCCATGGACCCATACCAGTTTGTGACCCAGGGGATTAGGGACCCCGGATTTAGGAGATGTGGAAGAATATGTTACACACCAAATAGAATTGTTATTTCTTACATCTCACACAGTACATGGCTAAGAATTTTGCAGAAAATCCCCAGCAGAATGGTAATGTGGAAATAGAGGCTGCAGGAACATGGTGAGAACTGAGAGAACAGAAGAAAGTTCAGAAAATTGATATGTTTGAAGACCAAATGTATGTACAAATTAGTCATTGCTGTTTCACACAATTTCAGTGGTTTTAAAAAAATAAGTATTTGTTGTTGTTTATCAATCTACAAGCCAGGCCAGGTGCAGTAGCTCACGCCTGTAATCTCGGCACTTTGGGAGGCCGAGGCAGGCGGATCACAGGGTCAAGAGATCGAGATCATCCTGGCCAACATGGTGAGACCCCCCATCTCTACTAAAAATACAAAAATTAGCTGAGCGTGGTGGCGTGTGCCTGTAGTCCCAGCTACTCAGGAGGCTGTGGCAGGAGAATCTCTTAAACCTGGGAGACAGAGATTGCAGTGAGCCAAGATCGTGCCACTGCACTCCAGCCTGGCGACAGAGCGAGACTCCATTTCAAAAAAAAAAAAAAGAAAAAGAAAAAAATCTACAAGCCAGCTGGCCATTTCTGATCTTGGCTGGCATCTCTTGCATGCTTGAGGGTTGACTAGCTGTAAACTCATTTAAAGTAGCCTATGTTGCAGAATATGAGCTCTTTTCGCTATAGTCTCTCATCCTCTAGAAGGCTAGTCCAGGCTTGGAGGGAGAGAGTGGGTGAGACAGAGAGAGGGCAGGCATGAGAGCGAGCACAGAAGCATGCACGGCCTCTTGAGTGGGGGGCATCATCACTTCAGAGTGTCACTCTCTGGCTCAATTAAGAAGGTGTGGCTAGGTTGGGCACAGTGCCTCATGCCTGTAATCCCAGCACTTTGGGAGACCGAGGTGGGTGGATCATTTGAGGGCAGGAGTTTGAGACCAGTGTGGCTGATATGGTGAAACCCCATCTCTAATAAAAGTAAAAAAATTAGCCAGCATGGTGGTGAGCGCCTGTAGTCTCAGCTACTTGGGAGGCTGAGGCAGGAGAATCGCTTGAACCTGTGGAGTGGAGGTTGCAGTGAGCTGAGATTGAGCCATTGCACTCTAGCCTGGGTGTTCCGGTGAGACTCTGTCTCAAACATTAAAAAAAAAGTGTGGTTGAAAATAAATGAAATAAATGTAGGACAAAGAGAAAAGGAAGAGGAAAATAAGGTCTCATTGTACATAATCTGTGAAGTGACTCAATAAAATAAAGCTATTCTTTTTTATTTTATAAATGTGAAAACTGAGACCCTCCACGTAAACAGACATTTATGTTTTGCCAAATTTTCTCCTTTTTTTTTTCCTTTTTGTGGAGAATGGGGGTCTCACTATGTTGTCCAGGCTGGTCTTGACTCCCAAGGTCAAGCAGAATGCTTTGCCTCCCTAAATGCTGAAATTACTGATGTCATCAACAGTGCCCAAACCAAATTTTCTAATAATAATGGACATATGTGTTCCCTGAGATTATGGTGGTTTGGATGGTCCAGTGGCTAAAGTGTGTCTATTTCCAAACTCAATTTATTTATTTATTTATTTCTGAGATGGAGCCTTGCTCTTTCACCCAGGCTGGAGTGCAGTAGTGTGATCTCGACTCACCGCAACCTCTGCCTCCTGAGTTCAAGTGATTCCCCTGCCTCAGCCTACCGAGTAGCTGGGATTACAGGTGTGCGCCACCATGCCCAGCTAATTTTTGTATTTTTAGTAGAGACAGGATTTCACCATGTTGGTCAGGCTGGTCTGAAATGCCTGACCTTGTGATCTAGCCGCCTCAGCCTCCCAAAGTGCTGGGATTACAGGCATGAGCCACCACGCCTGACCTTCCAAACTCAAATTTATATTCTCATTGTTCTTTCTTTCTCTTTCTTTTTCTTTCTTTCTCTTTCTTTCTTTTTCTTTCTTTCTTTCTTTCTTTCTTTCTTTCTTTCTTTTTCTCTTTCTTTCTTTCCTTTTCTTTTTTTGAGACAGGTTTCACTCTGTTATCCAAGCTGGAGTGCAGTGGCACGGTCTCGGCTTACTGCAGCCTCAACCTCCCAGGTTCAACTGATCCTCCCACCTCAGCCTCCCGAGTAGCTGCGACTACAGGTGCGTGCCACTACACCCTCTTTTGTAGAGACGAGATTTCACCATGTGGTCCAGACTGTTCTCAAACTCCTAAGACAGAGCAAGACCTTGTCTCTAAAAATAATAATAAAATAAATTAAGATAATGGAGATAAAACAAAAGTACTTGATGACCATTTCTATCAGTTCCATTCTATCTCCTCTCTGAGGTTGTCATTACAATAGGTTTCTCATAATTTTTGTAGTCTACTCTCTATATATTCATAAATTATAATTTTGAGTTATAAAGAAAAGTGTGTTGTGTATATATGTATGTGTGTATGTATATATATATATATCTACATGTACATATATATATATATATATATATATATATATATATTTTTTTTTTTTTAAATGGAGTCTCACTTTTTCTCCCAGGCTGGAGTGCAGTGGCGTGGTCTTGGCTCACTGCAACCTCCACCTCCTGGGTTCAAGCGATTCTCCTGCCTCAGCCTCCTGAGTAGCTGGGATTACAGGTGTGTGCCACCACACCAGCTAATTTTTTGTATTTTTAGTAGAGACAGGGTTTCACCATGTTGACCAGGCTGGTCTTGAACTCGTGACCTCAAGTGATCCGCCCGCCTGCCTTGGCCTCCCAAAGTGCTGGGATTACAAGCATGAGCCACCACACCTGGCCAGAAAAGTATATTTTACATGTCACATTACCCTGCTGAAAAGACTTCATTTTCAGTGACATACTCTAAACTAAAATAAAATTAATTTACAAAAGAGAGGTATGTTGTGCATACAATGTGCCACACATTATTGTAGTGTATTAATGCCTTTACATTAATAAATCAATATAATTAGTGCCTTACATTAATACATTCATGTAATAAATTTACAAACCCTATTATAAAGTAGGTATTCATTTTTGTGTGTGTGGCAAGGTCTCATTCTGTTGCCCAGGCTGGAGTGCACTGGCATAATCTCAGCTCACTGCAACTTCTGCCTCCTGGGGTTCAAGCGATTCTCCTACCTCAGCCTTTTGAGTAGCTGGGATTACAGGTGCTTGCCACCATATCTGGCTAATTTTTGTATTTTTGGTAGAGACAGGGTTTCACCATGTTGGCCAGGCTGGTCTCAAACTTCTGACTTCAAGCGATCCGCTCGCCTTGGCCTCCCAAAGTGCTGGGAATACAGGCGTGAGCCACCACACCTGGCCAAAAGTACGTACTCTTAACATTCCCCCTACCCCACTTTTTTTTTTTTTTTTTTTTTTTGAGACAGAGTTTCACTCTTGTTGCCCAGGCTGGAGTGCAATGGCGCAATCTTGGCTCACTGCAACCTCCTGCCTCCCAGGTTCAAGTGATTCTCCTGCCTCAGCCTCCAGAGTAGCTGGGATTACAGGCATGCGCCACCATACCTGGCTAATTTTGTATTTTTAGTAGAGATGGGGTTTCTCCATGTTCGTCAGGCTGATCTCGAACTCCTGACCTCAGGTGATCCACCCACCTCAGCCTCCCGAAGTGCTGGGATTACAGGTGTGAGCCACCACATCTGGCCACATTCCCCTTTTATGCTTGATGAAACTGAGGTGGGCTGGGTGTGGTGGCTTCCACCTATAATTCTAGCACTTTGGGAGGCTGAGGTGCGGAGGATCACTTGAGCCAAGGAGTTTGAGATTAGCCTTAGCAACATAGCAAGACCCCATCTGTATTTAAAAAATTAAAAAATTTTAAAAAAGAAATTGAGGTGAAGAGTTTGGGTAATAGGTTCATAATCACATTCCTAGAAAAGTATAGTTTTATCTTTTTTTTTTTTTTTTTAAACAGAGTCTCGCTCTGTTGCCCAGGCTGGAGGGCAGGGGCGCGATCTCGGCTCACTGCAAGTTCTGCCTCCCAGGTTCATGCCATTCTCCTGCCTCAGCCTCCTGAGTAGCTGGGACTGCAGGCACCCGCCACCACACCCAGCTATTTTTTTTTTTTTTGTATTTTTAGTAGATATGGGGTTTCACCATGTTAGACAGGATGGTCTTGTTCTCCTGACCTCGTGATCCACCTGCCTTGGCCTCCCAAAGTGCTGGAATTAAAGGCGTGAGCCACCGTGCCCGGCCTGAAAAGTACTGTTTTAAAAGCAAAATTTCTACTGTTGAACATATATCAAGATTACTGCTTAAAACTTTTCCACAGTGCAACTTGCATATTATGGACTCCTTGAGCTAATTGAATAAGAAATAGATCAAAGTTTTCAGAAGACAGCATGTATACATTTAAATTTCTGGAAGAAATGCGCCCCACATGGATGTGAGTTTTCCTGGGATATTATTGGTAGTTGTCCATATATGATGTTTCCTTGACTTAATCTTCCTTATCACATTGCCCTAAAAAATAACTTAGGTCTGCATTTATAATTATTGAAGTATTTGTAACACAAAGTATATCCTGGTTCCAGGCTTTTTATTTTTCCTTATCTGATACCAAACTGATCTATAGTTTCTTTAATTTTCATTTTAGCCAAGGCTGACTGAAAATACTTTCAAGTATATAATGTTTATTTCCACAGTACTCTGATGAATAGGGTATCCTTTGTGACTCCTCAGCCACATATTTTAATCAGCATCAGTGATTCCAGCGTGTCCTTGATACCACAGGACCAAGCCAGTTCCAGCAAGCTCTGTTCCCCTGTGCCCTCTCTGTAGTCTGTATCTCTTCTCAGGGAGCCCACTTGTCCTTCCCTAAGAGGGTAGTTACCAGGTGTGAATATAACAGACCTAAATCTAGGACTAAATATCTTGTATGTTGGTCATATTTGATTGAGATGGGTTTTCCTGGAATAGAATCAGGAGGCTGATGAGCTGGGTATGGTGGTGCACATTTAGTCCCAGCTACTGTGAAGGCTGAGGCAGGAGGATCCCTTGAGCCCAGGTGTTAGACACCAGCCTGGGCAACATAGCGAGACCTCGTGATCTGCCCGCCTTGGCATCCCAAAGTGCTGGGATTACAGGCATGAGCCACCGCACCTGGCCTTCCAAAATCAAATTTATATTTTCTTTCTTTCTTTCTTTTTCTTTTCTTTTCTTTTCTTTTTTTTTTTTTTTTTTTTTTTTTTGAGACAGGTTTCACTCTGTTATCCAAGCTGGAGTGCAGTGGCGCGGTCTCAGCTTACTGCAGCCTCAACCTCCCAGGTTCAACTGATTCTCCCACCTCAGCCTCCCGAGTAGCTGGGAATACAGGTGCGTGCCACTACACCCTTTTTTGTAGAGACGGGATTTCACCATGTTTTTGTAGAGACGGGATTTCACCATGTGGTCCAGACTGGTCTCGAACTCCTAAGACAGAGCAAGACCTTATCTTACTGCAACCTCCGCCTCCCGTGTTCAAGTGATTCCCCTGCCTCAGCCTACCGAGTAGCTGGGATTACAGGCATGCACCACCATGCCCAGCTAATTTTTGTATTTTTAGTAGAGATGGAGTTTCACCATGTTGGTCAGGCTGGTCTCGAACACCTGACCTCATCTCTAAAAATAATAATAAAATAAATAAACAAAATAAATTAAGATAATGGAGGTAAAACAAAAGTACTCAACCATTTCTATCAGTTCCATTCTACTGCCTCTCTGAGGTTGTCATTGCAATAGGTTCTCATAATTTTTGTAGTCTACTCTCTATATATTCATAAATCATAATTTTGAGTTATAAAGAAAAGTGTGTGTGTGTGTGTGTGTGTGTGTGTATATATATATATTTTTTTTTTTTTTTTGAGATGAAGTCTCACTTTTTCGCCCAGGTTGGAGTGCAGTGGTGCGGACTTGACTCACCGCAACCTCCGCCTCCTGGGTTCAAGTGATTCTCCTGCATCAGCCTCCTGAGTAGCTGGGATTACAGGTGTGTGCCACCACACCTGGCTAATTTTTTGTATTTTTAGTAGAGACAGTCCTATTTCAAGGGACATTTTGAATAAATACAGAAGCAAGCTAATGATTCAAAAGTATGTAAAAAGCTAAAAACACACACAAAAACCCACTGCTTCCTTTACTGTATCATCTATATGTTTTTTATTTAATTTACTTTTATTATATGTTGTGTTTAGATACACACAAATAGATAGCAAGTTTATTATTATTATTTCTTTTTTGAGGCCGAGTCTCGCTCTGTTGCCCAGGAGTGCAATGGCATGATCTCAGCTCACTGCAACCTCTGCCTCCCGGGTTCAAGCGACTCTCGTGCCTCAAGTAGCTGGGCTTACAGGCACACATCACCACTCCAGGCTAATTTTTGTATTTTTAGTAAAGATGGGGTTTCGCCATGTTGGCTAGGCTGGTCTCAAACTCCTGACCTCAAGTGGTCTGCCCAAAGTGCTGGGATTACAGGTGTGAGCCACCATGCCTGGCCAAAATAGTAAGTTTAAAGCTTCTAACTTTACTTTTAATAGGTAATTAAACAATGTATATATGACATTGAATGCAACACATTAATAAAATGTAACAATTTTGTTAAGCAGACAAAATATAATCCAATGAGATGGTTTACATTCTTTGTTCATAGCAAGACTTTAAAATCCAGTGAATACTTTACACTTTGCATATCTCAGTCTAGATGCTAAATATTTCATGAGAAATACTTGATCTGCATTTAGATTTCATAAAATCACAGTTGAAAAAAGGTTGACGAACCCAAGTTGTTCCAAGCATACTAGTTTCCCAATAATTGCACTATCAGTTTTTAATTTTAAATTAACATTTAATAAAATTAAAAATTACAGGCACAGTGGCTCATACCTGTAATTCTAGCACTTTGGGAGGTGGAGGTGGGAGGATGACTTGAGCCCAGGGGTTTGAGACCAGCCTGGACAACGTAGCAAAACCTCATCTCTACACACACACACACAAAAATTAGCCAGGCATGGTGTGTGCACCTCTAGTCCCAGCTACTCGGGAGGCTGAGGTGGGAGAATCACTTGAGCCAGGGAGATGGCAGTTGCAGTGAGCTATAATCAAGCAACTGCACTGCAATCCAGCCTGGGCTGGTGAGGGAGACTCTGTAAAAAAAAAAAATCAGCTCCTCAGTGGAACTAGCCACATTTCCCATGATTAATAGTCATTTGAAGCAGTGGCTACTGTATTGAACAGAACAGCTCTAGAGAGTAATTGGGTGGTTGGGGAACAGGGATGGTTTCAATTTTGTACTATTTGTACATATTGCTTTTCCAAATAAATGAATAAATCAAGTTCTTATTTTTAAACAATTTACAGTTTGTAAATTGTTATTTTTAAACAATTTACAGTAAGTAGTTAGGTTATGGAAGTCACAAATGCACCCCTATGGGATGAGTGTGGGGGGAAAGTGGTTATCTTAATATTATATAAATAAGTTTCCTGTGGCTTAGAACAAAATTCCCAGTAACAGTATTCCACAGACACATTCCAGAAATATTGTATCACAAACTACTTATTTGAAAGTAAAGAATTAGTGCCTGGTAAAACGATGTTATTTAATTAAAAGAACAGGCTCAGAATATTTAAGATATGGCTATCTAAGGTAAATACAGTTTGAGTAGAATAATTTTATTAAATGTGAGCAGAAAAAAATCAATATTTCTAAGTATATTGGATTTCACATATATATATGAACTGAAAAAATAAGATATTATAAGTTTAGAAATATGTACATTTAAAGTGGGATTAAATATGTTTTATATAGGTTATTTTCATCTACGTTCGTAAGTGGCATTGCCTATAGTTTTATCTATAGTGTTTATTTTTGCCTGATTTTAGTATTGGTATTATGGACTTTTAAGTACAAGAAGGGAGGTCCAAGTGAGGACCTTTCCTCCTTTTACTTTTATTTTATTTATTTTTCTAGAGCCAGGGTCTCTCTCTGTTGCCCATGCTGGAGTGCAGTGACATGATAGTAGCTCACAATAGCCTTGATCTCCTGGGTTAAAGTGATCCTCCCACCTCAGCCTCCCATAGCTGGGACCACAGGCATGTGCTACCATGCCCACCTAATTTTTAAACATTTTCTGTAGAGACAGGGTCTCATTATATTTCTCAGGCTGGTCTTAAATTCCTGGCCTCAAGCAATTTTCCTGCCTTGGCCTCCCAAAGTGCTGGGATTATAGGTGTGAGCCACTGTGCATGGCCAAATTTTGATAATTGCGGGATTTTTTTTTTTTTTTTTTTTTTGAGACAGAATCTTGCTCTGTCACCCAGGCTAGAGTGCAATGCAATGATCTCGGTTCACTGCAACCTCCACCTCCAGGGTTCAAGCAATTCTCGTGCCTCAGCCTCCCTAGTAGCTGGGATTACAGGCATGCACCACTATGCCTGGCTAATTTTTGTAGTTTTAGTGGAGACAGGGTTTTGCCGTGTTGGCCAGGCTGGTCTCAAACTCCTGACTTCAAGTGATTCACCTGCCTCAGCCTCCCAAAGTGCTGGGATTACAGGTGTGAGTCACCACACCTGGCTGATAATTGCATTTTTAAAGAAAAAACCCTTTTCCTTTCCATTGCCATTAAAAAACTATACTTTTTCAATCTTCTATACATATTTATTTTTATTTTGTTTTATTTTATTTTATTTTATTTTATTTTGAGACAGGGTCTCACTCTGTCACCCAGGCTGACACATGATTGTGCAGTGACACAATTATGGTTCACTGCAGCCTCAACCTCCCAGGCTCAGGCAATTCTCCCACCTCAGCCTCAAGAATAGTTATTATGCGGTGACAATCATGGTTCACTACAGCCTCAACCTCCTGGCTCAAGCAATCCTCCCACCTCAGCCTCAAGAATAGTTGGGACCACAGGTACATGCAACCATGCCCAGCTAATTTTTTAATTTTTCATAGAGACAGGGTCTCCCTACACTCCCCAGGCTGGTCTCCAACTCCTCCAGTCATGTGATGCTCTTACCTTGGCCTCCCATAAGTGCTGGGATTACAGGTGTGAGCACATTGTGCTGACCACGTTTGATTTCTTTTCCCCAAAGTAGTGAATAGAGCCTCAGAAATCCCATAAAAGAAAAAGCTCTACCAGGCACGGTGGTTCACATCTGTAATCCCAACACTTTGGGAGGCCAAGGCAGGAGGATCACTTGAGCCCAGGAGTTCAACATCAGCCTGAGCAATGTAAGGAAACCCCATCTCTGTGAAAGAAAAAGTTTTTTAATTAGCCAGGAGGGGTGATAGTGCCTGTAGTCCTAGCTACTCAGGAGGATGAAGCCAGAGGATTGCAGGAGCACAAGAGTTCAAGGTTACAATGAACTATGATCGTGCCACAGCATTCAGCCTGGGCAATAGAGCAAGACCCCGTCTCTAAAAAAAGAGAGAGAGACAGAGAGAGAGGAAGGAAGGAAGGAAGGAAGGAAGGAAGGAAGGAAGGAAGGAAGGAAGGAAGGAAGGAAGGAAAGAAAAGAAGAGCAAAGCAAAGCAAAGCAAAGAAAAGAGCCTATTTGCCAGATGAGATGGACTGGATTCCTGAACAAATAAATGAAGAGAGG